>NC_000015.10:24185964-24488995 GCF_000001405.40 Homo sapiens
ATTTCTTCTTCAAGTAATCCAAAGACAACTTTACTTTCAAACCTTTCAGAAAACCTGTTCTAATTTACTTTGCTTCATTCTACAGGCTCCATCAGGAACTGTTCAGGACCATGCACTCTGTTGATACTCACATGGTGGAATTATATTGCCCTTGGCCAACCCTAAAGCCATCAAGATAGCAGGTAAACAGAGTACAAAAAATATTTCTAATAAGTTGCTTTAGGGCAGTCCCTGCTTCCAGAGGCCTGGGAATAAATCTTTACAACAGGGTTTTTGCAGGTGAATGCTACTGAGTGATATATACATGTTGTGCACAAAAAGAGAAATCTCATTAGGTGAAAAACAAACAAAAAAAGAAAACAATATACAGCATATCTCCAACCCTCCATGCAGTGATCTGAGAGACAGAAACAGGCTGTGTTTGTTTCTGCATGTGTACTGGCTGCCCACTAATTCTCCACACAGCTTCCTATTAAGAGGCCATTGCACCCTTCTTAGTAGCAGCAGAGTTGTTTTCAGGAACCATGCCTAAAAGGCCTACAAAGCCATGGAACTACATATATGGAACTACGTATGTCAACTCCCATTGACTTCCATAAATCTTGAATAGCATGATGTCACAGGCACAGATGACAAAGTGCTGAGCACTGAGTCCCTAGACAAACTTTCACTGCATGGAAGATATGATTTTGCACAGTATCCTAAATCAACTGTTGTATAGAGGCTGGTCTGGACACAAGTCTACAACAGATGCTATTGCAAACAAACTACATTTTTAGACCACATCATGAGGCAAACCCAATGCTCTGTCTCCACACTCTAACCTGATAAGAAGATTGAGTTCAAGGAAGGAATGTCTCATATATGTAATGACATGACTTTGTGTTTACTTAATTCAACCTTCCTGGAGTCTAAAACTCTAGGTGAAATTTCAGTCAACCTCCTTAACTGTGACTGTATGAGTTTTTTTATCACTCAGTGTACTCATGAGGGGATACCGAAACCGATTCCAATATCCAAGTACCCAAAGTAGAGTTGACCAGAGTAGCAAGGGGCCAGATCAAAATATCTTATAAAGACCATTATGCATTCACTTCTGCAGTGACTAATCATGAGGTGATTTCTACGATCACCAGCCATGTGATTAAAAGGACAAATGTGAATGAAGAAAAAGATACACAAATGTTACATCCGAAAGAATGGAATCTGTAAGGAAGTTTACAGGAAGGATTGCTCATATTTCTAAGATTACAGTTTAAAGTTTCAAAATACTTTTTTCCAGGTCTTTAGAGAGCTACCACGCCAGTGAATTTTTCAAGTAGCTCTTTACAATTTTCATCTCCGTCTTCAATGGATTTCTTAAACCATGGTTCATAGAACTATATTTCCATACGTGACATAAGAATTCTAGTACTCCACTAATAACTCTAATGTGTCTAAAATTATAAATGCAGTTTATAACACCTCTCTGGACACTCACTTTAATGAGAAGTGAACAAACTGGACTTCCCTAATGGAGGACAGCGGTGAAGCTCCCAGGTAGAATATAAATGCAGTTTATAAATTTATGTGATAAGATTTAAGCATATTTCCTCAATAACAAACAAGAATATAGCCAATGAGCCACCATAATTTAACACTGAGAAAAGAGCAGTCACAGAGAAAACAGTGTATTCCATTCATTGTAGAGTGCACATTTTCACATCTATCAAATACAGATGCATCTTAAATTTGAAAGCGTTAAAACACTATTGACGAGAAGGCAGTCATAATGTGATTGTCCTCATTTACCTGTATAAACTTGGTCTGCAAACCTCCTGTCAATGTTTTTGGGTGATGTCATCAACATCAGCATCAAATCTTGCACGGGAGGTTTCAGAAGGTTGAAAATATAAACTCGCAGGAGCAACGTAGGAATATCACAGGAAATGCAGCATCACCAAATCCTCAGATTAGCACAAATGATGATAACATGGGGAACACCATGAGCAAGATGAATTGAAGATTGATTTAGGAGAGTTGGATCTGAATGGGAGAAAATTTAGGAAAACCTTTGTCGGTGTATTTTCCTTATGTGTTCCATCCCATGTAATCATAGGAGTGACAAAAGACAAGAGAAATATCCACATATATATGTCTTGAAAATAGCTTTTTTTCCAATAATTATAATATAATGATGTTATTATTATACAATGTATTTCCACATGATAAAAGTATTAGTTTCATTGTTGGTGGTTTTGTTCTTTCATTCTGATACAGAAAATAATGACATGTTACAACTGATGCAATTGATACATCTCACAATTTACTAGAATATTGATTTCTCGGGGTTAGTGTAGGCTTAGTAATATACTGCATGGTTTATATGTTACCATTTCATACAATCCACCTGCCATCTCAGAAAGTAAGGACTATTCCTGCTCCTCTGGTCCATTTCTAAGTCTGAGCTAAATCTCCACAGGAGAGGCCTAACAGAACCTTGAGTTTGATTCTATATGCCCTAGAGTCTTTGCTGACATCAACTACATAGAATATGTTTTGTCTTATATGTTAAATGCTTTTCAGGTCTAGTTTCAGACAGCTTAGCCTACCTCATGGTCTTGAAGTTATTTTCCTGAATTGTGTTCTGTATACTCTACTACATATTTTTGTATTTATGTCTATGAACTGACTATAATTAATTTTGTGTGTAATGTCAGGTCATAGGTCAGATTTTAGTTTCTCCCTGTGGATATTCAATACCCTGGAATATTTTAATAAAAATCCAATTTTCCCCCATTCAGCAACTTAAATATATGCTTATATATGCATACGTCTGTTTTTTAAGTTATTGGCTGTTTATTCTATCTCTGTGCAAATACCACACTCTTATTATTAAGAGAGTCTATTCAAGAATTTTCTCTCTAGAGATTGTTCTTTCTCTTCTTTTTTAAGAGATAATTTTGTTCTGTCACACCAACTGGGGTACAGTGGCACAAACACAGAACACATTCTGTGTGTGAGCTGCTGGACTCAAGTGATCCTCCCCACGCAGTCTCCTGAGTAGCTGGCACTACAGGTGCAAGCCACCATGCCCGGCTAATTTTTAACTTTTTTAGTGGAGAGGAGGTCTCTCTTTGTTGCCCAGGCTGATCTAGAACTCCTGGCCTTAAGCAATCCACCCTCCTTAGTCTCCCAAAGTGTAGGAATTGCAAGCGTGATCCATTGTGCCTGGCCCAGGGCCTGTTCTTTTTAACCACTGAGCTGCTCTATAATGAGGTGAAAGAAGTTCAGACCTGCATGCCTTGCACTTACACCAATCCTTTCAGCTGTACCTTGAATGAGGCTGTGGATATACAACTTTAGAACGTTGCCATTGACTCTGAAATCTCTACGTCCTTGTGAATCTTAGGCAGTCTCCCAACACCACTGCCCACCTTATGTATTTAGTATCTTTGACAACAGCCAAGGTTGTTGAAAACCTAGAGAGGCAACCCTGGCTCCCTTCTGCCCTGCTGTAGATGATCCTGTGAACAGGGTCCCCCTCCAGACCATGCCCAACAGAGGCAGGTTCACAGGGGAGCCTCTGAGCTCAGAGCCTCTCTGGGGGCTCTGCATGCACAAGGACAGCACCTCCCTGCCTTGGTTGTGGGGTGAGGTAGGGAATTCAAGTCTTTTAAAAAAGGCTCAGTTTGTTCAAAAATGATTCTGTTTGCTGACCAATGACACCTTAAGACTTTAGATTTTACATCGTGATATTTCTCCTTGATTTTGATTTAATTTGTTGTGCAAATGTCTTAAATGCTTGTGTATAAATATTCTCTTTTGTTGGTCATATAAACATCATCTAAAACCAAATATTTATTTTTGTATCATAGATTTAAGGCCTTTATTTCTCTATTTTAAATATGCATTCATAATTATTTTTCAGTGAACCGTATCAATTATTTTCATCTTTACTCCTATTTCTCTTTCATAAATTGAACGTTAATATCACTTTTATTAGAAGCGACAGACGTTACACATTCTGTTTTATGATTTTCCAGAGATTTCCTCTTAAATAGCTCTGGTTAAAAAGAAGGACAGAAACTATTCTATAAGCCACAAGGCAAAATTGTCCCACATTAAAAAGATCTTCTTATGTTTAAAAAGATCTGTCAAACTTTCTATTCTATGGCTTAGTTTGCTGTACATGTCAAAGGTTAGGTAGATAAACATTTAAATAATTTAGGATTAAGGCACAGAATAAATTATATTTCATATATTCCTATTTCAGATAGAGGCAAAATTATTAAATAAAGTATAATACAGGCCTGTCCCTGTGTTGCTTGAAAGCAGTGTACTTTGATTATTGCCTTTGCTTGAGTCTAAAGATGAGGCTTTGGTTAAGTTGAGTTTGATGTTAGATGCTGGCAGAAGTCTGTTTCTCCTTTAGAGGAGCTACATGTATCCAGGAGTCAATTCCTTGTACCTTAACACCACAAAAATTAGTTAATAGCACCTGATAAGAACTTCTTCAGGGTGTTGGAGGTGGTGATACACTTCACAGTGATTAATGTTTTTTAGCTTTGATAAGCCCCAGCAATAAGTCAGAGACTTAATTTAGGATTCAATTTGGGAGATGTCTGTGAAAGATGTTAGAAAGCTTAAAATATTTCATCAAAACTAAACCACAGGTCCTTGTAAAACAATAGTTATTCATTTAACCAAAGTGATCATTGAAAGACGTTAAAGGCAATATAAAAAGTTACTCAGGTCTAAAAACCTTACTCCTTTCAAATTTCGGGTTTTTTTTTTAAAAGCAATTAAACACTTAATAAAGGCAGCATAGGAACTATCTTGATAAAATGTAAAATCTTGTTTCTTAAGCCAGTTACCAAAAAGTCAAAGGAAAACCTTTTTTAGTGTGACTGCCTCTCCTTAGAAGAAAGCCCATTTAGATAATCTGGAAGTACAATTTAAGATAAAAAGTGTTTGAATTTAATCAAACATGGAAAGAGTGTGTACAAGGTTATGAGTAGAACTGGGGAATACATGACTCTTAGTAGCTGCATGATAATTTTCCTGATTACAGTGAAAATTTAGACACAAAATAACAACAACAAAAAAACCCCCAAGAGTATAGAATCAGGTTATCCTGGAGGAAAACTTTTCTTTTATAGACCTCTAAGATAAAATATTTCAGCATCAGCCACAACAACATTTAGAAGTAAGGAGACAAGTTACAGGAGCTGACAAGAAGCTGAAGGATAGATTTATCATCCCAGGCCACATCAAAGGGAGAAAAAGCTGATAGCAACAAGACAACAATTGAACATTTGAGATATGAATCTCAGAAGTTTTCAAAAGAAGTAGATTATAGAATAGAAAATCAAAATTTATTGTAATTTTATTAAGAGTAAATTGATACCTTAAGAAAATCTTGATTTAACATAGGGGACCATTCTTTAGAAAGACTATTCTCCTTTTTAATTATGGCTAGCTTAATTGCATACAAAATTTCTTTTATAAATTCCTCTTCATGAGCCTTATCATGACTTACACAGACCATCTGTCACATGCTTGGACTGTATACTTGTCCTGTAGTACCTGTTTCTTTTTTAATTTTTTTTCAATTTTCTTTTTCTAGATTAACTTTGTAATAAGAATCTGTTGCTTAAATAACCAGTCATTTTACTTTAGGAGAATAATTTCCCATACAAGATTCTTTCTCATAGAAAATTACTCTTTTTCCTTTATAACCTTCCTTACCAAAAGTATATGTTCCTTTCTGTATCTTTCTTCACAACTCTGTTCACCACTTACTGCTTCCTTCCCAGCTTGTTTCATAAATAACCTTTTCAAACCCGTAATTTGAATAAACTTTTATATAACTTTGGAATTAGACAAAATAATTCTTTTTCTCAATAAGGACACCTCTTCTTTGGCACATTTGATAGAAACCTAGGAAAAAAGAAATCCTGAACTATCAGATATTAGTATTGTATAGATGAGAACCATTTCACAATTTTTAGAACAGTTTTCTCTATATAATAACCCTTTCTTAATTGGAAATGACCTAGACATCTAGTAAGCATCCAAAATGATTTTAAGATTTTAAATTATACAAAAATTTCACTTAGAAACATTGATCTCATTTATGTGTACTCAGCTTTTCCATTTTACCAGTTTACCTAGAGTACTTTTGAAAACTGGGATATTACATCAAAGTAGTAATTATTTATTTATGTCCCTATGACCCATTTTTAAAGTCTGTGGACATTAGGTGTTTTACCTAAGTAAGAACCTTAAAGTTCAATATATGGGCATTTTGTCAATAGCACAGAAGATTTAACTGTTTTCACTGAACTAGTAATATTAAATTAGTCTAACTCATCTGTAAAATCACACAAACAAAAATGATTCTGTTTTTGGCTGGGTTTATGGTCTTATAACCTTTATGTCATATCCTGACACCTGATGATATAGACAGAGATAAATACAAAATCATTTGTTCAGTAAACTCAGATAAAAATATATGCTGATCATTTTGAAGATATTTCCAATATTACGTCACGAATAATCTTAAAACCAATTTTATTTGTCAAGAATTACTAAATTTATGTGAACTTGAAAAGCATCCTGACTTAATTTATGAGCACTTATTTACTTGTAAGTCAATTTGGTAACAGGCTAGACATAACACATAATACACATACATACACACAAACATATCTAACTAAATATGTATATACACACAAGCAAAGGTCTAATAGCTTTTACCTTGGGATTCTATCCATAAAATAACAGTACACACTCAGTATTTTATAAAAATAGCTGGATACACATTATTGTCTGACAAAACTGAAACCTGTTTCCATGGTTAAATTTTGTTTTCTCCAATATATAATACAATGAAAGCTGTGAACCAAAATTTGGGTAAAGCAATCTTTATGGCAGTTTTGTTTTTAAAAAAGCATCTTTTTCCTTTCTTTCCTTCAGTTTTAAACAAGTTTCCTATGTTTACTTTCTAGTTAGTCCATAAATAATGAGTCTTATCACAGCACCAACAGCTTAGTAACATCCAATTTGAAGCAGGCAGAAAAGAAAACAGAGGAAGAAAGAGAGGTTTTGATGACTCTGCTTAACTTAATAGTTGCAGTTAACCATTTGAGCTCTAAAGTTTTCTTGCTAGAATTTGCCTATCTGTTTAAAATATTCACAAAAGTAGGTCTTAATAAGTAACCAGCTGAAATCCCAAAGAGAATGAGAATATGAAGTTCCTGCCAGGCCTTTTAAAAGGAAGGAAAGAAAAAGAAAGAAAAGGAGGTTTGTGAACCTTCTAGCGCTGCATGGTATAGGGTTGGCACCCCCACCACTCTTGCTTACATCCCATCAGGGAGAGCCCCACTACCCTAGACATGCACAGTGTGAGATGAATCCCTCCCACCTCTGCCATCATGGGGGAAGGAAACTGTTTACAGCTGGAGAGAGCTAAGGGTACCTTTGACTGAGATGATTAAGGCTGTAGGTGGCTTCCAAGACAGTCAAGAAGATGAAGTTGGAAGTGAAAAGGATAGGAAGAGATCAGGGCCCACACTCAAAGGTCTTATACACTCACACTTACAAACAAATGGTGAGCTTCCAAACAAACACCAGTTAAGGGGCTGAGTAGAATCCTGAATTTCTCTCCTCTGTTCAAAACAGCTCCATGGGTGTCTGAGACCAAATGGAGCCATGCCCAGTAGTGCCACAAATACAAATCCGTAAAACACTCAGATGATAGTCCCATTAGTGGACCAGACGAAACAGCAGAGCCCCAGCAACACCCCAGAAGACACAGGAAAGCCGGGTGCACTCTACTAGCTCACTTGGTTGCAAGGGCTGCCAGCTTCTTCAGAGGTCACATTCTTTGTACCAGCAAAGTGTTGATGGCTGCAGAAGTTGTGCAAGGAAGTGAAAGGGAGGGTCTAGGAAATGAAAGATTTTCAGCAGCTGCTTGGAAGTTCCCTAACATTCCTGCCATGGGGTCTGCTGGCCTTCAGCTGCTGGTGCTCACAGGCAACCCTCCACCTTGGTAGCAAAACCAGGCTCACAGGCTTGGGTTGCCCAGAGCACATAATGCTCCCCATACAGGCCACCAAATTTGTTACCAAACACAGGTTTGGCCACTTGTCACTTACCGTATCAAATAACAAGCAAGAGGGTGGTAAAAAGAAAGTGACTTTATTTCACAGCTTAGCAATGGAGAAGAACCAGGTTCATATCTAAAGGAGCCGCTTCAGTTTTCCGGGAAGAAAGCAGGGTTTTAAGAAGAGAAACTTTCTTGTGCAGGGTATGCAGAAGGAACATGGAGGTGCGGGGTCTATGTGACTTGCTGTAAAACTTAGCTAAGGGGTCATCTGTTAGTCTGACCAGTGTCATTGAGGAAAGAGTCGGAATGTGGATTAACTATTGTCTTGAGACAGTCTCCCTGTGAGGGAGAATTCTGGATGTTGCCTGCTTTGGTTCAACATTTGGTCCTTAGAATTTCTAAGGAAACATATACTTAGATAAGCTGGCAATACTTGCAGGTTGTTTCACTGGTGGAAACGAAGGAAGGAAAAGGTTACATTTGCATTTCTGAGGAGCTAAGCAAGAGGTGAACACTGAGAAAAAGAAAAAATGCAAAGGTAATTTTTAGGAAAATAGTATACTGGGTTACAACTTAACTTAATTTCACTGTGTCTAAAGAGCAACCCTATACTTCATGCAAACTGCATAGCCTGGGGCATTCATGTGGTGAAGAACAGAGAAAAAATATTTTTAAGATGCAAAGGAAACTGGAGATTTTTTTAAGGAAAATCAATGAAGGAAGAAACCTTTATTGGCTTCTCCTTTTGGTGACAAATGTATTGTTCTCCTATAAGTAGAAAACTATACTTTAATTATTTCGTAATGTAGTGATTTTACCAGCCACAACTAACAGGATAACATAGGAAAGGCAGGTTGGTGTCCACACAGGGTGACTGAATCTACCTAACACACCATTTACTTTGTTTCTAAACAGTGTGTATTCCTTCATTCTTGGGTTGGATGCAAGATCACTGAGTCATGGAAAACTTTGTCTTTTTGTAGTCAGAAATTAGGCGAAAGCATAAAGGTGAATTACTCTTTATTAAAGAAATCATTTAAATTACTTTTCTTTGTATCTTTGCTTTTTGTTTCTGTACTGCTCCAGTACTCCTGTGAACCATGTCTCAGTGGAGTAATGATGGCACCACAGTCCAGCCTGCATGGCTGTTGGCATGCATGCTCCCTCCTCCTGCAGCCATGGAGAATGGCTTTATGAAATTCAGCCACCTCTTTGTCCAGACTGTCAGTTCCATCTTCTCAACTCCAAGTATCTTCCAGAGTCCGTGCCACACCACAGCCTGGAAACTCTCCCCAAGCAGTAACCTGAGGCAACAGTAGCCCTCATTGTTTCACGTCTCTCAGATGTCACTGTCCTTCATTGTTTGATGTGCACTCTCTTGCAATCCATCCTTCCAGATAAATCATCCATTTTTACCTGTGATAAGCCATGTCCAATTGCCATAAGTTTTTCCACAACATTTTGTTTCATTCTTCCTGCAATTACTCGATCATTACTATACCACCGCCTATATGGATGTACCTGTCAATGTGAAGCTGGGTAAGGAACAATGTGCGCCAAACTCACAGAGAAAGACAAGCGAGCTGGCCTTTATATCACTAAAGGGAAGCTCAGATTGGTAAATATGTAATGTCTGTAGTAGTCTTGTTGGGGACATCCACAGTATGTCAATGAATCAAAGACTTAAGAAGAATCTCAAAGAAAGAATAATATCTCTCTCTCAACCCTTATACACATAATAGACTTATTTACCCTTATTGAAAAAGTCCTTCTAGAATTTTAAATTTACACTTTATTCATATAAAAATGAAAGCAATATTGAAATTAATTCATAAATTCACACGTATCTTGGTATTCTGATTATGATTGTTCTGAATTAGGTGTTGACACTTTTTCAAAGTGATGATTGATATAGTTGGATGAATATCCACCATGCTTGTTACTATCTTTTAGTTTTTGCGCTGCCTCTGTTTCCATTTTTGTCTTCCATTCATTTTCCTTTTTTTGTGGTTTTTATTCAGCATTTAAAAAATTCAATCTTCTTTCTTAGCATCTCAGACTTTTTAATACTTTTTTATTGGTTTCTCAAGATAATAAAAACTTTTAATTTCCATATTCTTAATTGATCTTACATATAACAGCTTATTTAAAATAATTATATTCAATAGCAGACAGGTGCCTTTCAAAAAAATAGTAGGAATGCCGAACCCGGTGGCTCAGGCCTGTAATCACAGCAGTTTGGGAGGCCAAGGTGGGTGGATGACCTGAGTTCGGGAGTTTGAGACCAGTCTCGCCAGCATGGTGAAACCCCATCTCTACTAAAAAAAAAAAATACAAAGATTAGCTGGGTTTGTGACGCATGTCTGTAATCCTAGCTACTCAGGAGGCTGAGGCAGGAGAATAGCTTGAATGCGGGAGGCAGAGGTTACAGTGAGCTCAGAACGCGCCACTGCACTCCAGCCTGGGTGACAGAGCAAGACTCTGTTTCAAAAAAAAAAAAAGCAGCAATTAATTTAACTATATTTTCATAAGTATAAGATCTATATAGATATGGGTATAGATATACATATAAGTAAAATGAAAGGTACGAAAAGAGGGACAAAAGGAAAAATACAGGAAAAAGGAAGAAATAGAACTATTATTTTATAAGATGGTTACACTACTTCTGAGGCAGTATACTTTTATATGAAAGGAGCTTAGATTAGTTGTAAATATAAATTGCCACCTCTAGGGCAGGATACTGGACCAGGAGCCTCAGTTTTTTGCTGTCTGTGGCCAGAGGCTGCATTCAGTTATTTCCCATGTTGGCTTCTCTCCCATGGCAGAATGTGTCATCAAAACCACCATGACAGAGAGCTTGCAGCAAGACAGGTATCATAATCTTAGGTAACATGATTACCCAAGTGACATCCTATCAGGTTGTAGTCTTCTGATGTATCAAAGCAAGTCTCAGTTTCTCCCCAACGTCACAAGAAAAAAGATTAGATATTCTAATTAAGCTCTGAGGATCATCGTGCACCATCTTAGAGATCACCTGCCAATGTCAGGTCTTGCTTAATCTGGGACAGGTTCTCAGTCCTCACTTTGTGAGAAAACAGGTCACATAGTTTGTAAAATGTATCAAAATCTGGATTTCTCTGAATGTTTCTCATAATTTTACTGAGCAATATAGATAGAGACATGTAATTATCTATTTGTGAAGACAAGAAACAGCAAACAGGACATTATTTACAAATACAAATTTAGAGACCAAAACTAAGAAAGAAAAGTTTGCGAATGGGAAAAGGAAAATTAAAAATAATAATAATGTTCGCCAGGGTAACAAAAAGGGTGGGAATGGGGAGGTGAGCACCTGGGACGCTACGAGATCGACAATGTTCTGCTTAGTAAGCTCAATAGTGTAATTTTTTTTAAATATATATTTTATTTATTTTTTAAATCTATGTTAGAATAGTTTGGATTTACAGAATAGTTAGAAGTACATACAGAGAGTTTATATATATTCAACACATAATTTCCCTTTCATAAATTCTTACATTCATTTGAGACATTTGTCGCAATTGATGAACCAGTATTATACATTATCATTCAGCAACATTCACAATTAATCAGATGTTCTGTTTTCACCTAATGTCCATATTCTGTTCCAGGATTCCGCCCAGGACACCACATCACGTTTAGGTATCGTGTGCCAGTTTCTCAGATTTTCCTTATTTCTGATATCATTGAAATCCTTTGGGATGTCTCTGGTGTTTTCCTAATGATTGGATGGCTGTTGTGAATTTAGCAGAGGAAACCTACAGAGGGAAACTTTTATTCTCATGATGTTATAACAAGAGTACATAGTGTCAACATGCTGTATCACTTTTTTTTTTTTTTTTTTTTTTTTGAGACAGGGTCTCACTCTGTTGCTCAGGCCGGAGTGCAGTGGCATGAACAAAGCTCGCTGCAGCCTCGAACTCCTGGGCTTGAATGATCCTCCACCTCATCCTCTTGAGTAGATGGGACTACAGGCATGTGCCACCACATCTGGGTGATTTAATTTTACTTGTACTTTTGTAGAGGCAGAGTCTCACGACATTGCTCAGGCTGGTCTGTAAGTCCTGGCCCCAAGCGATCCTCTCACCTCAGGCTCCCAAAGTGCTGGGATTACAGGTGTGAGCCACTGTGCCCAGCTGCTTTATCATGGTTAATGTTATTTGATCACATGGATGAGGCAGTTTAGCTCAGTTTTCTCCACTATAAAATTAATATTATTCCCCTTTTCATGTTATACCTTTTGGAAAAAACATCACTATGCACAGCACATACATAAAAAGTGGGGAATTATGCCTCTTTCCCCTATGGATGGACCTTCTATAAATGTCATTTGTGTTTCTGTAAAAAATATTTAACATTCCTTGGGCTGTTCTGGATCAATTGTGTTTTTCTGTGCATTTTAGGATCAGTGGTCCAAGAACTGCTAAAAATGAGAAAAAATTAAAGTTAGAACTTTAGTAGGGCTTGTATTGAATCTGAAGATGCATTTAGAAAGTATAAGCATCTTGGTTAATACTTAATAACTTTCTAATCAATGAAAATGTAGTTCATATAGTATATTACACTAATTCTTTTATTCATTTATTTAGGATTTCTTTAATACTTCAATATTATTTGTAATTTTCAGTATATATATCTTGCAGTTATATTGTTTATTTTCAAATATATTTCCTTTTTGATGCCATGTTAAATGAAATTATTTTCTGAGTTTCATTATTTGATTAGTTTCTATTGTATAAGAATGCAATTTATTACATTGATCATGCATACTGAATTTTTTTTTGTTCCAACCTTATTTTAGTGAATTTTTTAGGATTTTCTATACATTAGATTATGTCACTGGCCAATAGATGTTTGACTTCTTCCCTTTCAATTTGGAAGTCTTATATTTATTTTTCCAGCCTAATTTTATAAATTACATCCTCAAGCATAATGTTTAGTTGAATTAGTGGAATAGATAACCTTTTGTGTTTATAATTTTGGGAAAATTACTGAGACCTACTTGATACCATGTGTTGTCATATGAATTTTTCATAGGTGCCTGTGTTAGTAAGAACATTCCCTTTATGCAAAATTTGTTTGGTGTTTTTACTGCGAGTGGGTTTTTGAATTGGAAAGTGTTTATTCCATATCTTTAGATGTGATAAAGAAAATTTTGTCATTTATTATATTAATATAGTGATTACACTAATTCTTTTTATATGTTTTACCAAACTTGTGATCCTGGATAAATAAATAAATAAATAAGTTAGTGTTTAATTATGTTTTACGATCCTGATCTTTGTTCAGACTGTTTGCTCGAGAATTATTGCTTGGGTATCCATAAAGCATATTAGTTTATAGTTTTACTTTTTTGGACTGTCTCTGTTTGGTTGTGGCCTCAGAGGAAACTGCCTCATAGAATGTATTGCACACTGATCTCTTCTCTATTATTTTATTTTTTGGAGAACAGTTAGTAAGAAATTGCTGTTGATATTTTAAAGGTTTCGAATAATTCATCAGTGAAGTCTTCTCAACCAGGTCAATCACGAGAACTTAGAAGATGATTCCTCCCCAGCTGATCCTCAGGTGAGACCTCAGCCTTGGCCATCATCTACATCTGGATTCCTGACTCAGAGAAACTGTGAGTAATTTGTATGTGCTTTTGAGCCACTAAGCTATGTAGTTATTCGCTATGCTGCAATAAACAATAATACACTTTATGTAAACATAATATGTTATCCTTGATTAGATCCAAAAAAAGGAAAAATGGCATTAGTGGAAAACCTTGTAAAATATAAAGACAGTCAGTACTTTGGTTAATAGTTTAGTGCCTTTATCAGTTTCTGAGTTTTCATAGATAGTCTGTGGTTCTGTGTGTGATATTAATATAACAGGAAATTGAAGGGTATATACAACTTTATGTAAGATTTTAACAACTCTCTGTTAATCTAAAATTATTTCAAAATAAATAGAAGTGTAGACATGGCTCATATATTTGAGATCAGGTCTCCCTGTTAACTTAATTGAGCCTACATGGAACCTAAATCTCATGGTACAAATGCAATAATATTATAAAATATAAATCAGATGAGTTTCTATTTTACTCTCTTCTTCAGGGAACACTAAAGCCCATTCTTCCTCTCAAGTAACCAGAAATAAAGTTGATCCAAGTAACAAGTGGACAGCATAAAAGATTGTATGGAAACTATAATGCATCTACATCTGCAGTAACTAATCATAAAATGATTTGTATGATCATTCTTCACATGATTATGATGACTATGGGAAAGAAGAAAAAGAAATGCAACTTTCTTGATTTAAAAATTGTATCTAAGGGGCATGAAGCACCTTTCTGGGGCAATGGTAAGATTTTTTGAATCTTGACAGCAGTGATGTTTATATTCCTGTATTCATTGTCCAAATGAATAAAATAGTTCATGTAAAAGGGTGAATTTTGCTGTACAAAACAATGTAATAAATTTGACTTTAAAAGCCAAAAAAAAAACATAAAATAAAAATTGTATCTGTGCAAGTGTGGTGGCACACACCTATAGTCAGTCCCAGCTGCTAGGGAGGGTGGGTAGGATGAACATGTGGTACCAGGAATTTGAGGCTGTGTAGTGTGCTGTGCTTGTGCCAGTGAATAACCAGTGCACTCCAGCCTGGGCAATGTAGTGAAACGCCATTGAATGAATGAATAAATAAATAAATAAATAAATAAATAAATAAATAAATAAATAAATAAGTTATAGAGATCATTCTTTGTATCTCTATCATTAGGGCTGAAATCCTCTAGATAAAGTTTTTTTTTTTTTTTTGAGACAGCGTCTCACTTTGTAACCCAGGCTGGAGTGCAGTGGCGTGATCTCAGCTCACTGCAAGCTCTGCCTCCCAGGTTCACGCCATTCTCCTGCCTCAGCCTCCCCAGCAGCTGGGACTACAGGCGCCCGCCACCATGCCCAGCTAATTTTTTTGTGGTTTTAGTAGAGACGGGGTTTCACCGTGTTAGCCAGGATGGTCTCAATCTCCTGAGCTTGTGATCCACCCGCCTCGGCCTCCCAAAGTGCTGGGATTACAGGTGTGAGCCACCGCTCCTGGCCTGAGATTTTTCTTTATCGTTGGAGAGCTGCCACCCCAGTGCAAACTTTCAAATAATGCCTTGCCAGTTTTACTTTCCCTCTCAAGGATTCCTGAAACTATAGTTTCTAAAATTATCTCACAGCATGTGTTTTATTTTTACTTCTGTTTGCTGTTAAGGCCCCTCTGGATGGTGGCTATAACCTATAGCCTTGCCCAATATGACTCAGGGTTTGGTACTGGCTGTGCCTTTCATGGGATGCTTACTTATCCTGGTCGATGGCCTAAAGCCCAACTGTCCAGCTTACATCCAGGTATCCTTCTCACAGAGTACTTGTTTATACTGTAAGACACCCTGTGGCTCCTGTCTGACCTGTGTCTAGTTTATTTCTACCAAGGTAACCACTCTCTAGGAGAGTGCTAAGTGGGAGAAAAGTGATGTCCATGTGTGTTTGTAAAGTGAAATACAGAGGAGGCAACTCAACAAAATGTGTATAATGGCATGAGTCATGTATTACTAACCAATCCCAGTAAGAAGAGGGCAGCATTCCTTGAAGTGCAGATGGAAAGAGAAGAGCTCTCCAGGACATACACTCATAAGCAGCAGGGGTGGTGGAGGAGCAACTAGAGAAAGACATAGTATTGCACCATTTGGCTGAAGTCTTTATGGGTGTATTTGTCATTTTTTTTTCAGAGAGACAGAACTACAGGGAGGTAGATAGGTAGGTAGGTAGATAGATAGATACATAGATGGAGAGTTGATAGATAGATAGACAATAGTTAGATGAAAGGCATTTTGTTTGGGGATTTACTCATGTAACATTGTAGAGACAGAGCATTCCCAAGACAGCCATCTGTGAGTTTAAGGACCTTGGATGCTGTAGCGTGGTGGCTCAGTCCAAAGCTGAAATCTTCAGAACCAGGGAAGCCCTTGGTGTAATTCTCAGTTTGGGACCAATGGCCTGAGAATCCAGGGCATTTACTGGTATAAGTTCTGGAGTTTCAAGGCCATAGATCATGGAGTTCTGTTTTCCAAGGGCAGGAAAAGGAGTATAACTTCTTCAGGAGAGAGGGCAGAAAAAGGAGTATAACTTCTTCAGGAGAGAGACAGGAAGACTTGAAAAAAATTTTTAATTTTTGGTTCTATTTGGTCCCCAAGGAGATTGTATGCTGCCTTCCCCCATTGAGGGTGGATTTTTCCCACTAAATTACCTGACTCATACACCAATCTCCTCTGGAAACACCCTGGCAGACACACCCAGAAGTAATGCTTCACCAATTCTGTAGGTATTCTTTAATCCAGTCAGCATCTTAAATTAACCATGACAAGTCCAGCACCTTTCTAGTTGGCACCTATATGTATCACCTTAAGCCCTAACTAATCTTCAGATACAGACAATAACAAGGCAATAGTTCTACCTAACATGATGCAACGATCCTGTGTGCAACGAGAACACACTATACTATTTTTCCTAAGAGTAGTAGAAGTTTGTGGGTGATGGTTACTCTTCTCCTGATACCCCATAACTTCAACAGAAATATGTTAAACTACTAACACTTAACTGCTAATATCAAGTTAATACATTCTTGTGTTATGTGACAAAAGAAGAAGAGAGAAATAAAAACAATGTTATTTGTCTAATATATTTATATATAACATGAAAATGTATTCTTAAAGTTGATAGGAAATACTAGTGACAATTTTAATCCTTGTTTCTGTAACTGGTCACCTGGTCCTGTCTGCTATTTGTAACTCCCTTCTACTGCTACCCATTCAGTATTCTCTTTGTCTTCAGCAAGCCCCTCTGCTGGTCCTGGGTCTTTACCTGGCAGGGTGATGCAAACCTTCATTCCTGAAAGGTCTGGATCATTTGTATTCTTGTCTGGAATGGTTGTAATAATCCATTGAACTTAATAACAGGTCATAGTAATACTAAGACTTTGTTTTAGTCCATTTTCTGTTACTTATAACAGAATACCTGAAACTGAGTAGTTGATAAAGAAAACACATGCATTTCATACAGTTATGGAGGCTGAAAAGGCTGAGGTTGAGAGGTTGTATGTGGCGAGATCCTGTTGCTGGTTGGGACTCTCTGAAGAGTTCTGAAGCCTACAGGGTATCATATGGCAATGGAGTAGAGCTTGCTGACATGCAACATCATGTCTCCCTTCTTATAAGCCACTCTTCTCTCATAGTAGACTATTAATCTTTAAATATTAATTTATTAATCCATGAAAGGATTAATTCATTTATGGGTCAAACTCTTCATGATCCAGTCACCTTTTAAAGGTCTCACAATTCAGTACTACCACGTTAGGGATGAAATTTCAGCATAAATTTTGGAGGGAAGCAATATTCCAACCACAGGGCTCCACTTCTGACTCTAAAAATCTCGTCCTGTCACTTACAAAAAGTTTATTTCATTCCTATCGTTCAAAGGCTTAGATTGTTCCAGCACCAACAGAAAGTTCCCACAGCTAAAGTCTCCTCTGTCAGCCCATGAAATCAAAACAAGTTATCTTCATACAAAATTCAGCAGTTGGGTTGTTAATGGCCAATGGGTTCATGTTGGCTGCTGCCCAGATAGAGCCACTTCACCAAGATAGGGGAATTGCTGTAGAGAAAATTTTATACATGTAGAGCTGGCTAAAGGAGAGAGCAGAGTTTTCCTATTACTCAAAACTGCTTCTCCAAATATTCAGAGGCTAGAGTTTTTATAGATAGTTTTGTGGGCAGGGGTTAGAGAAAGGGACATGCTGATTGGTTGGGTCAGGGATGAAATCTTAGGAAGTCAAAGCCATCTTCTTTTCTGACTCAGCTCCTGGGTGTGGGCCACGTATCCAGATGAGCCAGTTTACTGGTTTGGGTGGCACCCGCTGATCTGTCAGGATGCAAGTTATGAAAAATACCTCAAACACCAATCTTAGGTTTTACAATAGTAATGTTATTTATAGGAGCCATTGGGGAGGTTATTAATATTGTGGCCTCTGATTGTATGACTCCTGAGCCATACTTTCTAATATTGTGGTTAATTTGTTAGTTTTACAAAGTTGATGTGGTCCCCAAACAATGAGGGGTTTTGTTTCAGGGGGGAGCTGTTATTATCTTTGTTTCAAAGTTAAGCTACAAAGTAAATTTCTCCCGAAGTTAGTTTGTTTTTGCCCAGGAATCAGCAAGGGCCTCTTGGAGGTTAAATGCAAGATGAAGTCACTTAGGTCATATCTCTCTCCCTATCATAATTTTCTTACTGTTACTGTTTTTGCAAACGTGATTCCAATTTCCCCTTGCAAGTTTCATTGCATCTTATTCTTAATGGGTGAGGTACAGAGTTGGGAAAAGGCCAAAGACCATTCTAACTTCTTCCTGCTGACAAGGGGTATACTTGGGATAGGGTTTGGCCCCAGAGTAAATGGAATGAAACTGCTTTGCAGCTGCCTGCATGTATTCACAGGTGCCTGGTTGGGGTTCCTAGGCTTGCATGACCAAGACGTTAGTACTCTCATCCACAGTTTTAGTACAGCACTTAAGTGAACAGCTGACTATAGGATAATGAATCCTAATATAAGGAGTGGAAGTCCTAGCTTCAGAAGTCCTTATATAATTTGTCTAAATCCCTGAGCGATTCGGGTGCATAGCGCCAAGAACCAGTCAGACATGGGGTCAATGGTCAAGAGAGATATGGGTGAGAGATTGTTAGAAAGACAAATTTGGATAAACAGGAAAGAGCAAATTTAAATATACCATCTCATATCTTTTTAGTTAGTTTCCTAGTCCTCAGAATAGATCCTAGCTGTGTTTCATTCCAGGAGGTGTCACTGCAAATGAACTAGGCCCCCTTATGTGATTAAGGCAAAAAATATTTTTAATAACAGGCATTTGTATGGAAATAGAAAATAATAACAAAGGTTGATCTTGGGCACAATGCATCCAGATGTTAGATTCAAAGCATTTTTAAGTTGCAAAGGAGGATAGTGATGACAATCTCACATATTTCGCATCTGTATCTCAAGGGATAAGCTTCAGCCTGCAGGGCCTCAGGAAGAAGTTCGTAGCCATTTCATTGAGTCCAGGTCAGAAAAGTGGAAGAAAAATGTGAATGTGTTAGTTTGAGGACTTTAGCTCTGAGAGGTTTCAGGATTCAGTCCAAAGTGCAGAAAACAATAAAAAGCTCAAAAACAATAGACAAGACTAGAATGTAACAATAAGTGTGCTATAGTATTTTTCTGACATACAATCTTTTGCTCTCTAGTTCTCATTTTTTTAAGACATATGATAGTAGGACACATGTATTTGCAAAATACATTTTGTTATTATTATACTTAGCCTGACTATTTGTGTAAAGTTCAGCAAGAGTAATTATTTGCCGTATTAGCCCTTTCTAAATTGGGTTTGCTGGAACTTTGTTCCCTAAGGAATCTTGGATTGGACTTTTTTAAAGCCTTCAAGGGATGTATCTGTGCCTGCAAATACTTGTACAGATTGCTTGAATTTCTCTCTTCTTCAGCTCCCAAGATAATTTAGGAATCATAGGCCTGTCAGAATGTGACATTTTTTACTAACCACAGGTCAAGAACCCTGTACAAGGCCTGTGTAGACAGTTAGGAGGTCAGTTTCTTAAGGGGCTTTTATCAACTCTGTTAGTCAACTTTAATTCCTCCAGCTTGTCTGTTTGTATCTGAAAGTAGGTCATTCGACTGGTAACATAACCACAGCTTTGGTAAAATAATCAGTGTCTCTAATTGTGTTCTGTTACAAAAGAAATCAGATTCTTATTGTACTTATGTAAATAACTATATCGCCATAGCATGGAATACTCATAAATAGTTTTCAAATTCTGGAGAAATCAAGTAGAGAAAATGAAATATCCTTCATCTTTTGTTCACAGGAATATACTTTACTCAACCATGAAAAGCTGTAAATAGCTGAAAAGAAAAATGTGGTCTTGAGGTCGGGCACGGTGGCTCACGCCTGTAATCCCAGCACTTTGGGAGGCCGAGGCAGGTGGATCACGAGGTCAGGAGATCGAGACCATCCTGGCTAACACGGTGAAACCCCGTCTCTACTAAAAATACAAAAAATTAGCCAGGAGAGGTGGCAGGCGCCTGTAGTCCCAGCTACTCGGGAGGCTGAGCCAAGAGAATGGCATGAACCCCAGGGGGTGGAGCCTGCAGTGAGCCCAGATCGCGCCACTGCACTCCAGCCTGGGTGACATCGAGACTCAATCTCAAAAACAAAAATAAAAAAGAAAAAAGAAAAATGTGGTCTTGACTCTGAAAAACAACAAAAAGGATCAGCAGCATTTCAAGCAACAAGTCATAAAATGATTATTGTGGTCTTCTATTAGTTCAGTCCATGCAGTGAACTTTGTCTGACATTGGACCTGCAGTCCCCATAAACATACCAGCTATCTCTGACAGTCCTGGAGGTTTGTTTGTTTGGTTTTGTTTTTTTCCTATTTCAATGCCACAATCTTTGGTTATCAGAAACCTGTATTCAAGAGAACATTTCAAAGAGCAAACACCTTTTGAATAGTTTAAAAAAAAAGAGCACAATAATCTGTGGATGACAATAATCTCAGGACAGTCATTGTTTTATTAATTTTACTTTGATTTTGTTGAGACAGGGTCTGAAGCCATGCAGGCTGGAGTGCAGTGGCACAATTATGGCTCACTGTAGCCTCACCTTCCTGGGATCAAGCAATCCTCTTTCTTCAGCCTCCAGAGGAGCTGGGACCACAGGCAAGTGCTACCACATCCAACTAATTTTTTGATTTTTTTGTAGAGAAAAGGTCTCACTATCTTCCTCAGGCTGATCTCAAACACCTGAGCTCAAGCAATCCTCCCAACTTAGCCACCTAAAGTTCTAGGATTACAGACATGAGCCACCGTGCCCAGTGAGGACATTACAGGCATGAGTCGCTGTGTCCAATGAGGCCATTGTTAAAGACACAATCGACAAAGAAATCTGTTCATTTCTGTGGCACATAACAATTCAGCATAATAATAATAATTATGACTGATAACATATACTAAGACATATTAGAATTATAGGAACCATATAATTTTGGAATACATACTAATAACATATTTATATAAATATAACCCAAAGAAAGTTAAACATGATTTTATATTTGACAGTGTTTTCTGTAGGTTAATATACCAAATAAGCCAAATATATCTCTTTTGGACTTCAGGGGACGTAATATTTAAAAGGCTAATGAGTTAAAATAAAAATTCTTAGTTTATAATTTTATTTTTCAAAGTGTGCAAATATTAAAGTTTTAAAACACTTCATATCACAAAATAGAATCCCAGATAACCACAAATCATTTGTTTAGCCAAAATGATAGCTCAAAAATTTAAAAAGGCAAAAGCCTTTATTCATTGGTAGAGAGGAGACTCAGCTCCCAAACAACAGGACCAAGTAACGACTGCATGAGGCCATCTGAATCTGTGTCTTCTCTCTCCCCTACTTTTTTCAGTTTATTTAAAAGACAAATAAAAAACATTTTATTATCTGTCAGTATTATACAAAAATATTGTTTAAAGAGAAAACCAAATTTTACCTTTTATTAATGTTTTATTAGTGTTTTATTAATTAGTGTTTTATTAATGTCAAACACAATTTTTCATAAAACCTTATAAACAAATCTATCCAATCTAAATCAGTTAGACCATAACTGTTTACAATTTTCTACTAAACAACTGATTAATGCTCCATGAAAACTCTGTTGATCACACCTAAGGGGGCAGATTCTGGGCCTGTATCACTGTGATTTTTACATTAATGATCATTCTGTAGAAAAACTAAGTAACCTGCTTCAAGTTTTGGCAAGTTGCTCACACTCACACACAGAACTTTCTTTACTAGACCAATCTTTTACAAACCTTTTATAACCTGCTTAAACCTTCCGTTTTCTCCTATTATTTTTTAACTTAAGACAATTTTTAAAACCTCTAATTTAGACAAGATTACTTTTTTAAACAAAAACAATATCTTCAGGTCTTTTTATAACTTTTTACAAAAACACATTTTATAATTTTTATATACCTTGAATGTCAATCTTTTCTCAGCAGTGTCAATCACATGTGTTACAATGTTAAATCTTCACAACTTTTATTTTTAGTGAAAGTAATTTTAATTTCGTACCAAGTGCAGAGCCTAGGACACAGGACAGAAATGAAGATAATGTCTGACTGTTTCCAACATAGCTCGGGGGCGTGGCTAACTCAGCATGTCCCCAGGCTTTACCTAGAAGCTGCTGGCTCTAATGCAGGCAGGTTGGACACTTACAAAAAGTCATAGATATTTGTAACCTTAAAACAGCAAAGAGAATATCTGACCTGCCTAATTTAGACCAAATGTCTAAATGTTGAAGAAATAATTTTATTGTACCAATAATCTTTAAAGCTATCTTTATCATTCAAAGATTATTAGAGTCATGTGAACAAAAAGCAGTTTAGTTAAATTTTTTCTGATAAAATATTTTATTTAAGTGCATATATACGCCCATTTATTAGAGCTCTTTTATATAGTTTGTCAGCAAAATATTGCATATATGGAGCATATAAATACACAGACATAGAGAAGCAGATCTGGTAGAGTTATATGGATTCTTCATTTGTCAGTTTTTAAGTTTTTCTTTTTCATTTTAGATCATCAGTCTCTTGATTACCTGTTCCCTGCCCTAAAAAGTTTTTAACCAGGCAGTTCCACACTTTTATTTTAAAGGGATAATTCTTAGGTGAAATAATTATAGAGAATTTATATTTTATCTAAAGCAAGGAAAAATGTGGGGGTAAAAGTTCAGTGAGGATGGCCAGGAAAAGCAGACACTCTTACATGTGGAGATTTTCTTAAAGTTGTTAAGTTTTTAAATGGGATTATTGCCTTTGGGGTGGAACCTCTTAAGGAAAAGAACCAGGAAAGCATGCAGTTTCTAGGTCCTAGTAATCAGGCAGAGGTGGAAGGCAAAACAGATTCCCCTAAATGATGAATCTTATTTTTGTACTGAATCCTGGGTCCCCTAAAGAGGCAAACAATATGGCATTCTATGGCATGACACAGTGCAATGCTTCCACAGTGTATTTCATTGTAAGGACATTTCCTCAAGGCCGCTGGACAACCCAGCACGCATCAGCCCACTCTGTAATCAGCTCATAAGAGCACATCCTTCTTATTTAAATGTACAAATAAAAGAGTATCACCCTGTAGTAATAATCACTTACTATAAGCAACTACCATTAGTCATTTCAAAAAGTATATTTTTCATCTAGTTATTACACATCAAGGTTAAGTTTTTTTTCATAATGCAAAGTAATTTCAGGTCTCTGCAAGTCAAAAAGGTTAGATACAAGAGGAAGGAGGAACAGACAGGAGTAAATGGAGGATCAGAAAGAATTCCACTGAATGAGAAACTTTTACAGAGGGAGAGCAAAGGCTTTAAAATAGTATCTGTACACATGTAGCTCAATATCAGCCTTAATCAAGTTGATTTTTGATTACAGAGATCTCCAAAGAAAATCTGCTGAAATCTTTTATTAATAGATTTTAGCCAGGACAAATAGGTAGTATTTTTGGCTTTAAACTTTTCCAGAGGTAACTTCCCATGAGAAACTTATAAGCCTAACTAAGGTTATGACTTAACCATGGATGCATGAGGTGTCTCACAGAGATGGCAAGCAGTTTTTGCAAGATTGAGAATTTCCCCAAAGATAGCTTAGAAAGGAAAATTTAAGACAGAAAGTGAGAAGATGTCCATGGAGAAGAAAATCATCGAATGAATGGCAAACAGTCTCCAAATATCACACTAGAAAGGGCTTAGTGCTTGAGTTGAAAATCAAACCCAGGCTGCTGCAGTAAAAGGGAAAAACCTTAGTTACTGAGCTACAGCATGGGGCAGTTGCTGTTGGTCAGAAATAATGTAGGTCAGTCAGCTCCAAGCTTCAAGGATTGTAACTGCTCAAGAGAATCCTTAAAGCTAGCTGTGACATTATTATGTATCCTTTCAGACTGGCTGCCTGAACTGAATCCAGAAATTCCAACCCTGTGTATGTGGGAGAACAAGGGACAGCATCCTCACATGGTTACTAAGTCAAGTTTTCAAGGACATAAAACAAGATAAGAGGGAAACTTCAACTTTTTTGTTTCAGGGAGGTGTAGCAAATTTTGTAACTAACAAGTCTGCAGGGCCAGCCCAAACAGTGGGCTTATAGGGATCCTAGGCCCCTTAGGTTCACAGTATGAATGCTGTCTCTAGGAACAATTGAGGATGTTAGTAATCTTATGGCCTCTGGCTGTATGGCTCTTGAACCATATTTTCTAATCTTGTGGTTAATTTGTTGGTTTTACAAAGGTGATCTGGTCTCCAAGCAATTAAGGGATTTGTTTCAAGGAGGGGCTGTCATCTTTGTTTCAAAGTTAGGCTATAATTTTAATATTCCCTTTGTCCAGGAACAAACATGGGCAGCTTGGAGATTAAAGGCAAGATGTATTCAGTCAGGTCATCTCTCTTTTACAGTCATAATTTTCTCACTGTTAGAATTTTTTCAAAGGTGATTTCAGGATAAACATAATGTACACATTCCCATTCTATAAGAGAGAAATAGACACAAAGAAAACAGTAACAGCCCCTAAGTAAATTTGAAGTCCAGGAGGGCAAACATTACATCTTAAAGCTGGAGAGCCTATTTTTTTTTTAACTCCTTAACACACTGAGGTGAGGGTTGGAGTGGCAAGCCCTAGGCAGTGTCACCCCTACGGTTCCCCTTGGTGAATCACCTGTGGGTGCTTGTACTGGTTGAAATTTTCCCAGGCAGGCATTGAATGCCACAGGGGACTTCACAATCCTGGGATCCTGGTATTGGCACCACTAGGCATTACCCATGTGGAACTCTCTGCAGTGATTTCACTGCTGTGGCTTCACTTGGCATTGCCCTGGTGGGGACTCTTTGCAGCAGCTCCAACCCCACATTTGTGTTTGGCATCCTTCTACTGGGGTCTCTCTGCAGTGGATCTAGCCGTGTGACAACTCTCTCTCTGGACTCCCAGGCTGTCAAAAAAAATACTTTGAAATTTGTGGAGGCTGCCAAGCCATCATTTGTGCCTTAAGTGTAAGAAATACATTTATTTTCTTTATAAATTACCCAATATTTTGTATTCTGTTTTAAGCAACAAAGAAGGGACTAATACAGAAAACTGGTAATGACAAGTAGGTTGTTGCTGAAAATGAATACCTGAAAATATGAAAGTGTCTTTCAAACTGGGTGATGGGCAGAGGCTAAAAGAATCTTGGAGAGGCAGACTAGTAAAAGCCTGTATTCTTGTGAGGGTTTAGAAGATAGGAAATATTTGGGAGTCCTTAGAGATTGATGAAGTGTTTGTGACCACACTGCTTCGGGAGAAATGGCGCCATATAATGCATGCTGGTTCAGAGCATATACAGCCTTCTAGAGAACCTTGCCCCACAGTTAACACAGTATTGTCATCTAGCAGGTGCTGGAACTGTAACTCCCAAAGGTCATTCCACCATTGTTTCAAGTGAGTTGCTTCAGGATTATAGGGAACATGGTGAATTCACTGAAGTTTCTGAGCATGAGCTCATTTCTGCCCTTCTTTGTGTGTGAAGTGAGTTACTTGTTCAGAAGCAAGGCAACGTGGAATACCATGATGGTAGATAGGCATTAAGTCCATGGGTGGTAGTTTCCACAGAATACTTGCATGCAAGGAAGTAAAATTTATAGACAGAGTAACTGTCTTACTATTCCAGGAAGAACTAAATGCTGCCCCTTCCCTGACGAAAGCTGCCCAATGTAAACAACCTACCACAAGGAAATTGGCAGATCTTCCTGGGGAATGGTGCCATATAGGGGCTCGGTGTTAGTTTCTGCTGCTGACAGTTGGAACACTCAGAGGGGTCTGTAACCTGGTTGGCCATGGTGAAAGGAATTCCAGATTGCTGTGTGTATGCAAAACCTCAGTCCCTACCACAGTGGCCACTTTATTCATAAGCCCGGTGACTGATGACATAGGTGCCTGGGAAAAGAGGCTGACTACTGTCAGAGAATGCATGATCACATCCACCGGATGATTACAGTCCAGAAGAGCTATGGTAAGAGAGTGAGTCAGTTTTCCTCTGTTTCCCAGCACAGTTTACCCAATGTTCTCTTTAAGCTTTAAGTGGCTTTTTCTGCTTCTCCTGAGGCCTGGGGTCTCCCTGCTGTGTGGAGTTTTAAGGGGATTTCTAGGCCTTGGGCTACCTTTTGAGTGATTTAAGATGTAAAAGCTCTCCCATTGGCCAGGCACGGGTCAAGAGACAAATGCACTCTGGAGTTCCATTTGTTCTAAGCCTTTAAATCTCTGCCTGTATGTTAGTCCAAGGGAGATCAGGCATATCCAACTGGCTAAATAAGGGCCATCTTTTGATTCATGGTTCAGCCAACCAACCGTTAGGGCCCTTTCTAATTTCCCATGCTGCAAAACTACAAGCAGTATCTTTTTTAATGAGTCCATATCAGTAAATCTGGGTGATCCAACTTTATGTTTCCTCCACTATTATCCTAACTCTTAATACCCTTTTCCACACATGTTCTCCAGATTTCTGCTTGTATAAATTATAAAGTCAAATAGTTTTCTTGAACTGTCATGAACCTCCCGTGGGCCAAACTTTGTATATCATTTTTAAGGGCATTTTGAGATTTGAGTCTACTTATAGGCCTAGAAGCAAAAAGGAGTGGTGGGTGTGGGGCCTTAGGAGAATCTGCATTGCAGTCCATTACCTTTCCCTCAGGCAATGCTGGCGTAATCCCTTCAGACAGAGGTGGAACCACCTTTACCAGTGTGGGTGAAGAGGCTACTGCCAAGAGGGTGTCAGTAGGGGGTCAGGTCTACTGGCAAAGAAGACGTCGGAATTTCAGAGCTCAATGTCTCCAGCCTCAACATGGTCTCTCAAAATGTTCCCAACCCACTCTACAGAGTTCCATTCTTCTCGGTACAGTGCTGTAAATTTACAGTAGGTACCTTGCCAGGCTGAAAGTTCAACTTTCATAGTAACTCAGCCAACTTCACAGTGAGGGTTTGTGTTTGACTTCTAGCGTTTTCAGCCCCGTGACTATAGGAGATATAATTCTCACTCAGAGCGCTGTAAGAAGCTCTAAGGCTTTTTATGTGAAGCCGAATTTTGAAATTCTGAAATGTGAATCTCTTAGCTTATCTTTTTTATCGATCACTTTACTCATCAATGCTAGAAGCAGAGGCCTTGATTTTCCACAGACGTTTAAAGATGTGATGTCAGAGTCACCAAGTTCCCTGTCTTTTATCAGTGTTGATTAGGAGTGTCAAAGCTAGATGTTTGCATATCTCTTAAGCTGTTTATGACATGGACTAGCAATGTTTTCTGGACTATTAGAAATGGAGTCTTTAGCATTTTTAGGTATCATCAGTTTAGAGACCTAAGTTTAGAAACCCCAAAACCAATGAAAGAAACTCGTTCCTAAAATTCCAGTTCTCTGCAATCATTCATGGTTTAAAAAATAAAACCTGTTTTAGCATTCTTCAGAGATACAGGACCAATAGGATACATATATAGGTAGACAGATGGGGGGGGCATTAATTAGATAAATTGGGTCACATTATGATGGAAGCCAAGACAGGTCTTCTGTAAGCTGTAAACCATGGAGTACCAGTAGCATGGCTCATTCCAAGGCTGAAAGTATGAGAATGAGGAAAGCTGACAGTGTAATTCTCAGTCTGAGGCCAAAGGCCTGAGAATGTGGAGGGATGCAGAAGTAAGTCCTGGAGTCCCAAGGAAGAGAGTCTGTGGTTAAGATGTCCAAGGGCAGGAGGCAGAGAGTGTATCAGCTCCAGGAGAGAGGGAGAGCAAAATCATTCTCATTACTTTTTCATTCTATCAGTACTCCCAGCCCACTGGATCGTGCCTACCCACATAGAGGGTGGATTGTTATAGAATTCAGCTCAGGTCTGCTCACCCAGTACAGTAAGACTAGATACCTACACTGACATTTGCAGTGGGAGAAAAGGAGGTGTTTATCTGGACATTGTGAAGCAAGGCGGATGAGGCAGCTAATGCTTAAGTTCCCACTTCCCCAGTGGCTTGCAGGTAAGGGTTTTTTTAAAGCAGGGGTAAATTTCAGGAAAGCAGAAGTTACTGGCAAAATTATAAATCAGTACATGGAGTTTACACATTGGTTTTGTCCTGAAAAGTCACGATATTTTGAAGCAGGGGCTTACAGGCCATACATAGATTCAAGGGTTTTCTGATTTGTAATTGGTTAAAGAAAAGAAGGTTTGGTTTAAAATTTGGGGGTCGGCAGAAAAAAAATGTTAGCTCTTTGGCTAATGGATTTGCCTCCCTCTAGGCCCCTCAGGAAGAAATTTAGTACAAAGAATGGCAGTCAGAATTCAGTTTTCAGGCCCCCTTATCTAAGGTGTACTTGTCAGCAGATGCCTTTGGTGGGGGTCTAGGTTTATGAAAAATGATTGAGGAATGTATGTTAAGATGTGATCTTTAGAACAAAACAAACATCTTCTGACTGTAACTTCCTTGGTGATTGTTTAGGCTACTATCACCTTCTTGCTTATCAAGTTCCTCATTTCTTTCTCAGCGCTAGCTAGGTACCAGGGATTTCCCTTGAAGGGACTCATGATTTTCCTTTATTTCCCTGCTTGGGGAAGCTACAGGCCCCTAACAAAGGGTCCCTGCTCCATCACAGGATCTTACCCACTCTGTCTACTGACTCACATTTCAGACCTTTCTGGTGAAACCTCACCGACCCAGAAGTAAAGCTTTGCCAGTGTTCTAGGTATTCCTTAATACAGTTAGTTGACTCCTAAAAGTAAACATCACATTGGATTTTGCAGTGTTACCCAAGCAGGTTTCTCATGAGGAGTTCAAATTGCTGAGTTAAGGAAAAGCAACCATGATTTCCACAGAGTCAAAGTTTGACTGAGAGGTAGTTACTGCTGAATATCTGTGCAGTTCCCACAGGGGACAGTGAGGTGAGATAAAGGTGGTATTCAGCTGTCTTATATGGAGTAGTCACCTTGAGCAGGTTTCATAAGGGTCTATGTTCAATGACCACCTTGAGGAACGTGGAGGCAGCCAGAAACTGAAAACTGTCATGGGTTTCTAAACTCTATTTCTGGTATGAGAATGTCAATACTATGTAGAAAATAAATGCCCAGATGATATAAAATTAAAACAATTCATAGGAACATTTAAAATAGGAATTCTAGTCACCCAATAATAACTCTCTCTCTAATCCTGAGGTAGCAGGTAAATCGAGTTGTTCAACTAATTTGAAACTATAGTTAAGCATGTTTTCACAATAAGAGACCAGAATACATATGATGAGCCGACAAAATTTTGTACTGAGAAGGCGGCAGTCACAGAGGAAAAATAGTGTGTTCCATTTATTTTAAAAGGCATATTTTTTACATCTTGCAAATACAGATGAATCATAATATTGTAAAAGACTATTGGTTAGAAGACAGTCATAATGTGATTGACTTTGTGTGCACACAAGTGAACTTGATGTAAAAAACTTCCATTTTCACATTCTGGTGGTATCTTTAACATCATAACTTGGAGAGGGACGTTAGTAGATGAGACACATAATCTAACAGAAACTCTTATAGTTCTCTCACTACAAATATGGCAACAGCAAAGCTCCTAATTACCAGAGATGATGCTAGTGTAGAAAAAATCCATGGACAAGGTGAGTTGCACAGTGATTTAGAAGAGTTTTATCCAAATATGAGAAATTTTAGAAAACCTTGATTACCTATTTTGCTTTCACTTTCTATCTCATGTGATCATAGAAGTGATAAAACATAAATACACACATTTATGTAAGTTCAAAAGTGTAAAAAGTAAAACAGAGGTTCCTCTTCAAAGACTTTCCTCCCTATCTCATTAGGAATAAATAGTAACTTCTCTTAGAAGCAAAATTTATTCAAAGACCTGTGCTAACATTCTTAAATATCTGCTAGCCATAATAAAGAAATGAATGTACTTTATGTTCTTAGCTCCCACAATTTAGCCTAAATATTTCCCCTGGCATGCTTATACTGGTCCAAGCAAGCATTAGGTCATAGCCTGTTCCTCTTCCTTATTTGAAGGTGTTTTTACTTTTCTCAGCATTCCAGAAGTTACTTCCTCCTTCCTTTGTTCTCTTCTGCCTTTGCCTCTTTTAAAAAGTTCTAAGTTGCTAGCCAGTCGGGACAAATATAGAATGTGAGGTCCTGTTCCAGCCAATGGAAACTGGACACAGCAGTAGGGTGGAAGCATCAGGTTATAAACGACCATGTCTCCTTTGTTCGGTGTACTCTCATTGCAAAACTGCTGGTGAGTGTACCCTTTCTGCAGAAAATATTAAAATGGCCTTGCTGAGGAAATTATATTCAAGTGCTATTTCTTTATGGCACCAAGGAACAGGCGTTTCAAATAAGATATATTATTTTCAACATATATGAGATAAAATTTTTGTGATGTCATATTTTTTCAATAGTTATATGCTTTTGCTGTGATGTAAAATAATGATGTATTTTACAGTTGATACATATGATACTATTTGCAATTACTTGGAAAAAGCTGTCACTAGTAGCAAATACTGACTTAGTGTTTAGTGTAGACCCACGTAAAACAAAAATGACTGACACAGATCTCATTCAGTTCAGAGAATTACTTTGCCAAGTTTAAGGATAAAGAAACACAAGTCACAGTAGGCTCTGTGGCCTGTGCTTTTTCCAAAGAAGGTTTTGCTGACTTCCATATTTATAGGGGCGAGACCAGGGAGGAGTGGATGGAGGATAAAGAAAGGGGGGAAAGACAGTGAGGCAAGTGTTACATCCTTACGAGGCCTGGATTATCACTCACTGCATCCAGATGTTGCATGTGTAAAGAGGAATGGAGAAAAAGTTGATTGTGCATTTGTCTTGTGCGTGGTAGATATACATTTTACATAAGATAGGCAACCTTGTGAAATTACAGCTGACTCTTTGGGAACAAAAGGAAGGTAGTATTAGCATGACTCAGTTCCCAACATTTCCTTTGTCATAGTGAATTTGGGGTTCCAAAATTTTGTTTTCCTTGTTCTTCAAAATATTTCAGAGAAAGCATTTTAGAAGAAAATGAGTGTTTGGTTATATTTTTTCCCTAATCTTAAACATTAGGATGGTTTATTCCTAGAAAGTTAGGATCCACATTTTTAAGGAGACTCATTCTAGAAGGTTGTGAAGAAATAGGGGGAATAAGAAATAAAGGGAAAAGATAAGAAAAAAGAGACACAGCTGGATTATAGCAACAAGGTAGAAACCAATCCTTGAAAACCGATAGACTGTATTACAGAGCAGTCCATATATAACTAGACAGTCATGAAATGTTTTATGTAAATAAATGAGATGCTGTTATTTCTCCCAAAGTTTAAGTTTTCTAGTTTCAGTGTGCAGGGCTTTACAAAAAGCACAGTTTTAATTTCTACTAATTCCAAGTCAGAAAAAAATGGAAAAGAAAAAAAAATAAAACATTGAAAATGTTAGTTTGGAGACTTGTAAGCGGCAAAGAATTTAGGATCCAGTCTAGCTAAATTGTAGACAAATGATAAAACTGGAAAGCAATGAACAGGGTGAGAATCCAGTAAAAGATGTACTATAGTTTCATTTGAAATACATTTTTCTTTTTATAGTCTTCCATTTTTACTAAAGAAAAATCATAATAAGACCAATTTATTTCCAAAATAAGTTTTCATTTTATTGTACTTGGCCTGATTATTTTCACAGAGTGCAGCAACAGTATTTTTTTTCCTTATAGGCTGTTTTAATTTGGCATTGATGGAACCTTTTTTTAAACAAAGTGTCTAAGATTTGACTTTTCAAAAAACCCCTCAAGCTCAAACAAGGATTTATTGTGCTTGCAAATAACTGTATGAACTGGGTGAATTCCTCTCACCTTGAGGTCGCAAGATTACTTGGAGTTCCTAGGCCTGTCAGAAAGTAACATGCTTTTCTTACCACAGGTTAGAAAATCTGTAAGGAAAATGCATAGAGAAGGTACAAGGCCAGTCTCTCCAAGGGAATTTTATTGGCTGTATTATTCAACCTAAATTTCTCAAAGCAATCTGCTCATAGATGAAAATATGCTATTCCAGCGAAAGCCTTGGCAAGGTAACTAGTGTCTCCAATTGTGTCCCGATCCAAAAAAAAAAAAAAATCTTATTGATGATATGCAAATAACTTATAGTACCATAAATTAAGAATATTCAGAAATAGTTTTCAAATTCTGGGGAAATCAGGTAAGAGAAAGAAGTATACTTAAAATTTTTCTCTAAAGAGTATACCATATTCAATTGTTAAAAACTATAAATATCTAAGAAAAAAGTTTTCTTTACTCTGAAAAAGGAAAGAAAAATAGTCATCAATGTTTCAGACAAAAAGTCCTAAAAAATTGTTTCAGTGTTCAGTTACTTCAGTCCCACATAATTACCTTGTTCTACTTTATATGGGCTTAGCAATCCTCATGAACACATCAGCCTGTTAATTAGAATCCTGGGAGTTTTGTTGTTTTTATTGTTGTTGTTTTCATTAGTACAATGGCACAATCTCCAAAGTTATCAGAAACCTAAATTCAAGAAAACCTATCAGAATCATTTTCATGAACTCCCCTAAAGAAGCATGTTTTGCGCCACTGGTTTTTTATAAACTATGTATTGAGAATACTCAAAGGAAAACAACAATTGTGAATGAAAAACTCTTAGGACAGTCATAGTTACAGGTACAGTCAACAAGAAATTTGGATATTTCAGTGTCATACAACAATTTGACATAATAATCATAATTATTACTGATAACATATAGTAAGGCATGTCAGAATTATTGGCATCTCATATGATTTTGGAGCACATGCTAATATTTAGGTAAATACAACTCAAAGAAAGTTAAATATTCATCCATGCTTCCTGTATGATTTTAACATATTAAATATGGCTAATGTGTCCCTGTTGGACTTCAGGTGACCTAATATTCAAAAAATTAGGTCACTAAGGCTGAATTAGAATTTGATTTGGAAAGTTTGTCAAATATCAAAGGTTTGAAACACTTGATGTTACAAAATAAAATCACCAATCACGATGAAATAAATTACTCATTATGCCAAAATGATATTTTAAATATTTCTAAAAAGCAAAAAACCTTTTTCTTTGATATAGAGAAAGGAGATTCAGTTTCTCAAATAATAAGGTCTAATATCAGGCTGAGTGCACTGCTTGTGCCTGTAATTCCATTGCTTTGGGAGGCCAACATGGGAAGATCATTTGAGCCCAGGAGTTCAAGACGAGCCTGGGCAATATAGTGAGACCTCGTCTCTACAAAAAAGAAATCTGTAAATTATCTGGTTGTATTGGTGTGTGCCTGTGGTCCTAGCTACTACAGAGTCTGAGGAAAGAGGGTCACTTGAACCCATGAAGTGGAGGTTGCAGTGAGCCAAGATCACACCACTGCACTCCAGCCTGGGTGACAGAGTGAGACCCTGTCTCAGAAAAACAAACAAAACTACCCTGAAAAAATGAAAATCCAGTAAGAACTAATAAATACAGTGTGAGACCAACTGAACTTACTCCCCTCTTCTTTTTTTGCAATTTGCCCAAAAGGCAAACAAAAATCTTTCAGTCTCTCTTAATATTAAGCAAAATCCTGGTTCAAAAAAGAAAACCAACTTTACCTTTGCATGGTGTGGTATTAATACTAAAGCAATTTTAATAAAATTTTATAGATGTATTCATCAAATCTGAATCAGTTTAATCATAAGGTACAATTTAAGAAATGCTTGTTAATATTTTACTATTTTCTACTGAGGAGCAGATAAGTTCTCTGAGAAAATCATGTCCAGATACTGGGCTTGCATAAGTGTGCTTTTTAATGTTCAATTTATAGAAAGACTAAATAATACCCTTTAAATTTCAACCCACTTGGTCACACACAATATTTCTTTTGTAAGATCAATCTGCTACAAATCTACAATTCCATCGAACTTTCAGTTTTCTATCATTTTCCCTTAGAACAACCAAAAAATTTCTTTCCAAGTTTCCTTTACCTTTTTTTTTTTTGAGACAAGGTCTCCCTCTATCACCTGGGCTGGAATGCAGTGACACAATCATAGCTTACTATAGCTTCAAATTCCTAGCCTCAAGCAGTCCTCCCACCTCAGCCTCTTGAGTAGCTGAGACAACAGGCACACACTACTGTGCCTGGCTCATTTTTTTTTCTGTTTTTTTTGTAGATATGGTGTCTCACTTTGTTGCCCAGGCTGGTCACAAACTGCTGGCTTCATGTAGTCCTCCCATTTTGGCCTCCAAAAATGCTGGGATTACAGGAAAGAACCACCACACGAAGCCCCAACTTTCTGTATCCATTTAGCTTTATCCATCAATTTGTCTTCAATTTAAAGACAATTTGAAAACCTCTACAGTAGACAAAATGACTTTCGCTTTGTAAGGAAAACACATTTCTCATACCTTTCTATAGCAATTTTTTTTCTAAAAACACATCTCAATTTTATTATACACTTTGGATGCATCTAGTAGATTTAATTATATATGTTAATTGTAATGTTACCCCTCAGTAACTCTTATTTTTAGTGAAAAAATCTAGGAAGTAAGAAATTTTCCTTATGTATCAGGTACAGAGCCAGGGACAAAAGACACAGCTGCCAATAACGTCTGACCCTTCCCAGTGTAGTCAGAGGGCACAGCTAGGTTAGGGAGAACACTGTATGTCCCCTGACTTACTATGGCTATAAGAAAGACAAGTCAAACAATTATTTAAAATATCACAGCAGTTTATGGCCCTAAAACATCCAGCAAAAACAGTATCTGACTTGCCCGACCATTTCAGACCAAATATCTAAATTAAATTCTGAAAACATTTCTATTTTATTTTACCAATTATTTTGTTTTAGGTTTGAGGTACATTTGCAGGTTTGTAATACAGGTAAATTGTGTGTCAAGAGGTTTGGTGTACAATTTTGGAACACACACTAACACATGTATGTGCATTGAACCCAAAGAAAGTTAAATATTTGACCATGGACTTTAATCAAGGGTATGTCTTCTGAATTTAAAGCAATGCTAATAGATTTTAATGTACAGAGCCAGAATTCTCAAGGACAGTCATGATGCTATTGTAAGTCATTTGTAAAATTTTATTTTCTAATCAATTATTAAGAATATGAGGTCTCTAAAATCTTTTTTATGTATCTCCAATCAAAACTTTGTAGAGGAGACAAACAGTGATTTTTACCAAAACAGTAACAAAAAGTGATTGCACAATTTACATAAGTTGAGATCTTTGAACCTAAGAATTTGTAACTGGCTAAGAAGAAAGCTAGACTCAAAGCCACCAAATCCAATTTAAAAACCCCCAGCCAGCTCCTTACTTGGAGATGCTGGCCCAAGTGGAAGACTGCGCTCTGCCTCCTCAGAAGCAGCAAACTCCCAGAGAGGGAGTTCTACAAGAGAACATACCTCAGACCTCCAGTAAAAAGTTTGGGAGATCAGGGATCTCTGTAGGGGGAGGCTCCCAGACCTCAGCAAATCATCCAATCAGTCAGAGCAATACAAAGCTTCCAGTTGGCTGTACCAGGGCCCTGCTAGGAGAGTTGCTGCAGGCCAAAGGGCCAAACTCTGCACAGAATTCATTGTGGTTTCCAAAATGTAAACCAAAAAGTGACTGAGGCAGGTCTCAATAAATTTAGAGCTAGATCTTGCCAACGTTGAGGATGTTCATGGGAAAAAGAAACAAAAGTTACAGCAGGATCTGTGATCTGTGCTTTTTCCAAAGAGAGTTTTGATGGCTTAAGCATTTAAAGGAGGAAAAGTGAGCAGTACAGGGAGGAGCGAAAAAGAAGCAAAAAGGGCTAGGCACTGAGGCAAGCGTTTGCATTCTGGTGAGGCTTTGATTAGCACTGACTGAAACCACATTTGATATGTGCAAATAGAGGAGTGGGGGATAAAGTTGATTATGCATTCATCTCATGTTTACTGGATCTACATTTTGCATAAGATAAAGTGACCATGTATAATTACAGCTATCTATTTGGGAAAAAAGGGAAGTCAGTTTTTGTGTGACCCGATTCCCAAGCCTAACTTTCCCATTGGGCATAGTGATTTAGTGTCCTGAGATTTTATTTTCCTTTCAAACCTGCTATTAGTCTACACATTTTGTGTATGAGTGCATTAAGTTGTCACAGCATCTCAAGAGGTACACACTACTGTGACCTTCTGAAAGTTCTAACTCTGAATCTGAGCTAAAGCCCTACAGGAAAAGACTTAGAACAACCTTGAGCTTGACCCAGTGTCCCTACTCATATCAACTATGTTAGAATAGCATTTCTCTCTTAGAGTAAACACTTTCTAGGTGCTTTTTAAGAATTCCTCACGTACACTATTATAATGAAATTCTTTTCCTATGTTAAATTCTAAATACTCTATTTAATTCTTTTTTCTATGGAGGTCTATAATCTACCTGAAGTTGATTTTGCACATGAGTTTAAAAGTAAATTTTATTTTTCCAGATGGATATTCAGTGTCCTGAAATATTTATTGAAAATTCATTTTTTCCCATTAATTTTTCTTTTGGATTATTTGTTTATACATGCATCTATCAGATTTTCAACTCTTTTTTATTTTTATTGATTCTTCTTCTTTTTTTTTTTTTTTTTTTGAGAAGGAGTTTCACTCTGTTGTCCAGGCTGGAGTGTGATGTTGTGATCTCCGCTCACTGCAACCTCCGCCTCCTGGGTTCAAGCAATTCTTATGCCTCAGCCTCCTGAGTAGCTAGGATTACAGATGCATGCCAGCACACTCAGCTAGTTTTTTGTTTTTTGTTTTGTTTTGTTTTGTTTGTATTTTTAGTAGAGATGGGATTTCCCCATGTTGGTCAGGCTGGTCTCGAACTCCTGACCTCATGATCCATCTGCCTTGGCCTCCCAAAGTGCTGGGATTACAGGCGTAAGCCACCATGCCTGGCCTATTGATTCCTCTATCTGTGCTCAAATATTACATCTTCTTATTTTTTGGAGAGTTCATTTCACACTAGAAATTTCCCTCCAGAGACTGTTCTCTTCATCACTGTGCTACTGAAGACAAGGAAGGATAAAACCTTGCATGTCTTGCATTTACATTAATATTCCCAGCTGTACTTCGAAAAAACAGCAGGTCATAGAACCTGTGGAGACAAAATGACCCATCTTGGATGCTAGTCCACCATGTTACTTCTGATTTGCCCCAGTTCCATGAATGCCTTCTGATCTCTCAATTATTTACTGTCCTTAGTGTAAAATCATGTCAACCTGGGTGTTACCACAAAAATTAGAGGCTATGATGCATGTAGCCTCCTTTTCCATTGTGGAGGGTTGCTTTTAATTGCCTTGCCAAAGCAAGTATACCCTTTCCCTGTGGAGTATTAACCCTGGGTCTGGAGAGTAACAGTGTGAACAGCTACCTACCTGCAGCCATCCAAGGTTATGCTTCTGTGTGTAAGTTCCATCAATAAATTAACCAGTACTGACTAAATGGATTTTCAGCCTTCTTTAATTTTCCGATCCTTTGGCATTTGAGAGTTGTTTTGTGTATACGGCCCTTTAACAGAGCAAATGGCCAGCCAGGAAACCAAAGTATGGACAAGGGGAAAGAAGCATCTGTGGAGGAAGTTTTACAAGCGGCCCTCCTCATCCACGTGGGTGGCGTTGCCCATATGCTCCACGTCTTTTGGCCACTATGTGTGTTTGAGAGCACCTCAAAAGTGACAGAGGGTGTAGAAAGCTTGTTAGTAAAATGCTACTAAAAAGTATGACTCACAGTGGTGAGAAAGGTTGCCAAGCAGTGCCAGCAGTGAGTTTGCTACTGTTATTTTCTATGCGAGTGGTCACAAAAGCACAGGTAGCAGCTGAGGCAAGTGTAGGGAAGCTAGGAAAAGAATCGCAGTGAGAAAGGGATGAGAACTTCCATGTCTGTGCTAATGTCTGGTTTTTTGGATAAACTTGAAACTCAAGAGGCACAGTTGGAAATCGTACCTTGCCACTTTGTGTGGCTGAGAGAGAGAAAGCTGTGCCAGCTGAATGTGTGGACTGTCCTTGCCAAGCCAGGCTGGGATGCAAATACCTGCAATTCTTGGGAACCAACCAGTGAGCCAGATGATGACATAGAGTTTAACTCAGAGGAGGAAGATCATTATCCTCCCCATTTGAGGTTGAAACTGTTCATGCAGTGGAAAGCAAAATTCCAATACACACAGGCATGGTTAGGATTACTGGATATAGCAAAAACTTTTAAACAGCTGCCAAGAGAAAGCCTTATGTACATGAGTGGTGCAGCTATGGGACACCAGTGGGGATGGTATCTCCCTAGAAGGGAATGAACCTGAAAAATCGAGATAGAAGTACCCCCGGAAGTGAAATAATCCCCTTATGGGATAAGTTATAGGGAAAGCCATTTCAGATTTCCTAGAAACTCAAAAGGGAAGAGATTAGGTCTGACTGGTTGCTAAAGGAAAATGGAAAAAGGGAGAAACAAAGTTTGCTGGATTGAAAAAAGGAGTTAAAAAAGGCGCAATTAGTGTTACTAGGAAACAAATGTGGTATGATCTGATTTCAGCTGGGATTGACAAAGAGAATATAGATGGGCAACCCAGTGGCATATTAGTGGGGTTTGGAAAGACCTGACTCCTGATCAGTAGTTTAGACCCCTTCTTAGTAACCCCCCTCCACCAGAAGAGGGAGAAAGACAAGAAGAAACCCTTGGTAAAAGGATCCCAATCTCTGCAATTCAGGGGTGGACTTCTTTCCAGCCTGGAGATCATAGGTAGGGTCAAGGCTGCTTCTGTGTAAGAGCAATAGGGGGTGACCAGAGGCCATATTTGGAGCTCACTGTTGATTGGAGAACCTTAGCTTTAGTGGGCACAGGTGCAGAATGTGTCTGAATTGATGGAAATCGAGAGACACGCTGGTAAGTGGGAAGCTATAGATGGTTGTGAGGGTTTAAAAATCTGAGTGAAACAAACTCCTCTCCTCCTTAGTTTTGTCTGGAGTTCCCACCTTGCTTACTCTCCTGTCTTTAACTTATCTATTTCAGAAAACATCTTGATGGATGTCTTCTTAGGATGCACTTTACAAACATCTGTGGGGGAATTTCACCCATGACAAAGGCTATATTAAGAGGGGAAGCAAAATGGGAAGGTGTACACCTCCCTCCCCCACAATGTATTGTTAATGTGAGAAAATATAATCTTCCTGGTAGAATACAAGAAGTCACAGCCACCATGGAGAAACTGGCGAAAGTTAATATTATCCAGCCAGCCCAGAGTCCTTTCAACCATCCTGTATGACAACTAAGAAAATCTGATGGCACTTGGATATGACAGTAGACAACTGGACACTACTAATCTTTCCAAGATACATGCTACTGTGTGTAATATAACTCAAGTGATTGAGGAATTAATACAAAACATAGGCACTTATCATGCTGTGTTAGATTTAGCTAATGCCTTCTTAAGCATCCCTTTTACCCTGACTTGCAGGCATTCTGTGGATGATATTCTGGCTTCTGAAGACTTGTCATTGCTACAGCAACACCGAGATGCATTGGCACTCTTCAATCCAGAGGATGGGCCATCAACGCACAAAAGTGGAAGGCTTGGACTAGCTGCAAAGTTCCTATGGATCACTTGGCCTGGTAAGACACACCTTACTTTAGGCTTGGTCATTGAAAAAATACAACAGTTTTCCATACCTAAAGCAGTTAAACAGTTTCAAAGTTTCCTAGGTCTTTTGGGATATTGGTGGTCTTTCATCTCGTATTTATCTCAGTGTTTGCCTCCCCTATACTGACTATTAAAGAAGCAATCTAAGCTGGGCACGGTAGCTCACACCTGTAATCCCAGCACTTTGGGAGACCATGGCGGGTAGATCACTTGAGGCCAGTAATTTGAGACCAGCGTGGCCAACATGGTGAAACCTCCTCTCTATTAAAAATACAAAAAATTATCCAGGCATGGTGATTCATACCTGTAATCCCAGTTACTTGTGCGGCTGAGGCATGAGAGTTGTTTGAACCTGGGAGGCAGAGGATTTAGTGAGCTGAGATCATGTCACTGCACTCCAACCTGGGTGACAAGAAAGAGAGACCCTGTCTCAAAAAAAAAAAAAAGAAAGAAAGAAAAAGGTATCTAGGATAAAGAACAAGTGGTAGTAATTTGAGAAAGCTAAAATATTGATGGCTCAGGCACAAGCTCTAGTTCCCCCCTTCCGGGATACCAGTGTCTTTAGATGTGACTGTAAACTCTGAAGGGACAAGACGGGTCCTCTGGCACGTTCAGCATGGGAAAGCAGTTCTTCTGAGATTCTGGTCACAGCTATGGAAATGTGCTGAAACCCAGTATTCTCCAATTGAACAACAGGTTCTGGGAGCGTGTAAGGCCATGCAGCACATTGAGCCTGTAACTGATCATCTGCCAGTAACAATGAGAACAGATCTCTCCATTAAGGGCTGGATAGAAGGGTTGTTTTCCAGGCCTATATCAGCTATTTCTCAAGCCTGCATTATACAGAAGTGGTATGCATACCTGCAACAATGTAGTGCCCTTTCCATGAGTCCCTTGAGAGATGCATGCTAATAGGTACAGGACACTATGAGACCAGTGCTGCCCCTGTTGTGGAGCCCCTGCAGGAGATGCCGCCAGTAATATACGAAGGCACATCTCCATTCTTGAAAATGCTTGGCACTTAGATGGGTGGAGCTGAGGTAACCCTTGTGTGTAGATGACAGTAACTGTACAGTTGCAGACAAATACTGTCTGACAGAGAGTGTTGAGGTTTCCAACTATAATAATGAATTAATCTCTTTCTGTTTGCAGTTGTATCAGTTTTGGCCTTACATAGTTTGACATTCTGTTGTTAGGCACTTAAATCCTTTAAGAATTATTATGTTGTACTGGAGAACTGACCCCTTCATCTTTGTGTAATGCCCGTCTTTATTTTTAGTGACTTTCCTTGCTTGAAGACTTCTCTGTCTGTAATTCATGCAGCGACTCTTCCTTTATTTGATAAGTAAGTGTTAGCCTAGGCTATTTTGTTTCGTCTATTTCCTTTACGTGTATACATGTCTTTAGATTTCATAGATTTTACTTAACATCATTTAGTTGGGGGTTGACTTTATTGATCTACACTGACATTCTCAGTTCTTTGATTGATGCTTTAGACTATTGACAACCAATGGAGTTGGATTAATATCAACCATATGTGTTACTGTTTTTGATTTGTTGCCCTTGTTCTTTCTTCCCGTTTTTGTACTTCACTTATTTTCTGTGTTTTGTGGTTTTAATTGAGAATTTTATGCAATTCTGTTTTCTTTCCATTCTTAGCATATCAATTATATAACTTTTTTTTTTTTTTTACTATTTTAGTGGTTGCCTTATGGAGTAAAACTTCTATTTTTCATATTCTTAATTTAGTCTCACAGATAATGGTTTCCAGAAAATAATAATAGCACAGATGTATTTGATTAGGCATGGTTATATCTGCATGTTATGTGTATATAAATATACATGTATATGTGTATGTGTACTCACGTAAAAGTGAAATGAATGACAGCACTAATAGGGAGAACAAAAGAGGTAAGATTATTTTGTTATTCCAAGATATTCATACTATCTGTGAGCGATACAGTGTTTTTTGAAAAGTATCTTGGATTCATTTTAAATGTAATATTGCAAACTCTGGGTAAGGGTTTTGGGCCAAGGGCCTCAGTTCCTTGCTGGCTTTGGCCTGTTTCTGCATTCAGTTTCCTCCCATGTTGGCTTCTCCCTTATGGCAAATGTTCCATCAAAGTCACCAAGGGAGGGACTTTGCTAGCAACACAAGAATCACAATCTAATGTAACATAATCATCCTACTAATGTCCAATCACCATTGTAGTATTCTGTTGATTTTAAGCAACTCACAGTTTCTGACTACATTCTTTAGAAGGAATTAAAATACAAAGTTACTTATCAACTTTACTTATGCTTAGAAGTGGGAGTCATTGAGTGCCATCTTAGGTTCTACCTACCATATCTGATCTTCTCCAATATGAAATAGTTTTTCAGTCTTCACTTATTTTCTATTACCTTGACCCTTTTGACAAGGACTGCTAGTCAGTTCTATTGTAAAATTTCCCACAATATGAATTTGTCTGATGTCTTCTCATAATTAGACTAGGGATATGGATTAAATTCAATGTTTTCAATATTTATATTTATTTAGGTTTAAAGAGAAGAGACTAAACAATATAGTATTTATATATACAAACATACAGGAAAAATGAATATAAGAAAATTAGAGATTGACAAAGATAATCCATAATAATAGTTACCTTCAGCTGTTAACAAAGATGATGAAATTCAGGAGATACATTCAGGGGGCATCAATGATATTGTTAATGTTCTTTTTGTTTTATAAGCTCAGCAAAGGCTTAAAATAAAATAGATTTTTGAAATTTAAGAATAGTTTTAGATTTACAGAGCAGTTCAAAATATAATACATAGAGTTTCCACAGACTCCATACACCATGTTCCTGAATAACCCCCTTACATTATTGTGGGATATTAGTCACAATGAACCAACCGATATTACACTATTATTAGCTATCCACACGTTATTCAGATTGATTTAGTTGTCATTTAATGTCGAGTTTCTATTCCAGGATCCTATCCAGGGTACCTCATTACATTTACAATTCATGCTCCTTAATCAACTTTGACTGTGACAATTTCTCCAAGTTTCCATGATTGCTATGACATTGGTGTTCCTAATTTGGGATTTCTCTAGTGTTTCTTTCCCGATTAGACTGGATTGTAGGTTTCAGGGAGGAAGACCACAGAGGGAAAGTGCCATTCTCATCACATCCTGTTAACGGTACGGACTGTAACATGCTTTATGCAAATGGAGGCAGGGTGAGATCACAGGACCGCAGGACAGAGGCAAAATTAAAATTGCTAATGAAGTTTCAGGCACGCATTGTCATTGATAACATCTTATCAGGAGACAGAGTTTGAGAGCAGACAACCGGTCTGACCAAAATTTATTAGGCGGGAATTTCCTCCTCCTAATAAGCCTAGGAGCACTGTGGGAGACTGGGGCTTATTTCATCCCTACAGCTTCAACCATAAAAGACGCCCGTCCCTGAAGCGGCCATTTTAGAGGCCTACTCTCAGGGATGCATTCTCTTTCTCAGGGATGTTCCTTGCTGAGAAAAAGAATTCAGTGATATTTCTCCCATTTGCTTTTAAAAGAAGAGAAATATGGCTCTGTTCCACCCAGCTCACTGGCAGTCAGAGTTTAAGGTTATCTCTCTTCTTCCCTGAACATTGCTGTTACCCTGTTCTTTTTTCAAGGTGCTCAGATTTCATATTGTTCAAACACACATGCTCTACCAACACTTTGTGCAGTTAATGCAATCATCACAGGGTCCTGGGGTGACATACATCCTCCTCAGTTTAGGAATATGATGAGATTAAGAGATTAAAGTAAAGACAGGCATAGGAAATCACAAGGGTATTGATTGGGGAAGTGATAAGTGTCCATGAAATCTTCACAATTTATGTTCAGAGATTTCAGAAAAGACAGGTGTAAGAAATTATAAAAGTCTGAATTTGGGGAACTAATAAATATCTATGAAATCTTCACAATCCCTGTTCTTCTGCCATGGCTTCAGCTGGTCCCTCGGTTCAGGGTCCCTGACTTCCCGCAACATCTCTCCTTCTCACATAGTAGATAAACAGACACAGGGTACATGATATGTTTTGGTACAGGCATGTAATACGAAATAAGCACACATCATGGAGAATTGGACATCTATCTCTATAAGCATTTATCCTTTGTGTTACAAACAGTTCAATTATACTTTTTATGTTTTGTAAAAATATACAATTATTATTGACTTTCATAGTTATCCTGTTAATGCTGTCAAACAGTTTGTTTTATTCATTCTTTCTATTTGTTTTGTAACCATTAAACATCCCTACCTTCCCCCAGCCCCCTGCTACCATTCCCAGCCTCTGTTAACCATCCTTCTACTCTCTATGTCCATGAGTTCAACTGTTTTGATTTTTAGAACCCACAAATCAGTGACAACATGTGATATTTGTCTTTCTGTGCCTGGTTTATTTCACTGAAGATAGTCATCTCCAGTTTTATCCCTGTTGTTGCAAATGACTGGGTCTCTTTATTTTTTATGGCTTACTATTACTCCACTGTTTATATGCACCATATGTTCTTTATCCAATCATCTGTTGATGGACACTTAGATTACTTCCAAATCTTAGCTGTTGTAAACAGTGCTGCAACAAGCATAGGAGTGCAGATATCTCATTGACATACTGATTTCCTTTCTTTGGGGTATATATCCAGCAGTAGGCTGCTGGATATATTTGGTAGCTCGATTTTAGTTTTCTGAGGAACCTCCAAACTGTTCTCCATAGTGGTTGTGCTAATTTATGTTCCCACCAACAGTGTACAAGGGTTGCTTTTCTTCACATCCTCACCAGCATTTGTTATTACCTGTCTTTTGGATAAAAGCTATTTTATATGGGGTGAGATGAAATGCAAAAAATTGTAGTTTCGATTTGCATTTCTCTGATGATTAATGATTTTGAGCACCTTTTCATATGCTTGTTTGCCATTTGTATGTCTTTTGAGAAATGTTTATTCCAATATTTTGTCCTTTTTTGGTTGGATTATTTGACTTTTTTCCTATAGGGTTGTTTGAGCTGCCTATATATTCTAGTTATTAATCCATCAGATGGGTAGTTTGCAGATATTTTTTCCCATTCTGTGGATTGTCGCTTCACTTTGTTGATTATATCCTATGCTGTGCAGGAGCTTTTAACTTGATATGATCTCATTTGCCCATTTTTGCATTGGTTGCGTATGCTTGTGGGATATTGCTCAAGAAATTTTCTCCTAGACCAACATACTGGAGAGTTTCCTTAATGTTTTCTTGTAGTACTTTCATAGTTGGAGGTCTTCAATTTAAATCTTTAATCCATTTTGATTTGATTTTTTGCATACAGTGAGAGACAGAGTTCTAGTTTCATTCTTCTGCATATGGATAACCAGTTTTCCCAGCACCATTTATTTAAGAGACTGGCTTTTTCCCCAGTGTACCTTCTTGGCAACTTTGTCGAAAATGAGATAACTATAGGGTTGTGGATTTGTTCCTTGGTTTTCTATTCTGTTCCATAGGTCTATATGGGTATTTTTATTCCAATACCTTGCTGTTTCATTTACTATAGCTCTCTAGTATAATTGGAAGTCAGGTAATGTAATTCCTCTAGTTTTGTTCTTTCTGCTTAAGATAGCTATGGCTACTCTGGGTCTTTTGTTGTTCCATATCCTTAACACAATTTTGATTACTATTGCTTTTGTAGTATGTTTTGAAATCAGAAAGTAGCATTTTACTACACAAACTTTGTTCTTTTTCAAAATTATTTTGTCTGTTCTGGAATTCTATTGCATTATATATGAATTTTAGAGTAAAATTGTCAATTAGGGGAGAAAATGTCACCTAGGATTTAGCTAGGGATTGCATTAGATATATTTGGGAAGTACCAGCAAGCTAATGATACTAAGCTTTCTAATCAGTGAAAGCTCAATGTATTTAATTTATAATAGTATTAATTTGTTTGATATGTTTTGTAGTCCTCAGTATATGTGTCTTATACTTATTTTATTAAATTAATTCATAGGTATTTAACTTTTATGCCATTTTACATGAAATGGTTTTGAAATTTTGTTTTTAGATTGTTAATTGCTAATAAATAAAAATACAGTTGATTTTGTATATTGACCTGTACTAAGCTGTACTACAAGCTTGCTTATCCCTTTTTTCATATTTTGTTATGTTTTATTAGAGTTTTTATGATGTCTATAGGCAGGATCATGTCATATGGAGACATAATTTGACTTTCCTTCCAATCTGACTTTTTTATATTTATTTTCTACACCAATTACCTTGGCCACATCCTCCAATACAGTAGTGAATAAAACTATGAAAGGTAATATCCTTCTCTTGTTTCTAATTTTACAAGAAAGTGTTTGAGCTTCTCAGAACATTTAGGATGTCATGTGAGGTTGTCTGTGCTTTCATTGTGAGGAAATTTTTCTTATTTGCCTAACTTGTTGCATGTTTTTATAAGGAATGAAATTTCAATTTAGCAGGTGCTTATTGCTCATCTTTTAAGATGACCATGTGTATTGTGTCCCTTATCTCTTAATATAGTTTATGGCACTAATTCTTTTCGTATGTTGAACCAAATTTACATTCGTAAGACGTGTACCTTCGTCAAAATTTATAAATTTTTACATGTCTGTTATTTGTTTTGATAGTATTTCCTTTAATTTTTGTGTTTATGTTCATAAGTCATATTGATCATAGTTTTTCTTCAGTAACTTTTTCTAGCTTTGGTATGAGGCTGATAATTCACATTGGAAAGTGATCTATTCTTCACTGGTGTTCTTACTGATTTTTATGTGAAAGGTCTAAATTTATTTAGCACAAATAGAATTGAACACATAAAAAGGAGAAAAAAATGTACATTTTTTCAAGATAATTTTCAGACTTTGCAAACAATTATATTGTATAAGTGAATAAAACCAAATCAGAGTAGTAAAGAGATGTGATTGGGCTACATAGATGGAGATTTACAATACACCAGAAAGGGAGAGAGAAAGGTGGGTGATAAATTACTCTTTTTAATATGATTTTCACTATTTTGCATATTTCTTTCTTTAAATACACTACCTACAAGTATAGAGAAAGATGAAAATATGGGTTGACAAACAGGTGCTCATTAATTAGAAGAAATACAAAATTTAAATTCTGGTATTTCATTAAGGCCAATTTAGTTTGTATGCTCAGGAGACCTAACATGTACACATTTGATGTGACACATTTTGTGAGCCTTTATAAATATCTATAAAAAATAGAATATCAGAGTTTTTAAAAACTTAAAAGTTGAAAAAAACAAGGATTTAAATATTATTATTAAAGTTGTTACCTATTCCCAGATGAGGACTTAGAAAAACAAACAGTTGGCAAACCAGTGCAGCAGGTGACTTCCGTGAAGCCAGAGGCACACCCTGGGAACTGGGCTGTTGCTGGAGCCGACACTGCTGTGCTGCACATGTGGCTGCCACCAGTTTCCTCCCTCTCTGGGAAGTGGAATTTGAATTGCAGGTGCTGATGGCTGATGGACGGAGGGACAAGACCACATTATCTCAAAATCCTTGGCTGGGTTGCTTGCTCCTCATTTCACTGCTAGGTGCCACAGGCTTGGGTTTACTGTTTATTTATTGTAAAATATATGATAAATTGGTATTAATTATTTGAAGATGTAAAATCATTCACTGCTGATGTCTTCTTGACCTAGTCAGGATTTTTTTTTTTTTTTTCAGAGATAGGGTCTCACTCTAGATCCAGGCTGGAGCACAGTGGCATGAATGTAGCTCATTGCAGACTTGAATTCCTGGGATCAAGCAATCCTTTTGCCTCAGCCACTTGAGTAGCTGGGGCCACAGGCACATGCCACCATATCTGGCTAATCTGTTTTCTTCTTTTTTTTTCTTTCTTTTTTTTTTTGGTAGAAACAGGTTCTCCCTATGTTGCCCAAGCTGGTCCTGAACCCCTAGCCTCAAGTAATCCTCCTGCTTCAACCTACCAAAGCATTGGGATTACAAGTTTGACCCACCATGGTCAGTCCAGGGTAGGAAATGGAATCTTAACAACTATCACACGAGCTTTGAGGGGATCCTTCTCCAGATGAGCCTTCAGTTGCGACCTCAGCCTTGGACATCATCTGCATCTGGATTCCTGACCCAGAGCAACTGTAAGTAATGTGTGTGTGATTTTGAGCCACCGCACTATGTGGCAATTTGTTGTGCAGCAACTGATAACTAATACAAAAGATAATACGTTTAGTTTATAATACTACCCTGGATTAGATTCTAGAACAGAAAAATGGCATTACTAGAAAACCTGGTAAACTCTCGAGAAAGTCTGTAGTTCAGTTAATAGTTTTATACCACCATAAATTTATTAGTTTTCATAAATACACTATGGGTATATAAATGAGATGTTAATATTCTAGTAAACTCTTGGGTATGTAAAACTAGCTGTACTATGTTTGGATCTTTATGTATATCAAAATTATTTTAAAATGAAATCTTTGTTTATTTATTTTTAATTAAAAGAGACAGGCATACATATGTTATCCCAGCTTCTGGGGAGGCTGGCTTGGGAGGATTGCTTGAGCCCAGGAGTTCCAGGCTGAAGTGAGCCATGATTGTGTCACTGCACTCCAGCTTGGGAAACAGAGTGAGATCATGACTCCAAAAAAAAAAGTTGGCCTCAGAAGATGAATGGACATACAGAAAAAAATAGCCAAGCAAATTTCCGCATACATTTACCCTTCCATACATACATCCATCTACTTTAGGAAGCCAGCATCAAACTCAAGGAACTCTTGTCCATATTTGACCTCCCCATCACACTCTTTATTACCAAGTAACTCGTTTGAGTGTCAGTAACCTCTCTGTTTTCAGAGGTATTTGCCTATGCCTCACATACCCCAGAAAGGCCCATTTTCAGATATCATTTAGGAACATATCTACAGGATCCCACTGAACGTATTTTGGCAGACAAAGTTTCTGGATGCCAAAGACCAAGATTGAGGAATGTTAGTGACAAGAAATAGAAATTATATTTTCATATTATAATTTTTTTATTAATATAGGCTTAGTTTTCTAAAGATAATTCTGCCTTCAAGCCTGGTTGCAATTCTGTGATAATTTCTTTTCACTCCACGTTCTCCATCAGGAATTTTATGGAACCTTGTATTCTGTTGAATACCAGAATTATATCAGCAATCCCCAAGTCACCAAATGGGCATCATCATGACAGCAGGTGGGTGGAATACAAAAGAAAAAAATATATATATATGTATGTATGTGTGTCTATATATATATGTATGTGTATATATATGTGTGTGTTTGTGTGTATATATATGTACATATGTGTATATATGTACATATGTGTATATATATGTATATATATGTATATATATGTGTGTGTATATGTGTGTGTGTGTGTGTGTGTATATATATATGTATATATATATATGGTGGTTGGTGGTTTTGGCAGTTTCTACTTATCTGGACCTGGACAAAAAAATCTTTTCACACCAGATTTTTGGCAGCTGAGATTCCAAATAGGTTTTGCACAGGCATGGAAAACTTGATAGAGGCTAAACAACAGTCCAGGTGTGGTGGCTCATGCCTGTAATGCCAGCATATTGGGAGGTCAAAGTGGGTGGATTGCTTGAGTCCAGGAGTTCAAGACCAGCCTGGGCAACATGGAGAAACTGTGTCTCTACAAAAAAAAAAATAGAAAAATTAGCTGAGTATAATGGCACACACCGGTGGTCCCAGGTACTCAGGAGGCTGAGGCAGGTGGACGGATTGAGCCCAAGAGGTCAAGGCTGCAGTGAGCCATGATTGTGTGACTGCACTGCAGCCTGAGCAATAAAGTCAGACCCAAGAAAGAAAGAGAGAGAGAAAGAGAGAAATAAAGTGAGAAAGAGACAGAGGAAAGAGGGAAAGAAGGAAAGAGGGAAGGAAGAAAAGGAAGGAAGAAAATACCACATAACCCCAACCCTCCACCAGTGATCTAAGAGATAGACACAAGCTGAGTGGTGATTCTGCATATGTGCTGGCTAAACAGAGAATCCCACAGCAGGAAGGACTCTCCATTCACCCCACACACAACTTCCTGTTCAACACGCTGCTGGACAGCACCAGGGTTCTTTCCAGGGACCATGCCTAAAAACCCACAAAGACATCAGACTTCATTCTCCACACCCGTGGCCATGTATAATGTTGATTTGTTTTTTGGTCTATAAACATGGGGTCTATTGTCTACACCACAGTAATAGTGACAGTGAGAAAATGAGCTCCTGTGACCTAGAAACTTGGAAGAGACATTCAGTTTCATGGATGTTATTTCTCATTCTTAGATGAGGATAACTGTTACTTAGGTGGTGTTAATTGAGCATTTGTAATTCAAGAAAACTAACTTCTTTAAGCTCATACTTTATTACTTGAGACATGACAGCTTTCATTTAAGGTTCCCATTTTAAAACATGGTGAGTGTTTCCATTTATTTCATTTGAACTGGAGATACTATCATACTTTCGTGACTTGTCAAATCCCTTTTTATCTTGATTTCAATGCATGTTTTCTAATCTATCATGATGAAGAGTGTGAAGATTGTGCTTCACTAAACCAGGAAGCAATTTAAAAAAAAGCTAGAATGGCAATCCATAAGTTAGACATAAGTGAATGCATACAAGATGTAACCCACCTTAATGTGGCATATCAGGGAGATGGAGACTGGAGAGATGAGGTTTAAAAGAAAACAGGCACTAAATTCAAAGCTGTGCTAAATGATGTCACAGGCACAGATGACATCGTGTGGTGCTCCAAGTTCCCAAACAACCTCTCTGACAGCACAAAAATTATGATTTCCCATAATATACTAAGCTACCAGGTTTCAGAGTGGCTGTCCTGGACACTGCAATTTTCAAAAACTATCATTGCAAACAAGCCAAATTCCTAGACCCTTTCATGAGGCAAGTACCTAACACTCTTTCTCCATCCACACTTTAGACTGATTGGAAGTTAGAGTTTAATGGATGGGTGGCTCATATAATTGAGAACATGATTTCACGTTCACTTTATTCAGTCTTCCTGAAGCCTTAAATCTCGGTCAGGGAAACATTCATGTAACCATTACAATTCCGCTTCCTCCTCAACAGATTTCTACGACCATCATTTTTTAAATTATTTCTACATACGTAAAATAGGGATTTCATTACTCCACTAAAAGCTCTCCATTTTTCATAGTTAGCATTCCATGGAGGGCAGGTCTTTGCAAACCTACCACCAAAATATGAGGAAGCTGAACAGCTGAAGATAGAGGCTGATATAACCAGTCTCTTAGAAAGAAACATTTAGTAGGGATTTATGAACAGATATTTGAGTCTCACATAGGACTTATATACCATGGGGAAGGAATGTGTAGGAAAACTGAAGTCTACCTGTCAGGGAAAGGCAGAAATGCCATGGGAATCTAAGCACAGGATTTATAGTCATGGTGGTTCTGACCTAAGGGCAGGATTTACAGAAAAATAATGATTTTCACAAGGAACAGTAGACACAATAGAAATCTTATCCCCTAGTTTGCATATAAAGGAAAAAAATATTTATACAGAAAGCTTAGAGGCAGTCCCAGAACAGGGGTTAATCAGAAGTCAACATGGTGAATTAGCTTTCAAGATTGAGTTGTTTTTGCCTCCACTGCTAGGTAGAGGGTAAATGGAGTTGGTCAGCTTATGTGAAAGTATAAGTCTATTTCTTCAATAATATACCACAATACAGAAAATGAGGTACCCTTGTTTCCAAGTAGTCATTGGCAGTCAGAGAGAAAAGTGCCATATTCCATTCCTCCTATGATACACATGTAACTGAGTGCAGGTCCAGCTGTTCTATGCATTCAAAAGCAATGACAAGGAGGACTTTCAGGGTGAAAGGAAAGTGACTTTATTTTTCAAATCCAGCAGTAGGGAAATGGCTGGATTACACCTCTATAAACCAGTTCAAAAGTTTGGGCTGAGGGCAGGGGTTTAAAGAAAGGGAAGCATGATGCATGACGTGGGAGGCATGCAGGTGTTGTGCAGATTCAGGGAGTCTGTGTCTTACTCCAGTGTGTATCTTGAGTTATGGTCCACCTGGAGCCACAGACTGATACCATCTTGATAGTGCCAGGCCATAGGTATCCATCCTGAGGCAATCTTTAAGAGAGAGACAATTCCACAGCTGGGCCTTTGTGTTTGGTTCATTTTAAATTAGCCTCTGGTATTTTTTTGACAGGTATATAGTTAGATAAGTATGCATGGTGTGAGTTTCGCCAGCATACAGTTAGATAAATGTGTATAAGGAATGGATGTGTACAGTGGGAAACTGAATGGGGTGTGGTTCCAAAGTATATTTCAGCGTTCTACTTGAAGACTAAAGCAATGGCTTCTGCAGTTTGCTTCAAGGTTACATCTTGAGACTGGGAGGAAGAAAAAAAAAAGAGCAAGAAGAAACTTATTTTGAAGCTATATTACTCAATTACAATCCTTCACCATAAATGACCATTCCATTTCCAAGGAAAATGGGCAACACAGTCCATCTAACTTCTTCCTGCTGAGAAGGGGCACAGTTAGAGGGTATCATATTGGAATCTGTTTACCTGGAGTTGGAAATATTCATGGGTTCCCAGACTAATGTGAGAATGTGTTGGAGCATTATAGTGTGGGGACCCAAATGTTTCTGGGAAAGTTTTTCCTGCATCTCCATACAGATCTTGAAAAGCAACAAAAACTACTGCAACCAAACAGAACAGGGAGCAGAATACCAATTATACTGTATATGAGAGTCTTCCATGGACCTGGAAGTCGACTAAACCATGACATTGTAGGATCCTGGGAGAGGACATTTATAGCAGAAATATGAGTATTCAGTGCGTGCATAGCCTGGATTATATCGTGAGAATAATCTGGTGTATATACGCACCATTCAGTCTTAATGCACAAGTATCACACTGGGCTGCAGTTAGGATATCTAAGGCCATAGGGTTCTATACAGCCACTTGTCTAATCTGCAGGTTTTTTCAGTGGGAAGGGTAACGTTGGGTTAGGTGTTATTACTGGCAGCAGCTCTATACTTAGGGTCTCTACTTATAATTCTACATCTATGTTTGCTGTCTGCGAGGAAAAGGCAGCTAGTGAGTAGAACCAACAGGGTGCCCATTTTTGATGGTGTTGTCTGGCCTTCACATTTTCCCAGTCGTCAGGGAGAGAGTCCAGATGGGACAGGATGTGTCCTGGTAGGTAAGGGCACCCCCAGGTGTATCTGCCGGTTCAGCTGTAAGGTAAGTAAGACCAGCTATGACTGCCTCACACCCATAGCTAACTCCAGGAGAAAGGATAGGCCCCACCATGTAGCTTGATACTATTTTGCCATCCTAGCCACATATGATTAGTCAGTTGATGGGTTTGGCCACATTGCTAAGAGGTAACCATCCCTTAGCCTGGCTGCTAGTGTGGGGTGTGTTGCTCTTGTGTTTTTGGATGTGTAGAGGTGCCTGACCCATTGCCTGAATTTGCACCATCACCAGCCATCCTATGTTGTCATGTACAGCATAGTCTATAGAGGGGGTGATATTAACCTGCTTATGAGCCAGATGGAAGATTTGTTTCCAGGTTTCCCCAAAAGTGGAGCACTCATGGTGAGTGGTACTGTAATCATAGATGGGAAATGGGTGAGAATTCTTACTCTTGTCCCACGTATAAACATAACTCCAAGTGCTCGAGTTGGTTGCTTGGATGTGCAACGGCAAGTCAGCAGTGGAGAAAGGGGTATTTCCCCCACAGACCCAGCAGTCTTTTGTTTTGGAGGAAAGCCACTGTTTACACCCATTCAGGTAGTTTCAGCAAAGATCAAGTATGTACTTATTACTCTAGAACTAATTGAGAACTTCATGTTAACAAAAGTATATTGCTTATATCTCCTCCTTTTTCTCTTATTAATAGTTTCAGAACTTTCCTTTGCACACATAACCAGGTACGCATCTGAGTGAAGCCCACCTTTCAGTCTTTGAAGGGACTCAGCCCTTTGTACTATATCCCCTTTTTAGGACGGCTACATTCCATCTTGGGATTGTTTCAAGTGCACGAGATGCATCCTTGTGTAATTTTCCAAATGATATCTTGGAAGTGTGGGCTACTGAGATGTGGTTGCACTAGGTTGGCGAGGACATCACTCCCATTGTGTGTTCCTTTATGTAGATGTTTTGAGATCAGATAAACCAAGGCCTTGGGGAATATCATCATCCTGTAAGTGTCAGTTTTCCAGGGGGAGTTGGACTCTCTTTTCTCAAACCCCTGGCTCGGGCACGTTTGGGATCTTATTCAGTGTAATGAGGTTTAAAATCTAGTAATTCCAAATGGAGTATTCATGTCCCAGAACCTGTGCCTCCCAAGCAGCTCATTTTGCAGCTTTGCCAGCTGCCTGGTTACCTCTGGTTATGAATTATCTCTCTGGTGTTGGGGCAGTGCATGATGGAGGCCTGGGCAGGCAAGGCAATTGCCTCTCCTAGGGCCAGAATTTCTTTTGGGTGTTTAATGTCTGTATTTTCTGATTTGAAGCGGCCTCCTCTATGTTTCCAAAACACCCAATGGGTGTGCATTACCAGGAATGCATGTATGGAATGAGAATCCCTTTTCCTGGGACAGTTCTAAAGACTCAAGTAAGAGCAATTAACTCAGCTCTTTGTGCGGAGGTAGCTGCAGGAAGGATATGGACTTCTGTTATCCTTTTGATAGTCATGGTGGCACATCCGGCTCTGTGCACATCTTTCATTAAGCTGCTCCCATCAGTGTAGTTCAAGTCCAGAGCACTCATTGTCTAGTTTGACAGGTTCAGCATGCTTGAATAAGCTGCATCAAGGATTTACAGTCATGCTTTAACCCAGGATTGTGTTCAGTGGCTGAGAGCAGTGTGGCAGGGTTTAGAGCCATGGTGGTTTGTAGGGTGATATTTGGATCACGTAAGAGGATGGCGTGGTATCTGCCCACTCACCCCACAGTGAGCCAGTAGCCTCCCGTTTGTTCTAGCAGAGTCAGCACCTGATGGGGCACAAATACGGTAACTGGCTGTCCCAGAGTAAATTGTTCTGCTTCCTGTAGGACTTCACAGTGTGTGCTCTTGCCCAGAGGAAGTGGGGGGCATCCCTTAACCTGTGGCCTAATTGTTTAGAGAAATGGGCCATGGAATGTGGGACAACTCCCAGCATTTGGATTAGCACAACCCACACCTATGGTTTGTTTCTCTTGGATATAGAATTTGAACAGCTTTTGGGAATTTGGTATCCCAGTGTGGGGGCTGATATCAGCTTTTCTTTGATGGTATAAAATGTTTGTTGACCTTTAGATGTCCAGAAAAGGGCCTCTGAGTCTAGTCCGTGTAGGGACTCATAAAGGGTTTTAGTCATTAGTCCAAACTTAGGAATCCGAATCTGGCAGAAGCTAACCCTTTCTAAGAATCCCCACGATTGCCCCCATTCTCTGGGGCTTTATGGCTGCTATTGCCTGTTTTTTTACCAGAACAGGCTCCCTTGGCCTTGCTTTAACCTAAAGCCAAGTCAGGTTACTTTCTACTTACATATTTGGGGCTTCTTGGGAATACTTTGTATCCATATTGTACCAGGTGATTTAGAACTAAGATGAGGTCAGCTAAGCATTTCCTATAGTTGTGGCTGGTATTAATTATCTATGTGTTGTAGCCAGGCTTCTTAATCTTGTTGTAGGTCTCCTAAGTCTTTTGCCACTATTTCCCCAAAAATTGTTGGTGTGTTTTTTTAACACATTGAGGTCCCACTGTCTGACAGTATTGAAAAGTTGTTTTACTCTCTGGGTCCTGTCATTAAAATAATAATAATAATTGCTGGGTATTTTTTTCAATTGTAATGCAGGAAAAAAATCTTTCAGATCTAGCACTGAAAAGCATTCTTAACATCTATATATAGCAGTCAGTAGATTGTATGGGTTAGGCACCATTGGGTGAATATCCAAAACTATTTTATTAACGGCTCTCAGGTCTTGGGCAAATTGATATTTGTAGAAGTGTAGCTTCCTTACAGGCACGATAGGGCTATTATATGGGGATCTGCAAGAATGAATCAGTCTACTTCTCAAATTTTTGAAAGACAGGCTGTATTCCTTCTAAGGCTTCCTTTATTAATGTATACTGATTTTTTTATTCGCCTCCTCCCCGCCGCCCAGGTCACAGTAGCCCCTTCTATTTTTTCTATATGCACTCACGGTATTTTTTGTTTTTCCTTGGATTCCTTCTGCCTATTCACAATTACGCACTCTCTCATAGACTTCTGAGGGAGAATTCTTCTTTCTTATTAAGGCAAGTGAATAACATCTTAGTTGCAGTGCTTTCTGTAGCAGGACCTGCAGCCGTAGTTGTTTCTCTGGGAGAAATTACTTGAGTATTTAATTTGCATAATAGGTCTTTTCCCAGCAAGGGAATTGGGCATTCTTACATATAGAAATAGCAGTGCCTTAGGTCCAAACTTTCTAGTTTGCATTCTAAACTTTGTAGGAAAGCCTTTTGTTGCATTATTCTTGCAACTCCTATCACAGGTATGATCATTTTGGTGCTTTTTGCTCATAAAGTGTTAAAACTGAATAGTTTGCCCAGTATCAACCAGGAAATCAATTAACTTTTTCCTCACTGTCAGTTGTACCCAGGGTTCCTGTGGGGAAATTTTAATTGTCTCTGAGTGATTAAGGACTCTCCTTGGTCCTTACTCTCTGTGGCATCACTCTCTGTGGTCAGAGCAGTGACCCTGCTCCATGATTTGACTGTGAGCTTTTTCCTAGTCATATTCCTCCTTTTTCTGGCCCCTTGGTCCTTTCTTTTGGGACAGTCATCCTTTCAGTGGCCTTTCTCCTTACACTAGGCACACTGGCTGTGTTCCAGAGGCTTGCCTCGATTTTTCTGATGCAGAGGCTTCCTTGTTCATCCCACGTTTATGGTTGAAACTTCTGTTTCTTTGTCTCTGGAGCGGGGAAGGGGTCATTCCTAGTGAGGCTTCCTGTTTTGGTACCCCTTTCCTGAGTCCAAACAGGAAGAATGTTTGTGAATATTCCAGATGGGCCATGTGCCCTTATCAATTGGAGCCCCAATTAGGGTTTGCATCCAGAATGCTCCCTTCAGGTTTGGGGCATTTGGATTTGTTTCATGGAGGCGCCAAGACTCTGGATCTTCTTTGGTCTGCAGCCAGAAACATATTTAGGAGAGACTACACATCTGCTCAGGTACACTGGTGGGTAGCACTGATAGACACATAGAGATCAGTCATTTTCTGGGGATCCATTCTATAAAGTGGGGTGGAGTTTTTCCATTTCACAAGTTAGATGTTGAAAATGGCCTGGATGTCCAGTAATGTCTGACAGGTTGCCCACTGGCATCCAAGCCACCCGTGGCCGTCCTTGTAAATGGTAATTCCCTTGTTCCGGCCATGGCACTTCCTTGCTAAATCGTGTTCCCTGTCAAGCACTGGAGGGAGAGGCCGTCTCTGTTCTCTCATTATACTGAGGCGGCAGAGTAGCTCCCTCTTATTGGTCTGATGCCCCACTTGGTAACATCAAGGCAATCTGGGCCAACGCAGAGGCCAGTGCTAAGGGTCCCGTATGGCAGTACCGCAGTGGGAGCTGTTGGGGTGGAGCAGAGGCCAGGTGCATTCTGGCTGTGGTGGTTGGAGCTGCTAAAACAGCTTGGGTGTAGGACATTTAAAAGTCCTAATTCTTCTTCATTGCTTTCTGCCTGAGTTTGGCTCTCTGGCTTGTGAAGAGCCTTTTTTCCATTCTGTCCTTTGGTACAGCTAGCAGCTGGCATCTTCCCTCATGGTATGAATCTTGATTTTTGAAAAGCATGAAGGCTTGAACATACGGTATTTTTTCTAATTTTCCAGACCTCTGACAAAATGAGTCTAACTGCATTAAAGACTAGTATTGGTTGCGTCCATTCAGAGGTCAAAATTTATAACCTAACTTGTCCACAGTCCAAACAGCACTGCAATAATAGACCATTTTTCTGTTAGTCATGCGCTGATAGCTATAGGCTCTACAGTTAGCTAGGGTATGCCCCAGGGGCCTCCCAGGGGGGATAGAGACCTTGTTTCCCCTCCTGACTTGGTTTCTATGTCCATACTGCTCATCCCTGTTGAAACAGTGATGACAACTTTTATTTGTTGTCTCTCTTCTGTTCTGCACTGCTTATATCCTTCAACCAGAGCTCTATGGGTTGGAAAGACTTTTCTAGCTTCTTATAAGCAGTGCAATTAGTACCACTCATGGTCCTAAAAGGAACACTTGTGCAAATCTCACCACACAGCTGGGACAGCCAAAGAGACCAGAGGATAAACTCATTGGGCAGGCTAGTGATTAGCACCAGCTAGCACAGCACTCCCCTACCACCGCCCCGTCCCCCACTGGCCCAGCCCACCAGCACATCAACTTCATCCCAAGTCCATGTTCTGCTGTCCTTAGTACCCTAGTAGAGGGTAACTGAATGGCAACAAATTAAATGGTAAATTAGGCAGACAAAAAGGGCAGAGGCTTTGGAGTCAGGACTGCCTAAATACTTATCCCATATGCTGTTAAGCTTTTTTTCACATAAAAAACATTAAGCACCATAAGCATGGTGGCAAGCCCTTTAGATAACCTATGGAAGAGTTCACATCCTTCCTTTCCCCATAAAAACTGGCACAGTTGTGAGAAGTACTCCAGGGCCCTAAAAAGAGTGACCCTGCTAGGGCAGTGGAGGCTGTTTCCCTCCAGGGCTGGATCCTGGATGGAGTGGGGCTTATGCAGATCACCCTGCAGAGGAAAGAAGGAGGAGGAGAGAGAGACAGAGATGAGGGCCTAAATGTAGATATTGTACACTTTTACAGTTGCAGATTCAGACTGCACAGTCCCAGACAGATCCCCACTAAAGGGCTGGGTAAACGTCCTGAAACCTCCTCTCAATTGCAGATGCCCTCCCGCCAATCAGCTGACTCCAAGTGGAGCAAAGCCCAGGTCTTGACGTAGATACAGATACGAGACACACCCAGATGATGTCACAAGCAGCTATATGTAAACAGAGCAGAGCTCAGGTGACATCACAGAACAGGCAGAGGCCGTTCAGGGGGTATTCTGGTTGCCTTACCCAGCTCTGAAGTCTGTCAGCCTCTTCAGATGTCACTTGCCCTGTGGTAAGGAAGTGTAGTTGGCAGCTGGTGCAGTGGCAAGAAGAGAAAGGAAGTTCCCCAAGACAGAAACATCTCGGCAGGTAAAGAGAAATTCCCTAGAGCCCCAATCATGGGATCAGCTAGTTGGAAGCAGGTGGCATTCCTGGGTAGTTTCTTTCCCTTCCAGTGAGCAGAGCGGTTAAGCCTTGGTGTGCTTGTGTGTCTGATTGCCCCATTCATCGGAAACCAGACCGATGGTTTCAGGAACTCTGAGTGTGTTGTTCCCCTCTATGTGTCCATGTGTTCTCATCATTTAGCTCCCACTTATAAGAGAACATGGAGCATTTGGTTTTCTATTCCTGTGTTAGCTTGCGAAGAAAAATGGACTGCAGCTCCATTCATGTCCCTGCAAAGACATCACCTGGTTCTTCTTTACAGCTGTGTTGTATTCCATGGTGTATATGTGCCACATTTTCTTTATACAGTCTATCGTTGATGGACAATTTAGATTGATTCCATGTTTTTGCTATTGTGAATAGTGCTGCAGTGAATATATGTGTTCATGTGTCTTTATAACAGAATGACTTATATTCCTTTGGATGTATACTTAGAAATGGGATTGTTGGGTCAAATGGAAGTTCTGTCTTTAGGTCTTTTAGGAATCACCACACTGTCTTCCACAATGGTTAACCTAATTTACACTGCCACCAACAGTGTATGTGTTCCTTTTTCTCCACAATCTTGCTAGCCTCTGTTGTTTGTTTGATTATTTGTTATTTGTTATTTTTTGACTTTTTAATATAGCCATTCCGACAGGTGTTAGATGGTATTTCATTTTGGTTTTGATTTGCGTTACTCTAATAATGAGTGATGTTGAGAAGATTCAAATAAATGCAATCAGAAACAACAAGGGTGATATTACCACCGACCCCACAGAAATATAAACAACCATCAGAGAATATTATGAACACCTCCATGGACATAAACTAGAAAATCTAGAAAGAATGAAGAATTCCTGCACAAATACACCCTCCCAAGACTGAACCAGGGAGGAACTGAATCCCTGAACAGACCAAGGATGGCTCTGAAATTGAGGCAGTAATAATTAGTCTCAGTGACAAATTTTTAAAATGCCACTTAGAAAATGTACACATAATTTTGCTGTATTCAGCAAATATATTTGTAACAATCACTTTTAGGAAGGGTGTTAAAATATTTTATTTTTTCTCATTTAGCTTAATATTTTAAAAATATTTTCCTGGTAGCAACTATTTATATCTCCATTTTCATTGATATAGTCAATAATTTACCCACCTTTCTATTAAATAATAGTGGATCAACTGATGTGTATTATTTTATACTGAACTTTGGCACTCTTGACATAATTCATATACGAATAGTCATCCAAATGTCTTGGCCAGTGAAGATGAGATTCGTCTGCCAAGGTTGAACAGGAATATTCTCACCTGAAAGCGGCAAGCAATACAAAAGTAAGAAAATGGTTGATGAAATTCAGGAGTCCCACAAGCAGATGAGAATTTATTTAGGGCCTGAGAAGGTGCAGGGACCCCTCATAGGGGCCTGTGTACCACCCGAAGCATGGAAATAAAGGAAAATCTTGAGTCCCTTCACAGAAATTCCAGGCACCTCTCTACCTCTGAGAAGTACACGAGCCACTTGAGAAGCAAGAAGGTAAAACAGTAGCAAGGAATTGAGAGTCATGGGAATATGGGGTTCCCTATGGAAACTAAAAATCAAAGCTTAGCATATGTCCCTGAGTTGTTGTTCAGAAAGCTGCCCCTCTACTAAATGGATCCACTGGCACATAGACCTCAGATAAAGGGGATCTATGAAATGAACTCTGCCATTCTTTATTCTCAATTTCTTCCTGAGGGGCCTACGGGATGTTATGTCTATGAGCCAGAAGTGCCATTATTTTCTGCTGATCCCAAATTTTCTGACAAATTTTACTTTCTTAAATAAATCACAAATCAGAAAATCTTTGAATCCTCCTATGACCTGTAAGCTTCCACTTCAAGATACTTCATCCTTTCAGGCTAAAGCCAATGTGTAACCTCAATGTATTAATTTATGACTGTGTATCACCCCTGCCTCTGTGTCTTTAAAATCCCTGAGCTGTAAGCTGTCTGGTAGTTTTAGTCTTTATTTTATTTTATTATTTTATTTTATTTTTGGGATGGAGTTTTGCTCTTGTAGCCCAGGCTGGAGTGCAGTGACTCCATCTCAGCTCACTGCAACCTCTGCCTCCCGAGTTCAAGCGATTCTCCTGCCTCAGCCTCCTGAGTAGCCAGGATTACAGGCAGGTGCCACCATGCCCAGCTAATTTTTGTATTTTTATTAGAGATGGGATTTCCCCATGTTGGCCAGGTTCGTCTCGAACTCCTGACCTCAAGTGATCCTCCCCGCTCAGCCTCCTCAGTAGCTGGAACTACAAGTGCGAGCCACCATGCCCGGCTAATTTTTAATTTTTTTTAGTGGAGAGGAGGTCTCTCATTGTTGCCCAGGCTTATCTAGAACTCCTGGCCTGAAGCAATCCACCCTCCTTAGTCTCCCAAAGCGTAGGAATTGCAAGCGTGATCCATTGTGCCTGGCCCAGGGCCTGTGCTTTTAACCACTGAGCTGCTCTATAATGAGGTGAAAGAAGTTCAGACGTGCATGCCTTGCACCTACAGCAATCCTTTCAGCTGTACCTTGAATGAGGCTGTGGATATACAACTTTAGAATGTTGCTATTGACTCTGAAATCTCTATGTCCTTGTGAATCTTAGGAGTCTCCCAACACCACTACCCACTTTATGTATTTAGTATCTTAGACAACAGCCAATGTTGTTGAAAACCTGGAGAGGCAGCCCTGGCTGCCTCCTGCCCTGCTGTAGATGATCCTGTGAACAGGGTCCCCCTCCAGACCATGCCCAACAAAGGCAGGTTCACAGGGGAGCCTCTGAGCTCAGAGCCTCTCTGGGGGCTCTGCATGCACAAGGACAGCAGCTCCCTGCCTTGGTTGTGGGTTGAGGTAGGGAATTCAGGTCTTTTAAAAAAGGCTGAGTTTGTTCAAAAATGATTCTGCTTGCTGAACAATGACACCTTAAGACTTTAGATTTTACATCGTGATATTTCTCCTTGATTTTGATTTAATTTGTTGTGCAAATGTCTTAAATGCTTGTGTATAAATATTCTCTTTTGTTGGTCATATAAACATCATCTAAAACCAAATATTTATTTTTGTATCATAGATTTAAGGCCTTTATTTCTCTATTTTAAAAATGCATTCATAAATATTTTTCAATGAACCATATCAATTATTTTCATCTTTACTCCTATTTCTCTTTCAAAAATTGAATGTTAATATCACTTTTATGGGAAGCGACAGACGTTACACATTTCTGTTTTATGATTTTCCAGAAATTTCCTCCTAAATAGCTCTGGTTAAAAAGAAGGACAGAAACTATTCTATAAGCCACAAAGCAAAATTGTCCCACATTAAAAAGATCTTCTTATGCTTAAAAAGATCTGTCAAACTTTCTATTCTATGGCTTAGTTTGCTGTACATGTGAAAGGTTAACAAGGTATTGATTTGTGTGGCAGGAAAGTTAGACTTCACATCTGAATGCAAGGAGCAACCTCTTCTTAACCATGCAGGTGTGAACTTCATGATGTTGTTTCATTTTCTCCTTGTACAAAAGATGTAGACATTGACTGGACTCCATAATTCCTTCCACCTCACCGCCATGTACGTGTACATGACAGTACGGATCACCCATTCTATTAGATATGGATTATTTTCTTATTTTTGATGAGTGATGATTAAACTCGTTTTTAGTTCTCAGTGATATAAAAAATACCAGTTAGAAAATGTGTACATCATGTGCTGTGATCAGAAAATATTTTTGTGTTATTAGCTTACAAAAAGGAATTTCAATCTTTTATTTATTATCATTTTCATCCGGTTTAATAGTCTCAAAAGGTTTTCATACTTGTGAATTTTTTAGATTTTACTTTTGTTGTCTTAGTCAAAACTTAGACAAAGATTGGAGACATTTGTTCAAGACGTGTGAGACATGAGCAATCAACACAGCAAAACACTGGTATTTTATGGGAATGTGTAATAATAGATGGGCACTTGCCCTGCTAGGTGTGGCAGCCGTCAGGGTCTGTGGGCTTCGGTGCTGTACACAGAATCAACAGATCCTGCTTTAAGGAAAAAGTGCCCCTCATCTGTCGTACGACAGCCTGGCACCATTTTGTTACGAAACCCAGGTTTGGCCATGGCCACTTGCAGAATCAAGTAACAGAAGGGTAGTAAAAAGAAAGTCACTGGCCGGGCGCGCTGGCTCACACCTGTAATCCCAGCACTTTGGGAGGCCGAGGCGGGATGATCACCTGAGGTCAGGAGTTCAAGACCAGCCTGGCCAACATGGCGAAACCCTGTCTGTACTAAAAATACAAAAATTAGCCGAGCACCGTGGCGTGTGCCTGTAATCCCAACTACTGGGGCACAGAGCGAGACTCCGTCTCCAAAAAAAAAAAGAGAAAGTCACTTTATTCCCGAGCTTAGCAATGTGGGAGGGCTGGATTCGTATCTAAAGGAACCATATAAGTTTTCTACGAAGAAAACAGGGTTTTAAGAAGAAATATTGGAAGCAGGCCATGCAGAAGGGGTGTGGAGGTGCAGGATCTGCATGACTCGATGGATGACTTATCTCTAGTCTTGGGTCACTCGTTAGCCTGCCCAGCATCACTGGGGACAGAGTCAGGTTGTGGATTAACTGATGTCTTGAGACAATCTCTCTATGGAGGAGAATTCTGGTGGATTCTTACTTTGGTTCAAGATTTGGTAATTTATAAACAAACGTATACTTAGCTAAGCTGACAGTGCTTGCTGGTTGTTTGGCTGGTGGAAAGGAAGGAGGGAAAAGTTTGAATTTTCATTTCTAAGGAGCTAAGTAAGACATGAACACACAGGAAAAAGAAAAAGTAAATGTTTTTTAAGGAAAATGAAGTACTTGGTTACAACACCCCACTGTCAAATTCTACTTTATTTTTATTCAATTGGAGCATCATATTCATTTAGTCTGCTTTCTACTGAAAGGGGGCATAGTTATAGAGCATTAGAATGGAATCTGTTTACCTGGAGTTGGAAATATTCTTGAGTTTTCAGCAGGAACTTACTGTGCATGTATGATGTGAGGATCCACGAATTTCTGAAAATGATTTCCTGCATCTCCATGCAGAGTGTACAACAGCAATAAAATTCATAGCAGCTGAAGAGGGCATTTAACAGTTTTAATAATATATATAAAAGTATTTCATGCACGAGGAAGCTGACTAAATCATGATGCCATAGAGTCCTGAGAGAGGGCATCTATAGCAGAAATATGGGTATCTACATGCATAGCTTGGGTTATATTGTGAGAATAATTTGGTGTATGTGTGTGCGTGTGTGTGTGTATGTGTGTAAAATGGTCAGCCTTAATGAATGCACAAGTGCCACCCTGGGCTGCAGTGAAGATATCTAAAGCCATATGATTTAAAGACATCATGAGATTAGACATAGCATTAGTTTGCTTGTGCATGTCTTTTAGGGCTGAGAATATGTTTCTGGAGTTATCCAGGATGTACACAGAGCATTTAGTCTTTCAATTGAGTCCCTTGTCATTTTGAAATACCACCATATTTAAGATTTGAGCTTGTTATGTGGCTGATTCATTGGTTGCATTGTTGTTGAGCATTTTGTCTTGTTTGATCACCACTAGATACTCCAGGCTAATTGTATTTAGTCCCTGTTCAAGTCTATATTTGACCTTTTTCTCACAGACCCCTACCTTTTTTGTTGGAGAATGAAATAAAAAATGAAGATTTGGGCACTCACTGGTTTGTACCCATTGTTACTGGGGAATGTGTTGATTGGAGGCCTTGTTATCTAACAGAGCAAAGAGTAAATACACACATATGTTTACAAATTTCTACAAGTCTCCATATGTATCCACATTAAATTAAACATGAATTCCTGCAGCGTCCTCAGTCCCACACGATCTTATTTAGCACCATGTGAATCTGTCTACCCATCTCACTTATCTGTATGTAGCCTACCAGTGTAATATTTAACCACCTGAAAATGCAGGCATAGTGGTTTTGGAATAAGAAACATACAACCCCATGATAAACACCGTTACCACCTGTTTATGTATACCAACTGCTTATGTATAAATCCTTTAGCCTTTAGACAGAATCTGAATAACTTATGTCAGTTGCTTAGGTCAGCTTCTTTTTACCCTTCCTCCAGTGGATTATTTCATAGATTTGTATATTTTCTCTGCATTTCTTCCTGGTCTGTTCCTATCTACTAAATAAGTTTTTTTGTTAATTTACATACTTTTAGGTTCACTCTTTGTGATATAAAGTTTTGTGGGAGTTGAAAAACTGTATCTTTTATCCACATTACAGTAGCATACATAATGCTATACAAAAAGAAATTTTCTGTCTTTACAGATTTGTCTTTCCTTTTGGCTGACACCCTGGTAACCAGTAAACTCTATACTGTCTCCATCCTTATGCCCTTTCTAGAGTGTCATACATTTTTTAAAACAAAAAGTATTTTGCTTTTACAAAATTGCTTTTTGGACTTAGTAATATGCCCCTTGGATCAGTAAAGGATATCTTATGGTTGGGATTTGCATTTCCCTAATGACAGAGGCATTGAGCATCTTTCTATATGCTTATTAAATATTACTATAGCTTCTTTGGAGACATGACTGTTCAAATTTACTATTTTTGATTGGAGCATTTGCCTTTGGATTTTGGAGTTGTAAGATGTTGTAATATATTCTGGATTATAAATTCTTATTGACTATTTGACGTACAAAGACTTTTCTCCCATTTTAAAATTGTTTTTACTATTTTATTATGTACTTTAAATTATGATATATTTTATTAGTGATGTTTCAATATATCTATTTTCTCCTTCCTCTTGTGTATTAGTTTTCATATCTTGGAAACCATTGTTTAACCTTTGTTAAACAATTTGTTTTTGTTTTTGGTTTTGGCTTTTTAGGTGTATGATTGTATTAGTCTGTTCCCACACTGCTATAAAGAACTACCTGAGACTGGGTAATTAATAAAGAACAGTGGTTTAATATATCCACAGTTCTATAGGCTGTACAGGAGGCATGACTGGGGAGACTTACAATCATGGTGGAAGGCAAAGGGGAGGCAAGAATATGTTACATGGCTGGAGAAGGAGGAATAGATAGAAGAAGGAAGTGTCACTCACTTTTAAACAATCACATTTTGTGATAACTCACTGTCATAAGAACAGCAAGGGGGAATCTACCCCCCATGAGTCAGTCAACTCCCACCAGGCCCCTCCTCCAACATTGGAGATTATAATTTGCCATGAGATTGGGAGGGGACACAAATCTAAACCATATCATCCTGCCCCTGACCCCTCCTAAATATCATGTTTTTCTCATATTGCAAAATACAATCATTCCTTCTCAATAGTCACCCAACTCTTAGCTCATTTCAGCATTAACTCAAAAGTCCACAGTCCAAAGTCTCATCAGAGATAAGGCAAGTCCCTTCTACCCATGAGCCTGTAAAATCAAAAGCAAAGTCGTTACTTTCAATATACAATGGGGGTACAGGCATTGGGTAAATACACTCATTCCAAAAGTTATAAATCAGCTAGAACAGAGGGACAACAGGTCCCATGCAAGTCTGAAACCCAGCAGGGCAGTCATTAAATCTTAAAGCTCCAAAATGATCTCCTTTGAGTCTGCATCTCACATCCAGGCCACACTGATGCAAAGGATGGGCTTTCAAGGCCTTGGGCAGCTCTGCCTCTCTGGCTTGGCAGGGCTCAGCTACCATGGCTGCTCTCAAGGGCTGGCATTGAGTGCCTGTGGCTTTTCCAGGCACATAATGCAAGCTGTTGGTGGATATACCACTCTGGGTTCTGGAGGACAGTGGCCCTCTTCTCACAGTTCCACTAGGCCCCCAGTGGAGACTCTTTGTGGGGACTCCAACTCTATACTTCTTCTCTGCGCTGTCCTAGTACAGGTTTTCCCTAAGGGCTCCATCACTGCAGCAGACTTCTGCCTGGGCATCGAGGCATTTCCATACATTCTCTGAAACCTAGGCAGAGGCTCCCAAGCCTCAACTCTTTCCCTCTGTGTACCTTCAGGCTTAACACCACGTGGAAACTGCCAAGGATTATGGCTTGCACCTCCTGGAGCAGTGGCCTGATACATATCTGGGGACCTTTTAGTCATAGCTGGAGCTGGAGCAGCTGGGGCACAGGGATCAGTGGCCCAAGGTTGCACAGGGCACTGAGGCCTTGGGCTTGGTCCTTGAAACCATTATTTTCTCCTAGGCTTTTGTGCCTATGATGGGAGGGGCTGTTGGAAGGCTTCTGAAGTGGCTTTGAGGCATTTTCCTTATTGTCTTGGCTATTAAAATTCGGTTCCTCTTTTTTTTTTTTTGAGATGGAGTCTCGCTCTGTTGCCCAGACTGGAGTGCAGTGGCGTGATCTCAGCTCACTGCAAGCTCCAGCCTCCCGGGTTCATGCCATTCTCCTGCCTCAGCCTCCCGAGCAGCTGGGACTACAGGCACCCACCACCATGCCAGGCTAATTTTTTGTATTTTTTAGTAGAGATGGAGTTTCACTGTGTTAGCCAGGATGGTCTCAATCTCCTGACCTCGTGATCCACCCTTCTCAGACTCCCAAAGTGCTGGGATTACAGTCGTGAACCACCGCGCCCGGCTAATTTGGCTCCTCTTAAGCGAATTTCTGCAGCTGGCTTGAATTCCTCCCCAGAAAATGGATTCTTCTTTTTTTGTTTTCCTTCTTTTTTTTTTTATTTTTTTTTTGAGACAGAGTTTCACTCTGTTGCCCAGGCTGGAGTGCAGTGGTGCGATCTCAGCTCACGGCAACCTCCACCTCCCAGGTTCAAGTAATTCTTCTGCCTCAGCCTCCTGAGTAGCTGGGACTACAGGCATGTGCCACCACGCTCAGTTAATTTTTGTATTTTTAGTAGAGACAAGGTTTCACCATATTGGCCAGGCTGCTCTTGAACTCCTGACCTTGTGATCTGCCCACCTCAGCTACCCAAAGGGCTGGGATTACAGGCATGAGCGACAGCACCTGGTCAGGTTTTTCTTTTTTTACAAAATGGCTGGACTACAAATTTTCTAAACTTTTATGCTCTGCCTGTTTTTTAAATATAAGTTTTAGTTTCATAGCATCACTTTGCTCACACTATGACAATACACTGTTAGAAGCAGCCAGGCCACATCTTGAATGCTTTGCTGCTTAGCAGTTTCTTCCACAAGATACCCTAAATCATCAGTCTGAAATTCAAAGTTCCACAGATCCCTAGAGCAGGGGCACAGTGCCACCAGTCTCTGTCCTAACATAACAAGAGTGACCCTTACTCTAGTTCCCAATAAGTTCCTCATCTCCACCTGAGACCACCTCAGCCTGCACTTCATAGCCCATGTCACTATCAGCATTGTGATCACAACAATTTAACCAGTCTCTGGAAAGTTCCAAAGTTCTCCTCATATTCCTATTTTTTTCTGACCCCTCCAGACTGTTCCAACCTCTGCTCATTACCCAGTATCAAAGTCACTTCCACGTTTTCAACTATCTTTATAGCAATGCCCCACTCCCAGTAGCAATTTTCTGTATTAGCCTGTTTTTGTATTGCTATAAAGAACTACCTGAAACTGGGTAATTTATAAAGCAAAGAGGTTTAATTGACTCATAGTTCTTGAGGGTGTAGAGGAAACATGGCTGGGGAGGCCTCAGGAAGCTTACAAACATGGCAGAAGAAGAAGGGAAAGCAGGCACATCTTTTATGGCCTGAGAAGGAAGAAGAGAAAGAAGGGTGAGGTCCTACACACTTAAATAACGATATCTCATGAAAATTCACATACTGTCATGAGAACAGCAAGGGGAAATCTTCCCCCATTATCCAATCACCTCCCACCAGGCCCCTCCTGTAACATTGGGGATTACGATGTGGCATGAGATTTGGGCAGGGACACAAGTCCAAACCATATCAGTGACTAATTTGAACTATTTATGCATATACTGTGAGGGAGGAGTTTAACTTGCCTGTTGATGTTGACGATGTCGACTTGTCCCAGAATCCATTGATGAAAAAAATACTTTTCCATATTGAATTTACTTGGAGCCCTTGTAAAATTATTTGACCATAAATGTAAAGGTTAACTTTTTGATATTCAATTTTATTCTATTTATCTGTATGTCTACACCATACATATGAATTAGTATGGTTTGTCTTAGTTTTAAAATCAGAAAATATGGGTCTATTTTACAAATTCTGTTTTTTTTCAAAATTATTTTAACTCTTCTCTATTGCATTATATATACAATTTAAAATCTGACAAGTTAGTGAAAAAAGGTCACCTGGGATTTTCATGGAAATTGCATTAAATCTGTAGAGCTATATAAAAAGTATTCTCAACTTAATAATATCAAGCCTTTTAATCAGTGATCATTCAACATTTGTCTGTTTTTATATAATTTTATTAATTACATTTAATGTATTTTACAATTTTCAATATACATGTCGTATGCATATTTTGTTGAATTTATTCTTATGTATTTTTCCTTTTTGATGCTATTTTAAATAGCATGGGTTTCTGAGTTTTTTGTTAAGTTTGTTAATTTCTAGTATATAGAAGTATGTATTTCTATATACTGAGCTTGTGTACTGGAACTGTATTGAACTTATATTTTAATTTGCATTCTATTTTATTAGAGTCATTTTGATGTTCTATACACAAATCATGTCAATTGCCAAGAGAGTTTTACTTTCTTTTATACTAGATGTCTTATATTCATTTTTCTAGACTAGTTGTCCTTGCTACATCCTCTAGCATAATGTGGGGAAAAAATGTGGCCAGAATGAAATTCCTTGTCTTATTTCTAATCTTGGAGAAAGTATTGAGCCTTTCAGAAAACTTTTATATCATGTGAGGGTTTTTATTTTTTTCAATGCTTTAAAGTGAAGACAGTTTCTTTACAGTTCTAATTTGCTGCATATCTTTATCATGAATGTGTTTTTGACTTGTCAAGTGCTCATTCTGTGTTTTTGAGATGATCGTGTAGGTTCTGTGCTTTAATCCATTAATACAGTGCATGAATTGTATGTTGAACAAAATTTGCATTCCTGAGGAAATACCCTTTGTCATAGTGTATAATACTTTCTGCATGTTGCTAATTTGTTTTGCTATTATTTCCTTAAGGATTTTTGCCTCTTTATTCATAAGGCATATTGGTCTTATTTTCCTTTCTTGAAATGTTTTGGTCTAATTGTGGTATGAGGATAAAGTACCTCATAGTGTGCATTGGGACGTGATCTCTTCACCGCTGTCATTGCTGTTGTTTAATATTTTTAGAGAATTCGTAATGAATTTGTATTAATTCTTTAAAAGTATGAAATAATTTCCTAGTGAAGTCATCTTAACATGGAACTGGAATTAAATCCTAACAACAATCATGTGAGCCTGGGGAGGATCCTTCCCCAGGTGAGCCTTCAGGGGAGACTTCAGCCTTAGCCATTTGTGTGATTAAAAGGGTGAATGAGAATGAAGAAAAACAGAGATCCAGAATGTTATAGATTAAAGAATTGAATTTGTAATATAGCTTGCAGGGATCATTGCTTATATTTCTAACTTTAGGACACAATTCTTTTAATATAGATTTTCCTTAGTCTTTAGAAAACTAACACTTCAGGAAAAATTTCAAGTGTCTCTCTACAATTTATATCTTCCTCATCAATAGATTTCTTGAACCATAGTTTATAAAACAATTACAGCACTTCACTAATAAGTCTAATATTTCTAATAACTAAGTAGAATGTGAATGGAATTGGTAAATTAATGTGAAAAGATATACAACAATGTTTCCTTAATAACAAACTAAAATATAGCACATTAGCCACCATGATTTTTTTTTTTTTTTGAGATGGAATTCGCTGTTTCGCCCAGGCTGGAGTGAAGTGGCGCGATGTGGGCTCACTGCAACCTCCGCCCCCAGGGTTCAAGGGATTCTCCTGCCTCAGCCACCATGATTTAACACTGAGAAGTAGGCAGTCACAGAGAAAAAGTGTGTAAACAATTCTTTGGTACACATTTTAACATCTTTTAAAGAGAGATGCATCTTCTGTTTGAAAGGGTTATAACATTATTGCCAGAAAGCAGTCATGATGTGGTTGTCCTCAGGCACACACACATGAACTTGGTCTAAACCTCCCCAAAGACATCTTTGGGCAATTACATCAAGCATCAAAACTTACAGAAGGGTGTCAGGAGACTGGAAAGATAAACTTGCATAGAGTAGTATAGGAGTCCCATGAGAAATGCAGCAACATTGATGCTTGTGATTAGCACAGATGATGATATTGTGGGGAAAATCATGGACAAGATGAGTTGAAAGTGATTCAGAGAGTTTGTTCTGAATGAAATAAGTGTTAGCAGTACCTTTGTAAATGTATTTTGCATATATGTTCTGTCTCATGTAATCACAGGAATGATATAAGACAAATATAAACATGTTAGTCGAGAAAAGTTTATAAAATAATTATAAAAATCTAATTAGAAATATTTGCTCCATTATTAGTGGTTTTATTATTTCATTCTGATATATAAATCTAAAAGATAAATCTCACAATTTATTATAAAAATTAGTCTTAATGATATGTATAGATGTGATATTATACTACATGCTTTATATATTATTTTATACAAACCCAACTGACATCTCAAGAGGTGAGCACTTTTACCACTGCCACGGGCCAGTTCTGAATCTGAGACTAAGCACTACATGAAAGGATTAAAAGTGCTTTGAGTTTGATTCAGTCTGTATCCAAAGTCATTGCTCAAGTCAACTATGTAGAATATGTAGAATAGTTTATTATATAATTAGTGCTTTTTAGGTCCAGTTTCAGGTATCTTACCTACCACATAGTCCCGAAGATATTTTCTTATGTGTTCTACCTAGTGTACTAAATATATATATATGTCTGTGATCCACCTGATTTTGTGTGTAAAATGAAGTTAAAGGTCAGATTTTAATTCCCTTGTGAATATTAAGTTTTTTTAATAGTTTCAGAAAAATTAATCTGTCCCCATTTATTGACTTACAAATGATTTGTTCATATATACATGTCTGTATTTATGCTGTTTTCTTTTTTCATTGGTTTATTCCTCTGTCTCTGTGCAAATGCAACACTTTCTTAGTTGCTAACAGACTTCATTTAATACAATAATTTAGTGACCATTCTCTTAATGACTGTGCTTTTCCATAATGAAGTGAAAGAAGTTTAAAAATCTCCATGCCTTTCACCTACACCACTACTCTCAGCTGGACTTTTAATCAGAGGCTTTAGAGTTTCAGAATATCATTGTTGTCTCTTATGTCTGTAATGTCTTTGTTAATCTTATAAGATCCGTGAACACCACTCTTCAGTTTATGTATTTCATACCTTCAACAACAGCAAGTGGTGGGAAAACCTGGAGATGCAGCCCCGGGTGCCTCCTGCCTTGCTGTAGATGATGCTGTGGACATGGGTCTCCTCCTCCAGACGATGCACATCAAAGGCAGGACCAGCAGGGAGCCTCTGAGCTCAGAACCTCTCTGTGGGGTCTGCATGCACAAGGGGAGGAGCTCCCTGTTGGGTGGGGTGGGGAATTCAGTTATTTTATATAAGCATGAATTTGTTAAATAATCATTCTTCTTTCTGACCAATGGCACATTTCCCCTTGAGTCCTGGCACTGTAATGTTACATCTTGGTTTTTGGTTTTGTGTACAAGTGTGTTTAAAACTTGTGTATTAAGCACAAAGAAAACACTCTCTTCTTGGTCACATAGCCATCATGTACAACCAAATGTATACTTTTGTATTTTTACAAAACAAACATCCCTGGGTGCTTCCTGCACAAACACAGACAACTCACTAGACAAGGTTTACCTCCTCCAGACCACGCCTATCCAAGACAGTGCCTAAGTAGAGGCAGGAGAGTTGAGCCTGTCTCTGTGGTGTCTTCATGGGAAACACGAACATTTTCTTGCTCTACTTCTGGTGTTGGTTGGGGAACTCAGTTATTTCTTGGAAAGACTGAGTGTGTCAAAGAATCATTCTGTTTGCTGTCTGAAAACAAATGACACAGTATTTGTTTTCAACAAATGAAACAGTATTTGTTTTCAACAAATGAAACAGTGTTTGTTTTGGTGTGCAAAGGCCTTTGACACTTTCTGTGTCAACGTACTTTTATCATCACATAAACATGTATGACCAAATTTAAATTTTTGTAGTGTGTATTAATGCCTTTTTTTGTTTAATTATTATAATCATTTTTCAAAATATCTTTGTTTTAATATTTTATCACTCTTTATTAAATTAATGGAAATATCACCCATTGTCTATCATTGTTTTCCACAAATTTCATCTGAAATACTCCTAGTTGAAGAGGTGCAGAAAGTTTGCTGGGAACCACAAGACAAAATTTGCTAGAGACTCATACTTAAAAAGGGTTTTGTACATGGCTTAGTTTGTTCTAATTTGCAAGGTTCAAAAGCATTAATTTGAATAGATGGAATATCAAGACTCCCTTCCAGCACACAAAGACCAGTTATTTTGTTAATATGCACGAATAAACTTCAGCATATTGTTTTTCTTTTACCTGAAATTTATAGATACTGGCTTGAATCTCTGATTCCTTCTACATAGTATTTGTAAACGTCTGCAAGACATTTCCTTATACTTATGGCTCATAATATAGGTGTGTATTCTTCTCTTACTCTTTGATGAGTAAATACCAAAATTGCTTCTTCAGTTAAAAAGAAAAACGCCACTCCGAAAATTTGTGCATACAACTCCACACAGCAAATGTTTTCCGATTATCGTCTGTAGAAAAGAAGTGGGAACTTCAATTTATTTTCTTTTATCAGATAATAATCTTTTAAAACTGATTTATACTTTTATAGATTACCAGAGAATTTTCAGAGTTGCTTTTTGTCCAGGACATGTGTGGGGCTCAGAGACACCATAGACAAAGTTGCCATGTTCTGTGATGCTTCTGTCCAATAGGGTTTCAGAAAACTTGACAAAAATTAAACTATAAGGTGGAAGAGCTGCCCTTGGGAACTGAGAGGACAGGTTTCAGGCCTTGGATGGGATGGACAGGGGAAGCCTCCAGGAGGAGGAACATTGGAGGAGATGCTGGAGAGTGAGGCGCAGTGGGTCCAGGAGACGGGAGGGAAAGCGATGAGGAAAATGTGTGTGCCTGGCACAGGCCAGGCCATGAGAAGAGGTCGGTGGATTGGAAGGAGCGCTGGGATGAGTAATTGGTGAGGACGCAGGAGCAGGAAGGGCAGACCATGGAGGGACTGGGCAGGGGAGGCAGGGAGGGCCGCTCCCTGAGGACTGCGCTCTGTGGGGAGGGATTCGAATGTCTGGGTTTGGTTCCCTGAGATGTTACCCCAGGCCATGAGCTCAGCCTATGGGAAGGACGTTGAGGAGTGAGTGGGCCCTGTCCCCTGGGGAGGCTCCTGGGCTAGGTCAGTGGGGTGTGGGTCTGGGAGAAACGAGGGTGGAGAAGAGCAAAGAGGACCCCCGGCTGCCTGACTGCAGGGCTCATGGGGCTGCCCTTGTTCGCCGCCTTTTCTCCATCGCTCAGACCCTCACTTCCCCGCCAGTGCAGGTTTCTGCCCCCTCAATCCTTTTGGAGGTGTAGGTGGGATCCATGGAGGAGAAAACTCGGATCTGCAGGCTCCTCTCCACCTGGCGCCCACACAGGTGATGGTGGGAGCAGCCTGAAGGGAAGTGCCGGTGCGGGGGTCGCAGCTGCGCAGTGAGGGGAACCGGAGGCTGCCGCGCAGGCTGGGCTTGGGGGCGGGAGCCAGGCCCACGTGGGGCGTGAGGGCCGCGGGTGGAGGGCGAGGCTGACAGGGAGTGAGGGAGGAAGGTGGAGGGCGGTGATCAGAAGGCGCGGCTGACAGGGGGAGAGGGCGGTGAGATCTACAGGAGAACTCAGGGCGGATGTCTGAGGGGTCTGCGTTGGGCTTTCTGGTCGCTTCTCTGCGAAGCGCGCTTGTTCCTGAGGCGGTGCCTGCCTGTGTCGTCGTCCCTGTTTGTTCTTCTTCAAACCTCAGGATTTCTCCGTGTTTCCCAGACCGTAACGTACATTTAAAAAGCTTTCTTTCTGTCACATATGCCCTTTTATATTATGTACATAATTGTTACTTACCTACGTTTCCTATTTGTGAATTATTCATCGATAAAGAATTTACCAAAACTTTTATTTTTAGTTGACACATTGCGTATATTTATGGATAACAGTGTGATATTTTGATTCTTGTATTCATTGGGGAAGATTCAATCAAGCTAATTAACATGGGCATCAACTCACCAGCTAATACTTTATGGTGAGAACACTAAAAATCTATTATTTAGCTATTCTAAAATGTACAGCGTGACTTCGGAGGAAATGATACTGCCCGGCCTCAGTAGCCCGAGACTGATCATTTCTAAATCCTGAGGTTCCCATTTCTGAGGGGGTCATGGCTGCATGCCCGTAAGCAAGGGGGGTGTTGGGGTGCTTTGTTTGCCCTGTTAATTTTGGGTGCCTCTGTGTTCTGAGAACTATTAAGATAATATGTGTTTGAAAAATCCAGTTGCTTTAACTTTTCCTTTGTTTTAGTCTGTTAACAACGTTATCGCTTTTCTTTTACTGACTTTAGATTTAATATATTCTTCCTTTTCTAGGTTCCAAAGGTAGAAACACAGATGACAGATTTTTGGTCTTTTCGTCATTTCCTATATATGTGTTCAATGGTATTTATTTGCCTATATGTTCTGCTTTCCTTTCATCCTACAAATTTTGATAAATTGTGCTTTTATTTTCATTTAGTTAATTTAAAAAAATTTCGCTGGAGATATCTTCTTTGACCAATATGTTATATGGAAGTGTGTTGTTTAATCTCAATGCATTTTGGGATATTACAGTTATCATTCCAGTCATCCTTTGATTTCTATTTTAATTCCACTGTGGTCTTAGAGCTGACATTGTATGATTTACTTTTTAAAAATTGTTGGGGTATTTTTTGTCCCAGAATGTGGCACATTTTGCTGAATATTCCATGTGAGCTTAAGAAGAATGTGTCCTCTGGAGTAGTTGAGGGAAGGAGACTGTAGGTGTCAGTTATGCCCAGTTGCTTGTTGGTGCTGTTGAGTTCAGCTTTTCGCTCCTGAATTACTGCCTGCTAGATCTGTCCGTATCTGATATAGGGTGTTAATGTTTCCAACTATAATACCGAATTCATCTTTTTCCTTGTGGTTCTGTTGATTTCTGCCTCATAGTTTATGCTCTGTTATCAGGCTCATAGGCTTTAAGAATTAGGACATCTTCTTGGAAGAATGGCTCTTCATCTCTATGTAATGCCCTTCTTTATTCCTGATAACTTTTCTTGCTTTGAAGTCTGCTCTGCCTGTAATTCATATAGCTCCTCTTGTTTACTTTGATTAGAGTTAGCATTGTACATTTTGTTCCATTCATTTACTTTTATTTGTCTTTATATTTGGGTTGGGCTTATAAATAACAGTTGTGTCTTGTTTTTTGATTCATTTTGTAAATCTGTGTCTTTTACTTGGTGCAGTTAGACCACTGACATTCAGAGTGGTAAGCGATGCAGTTGGATTAATATTTATCATATTTGTCAATGTTTTCGATTTGTTGTCCTTGTTCGTTCTTCCTATTTTCATCTTCCATTCATTTTCTGCCTTTTGTGGTTCTCATTAAGCATTTTACATTTTTCCATCTCTCGTATTTCTAAAAATATCAGTTATATATAATTTTAACTTTTTATTGGTGTAACATTTTTATACTTAGTTTATTATAAGAGAAAACAGTTTCTTGAAAAAATTGAAAAATTGTTAAATAATATATGCCTATGTATATATCTTATGTACATATCTTAAGTATATATGTGTACAGATATATGCACATGTGCATGTGTGTTTGTATGTGTGTGTATACATGTATATATATACACATATATATGAAGTGGATATCAGCAATAATGCAAAGGACAGGAGAAAGGAATTAGGACTATTTGTTATTATAAGATACAGTAACTGTGAAGCAATATAACTTTATTTGAAAGGTAGCTCAGTTTAGTTTTTTTATTTTTTATAGTTTTTATATGATTTTGATTTTTTTAACTTTATATCTTTAAATTTAGGTTTGTGGATACACATATAGTTTTGTTATATAGGTAATCTTGTGTAATGGAGGTTTATTGTACAGATCATTTTATCACCCAGGTACTAAGCCTACTACCCAATATTTACTTTTTCTGCTCCTCTCCCTCCTTCTACCCTTCACTTACAAGTAGGCCCCAGTGTCCTTTGTTCTGTTCTTTGTGTTCATGAGTTCTCATCATTTAGCTCCCACTTAAAAGTGAGAATATGTGATAATTTGGTATTCTGCTCCTGTGTTAGTTTGCTAAGGATAATACCTTCTAGCTCCATTCATGTTCCTGTGAAAGACATGATCTCATTCTTTTTTTTCAGCTACATAGTATTCCATGATACACATGTACCACATTTTCTTTATCCATCCTGTCATTGATGGGCATTTAAGTTGATTCCATGTCTTTTTTCTTGTAAGTAGTGCTCCAATGAACATTCATGTGGATGTGTCTTTTTGGAAGAATGATTTGTATTCCTCTGGGTGTATACCCTGTAATGGGATTGCTGAGTTGAATGGTAGTTCTGATTTTAGCTCTTTGAGGAATTGACATATTGCTTTCCACAATGGTTGAATGAACTTACACTCCTACCAACAGTGTGTAAGTGATCCTTTTTATCTGCAACCTCACCGGCATCTGTTATTTTGACTTTTTAATAATAGCCATTCTGACTGGTGTGAGATGGTATCTCATTGTGGTTTTGATTTGCATTTCTCTAATGATCAATGATATTGAGCTTTTATTCATATGCTTGTTGGCCGCATGTGTGTCCTCTTTTGAAAATTATCTGTTCTTCTCCTTTGCTACTTTTTTTTTTTCTTTTCTGAGACTGGGTCTCGCTCTGTCACCCAAGCTGGAGTGTAGTGGCACGATCTCGGCTCACTGTAACCTCTGCCTCCTGGGTTCAAGCAATTCTCCTGTCTTCCCCTCTCTAGTAGCTGGGACTACAGGTGCATGCCACCACACCTGCCTGATTTTTTGTATTTTTAGTAGAGACAGGGTTTCACCATGTTAGCCAGGATGATCTCGATCTCCTGACCTCATCATCCGCCCACGTTGGCCTCCCAAAGTGCTGGGATTACAGGCATGAGCCACCCCGCCCAGTGCTTTGCCTACTTTTTAATGGGGTTGTTTGTTTTTCTCTCGTAAATTTGTTTAAGTTTTTATAGATGCTGGATATTATACTTTCATCAGATGCATAGTTTGCAAATATTTTCTCCCATTCTATAGTTTGTCTGTTCACTCTGATGATAATTTCTTTTGCTCTGCAAAGCTCTTGAGTTTAATTGGATCACATTTGCCAATCTTTGCTTTTGTTGCCATTGCTTTCAGAGTTTTTATTATGAAATGTTTGCCTATTCCTATATCCAGGATGGTATTGCTTAGGTTGTCTTCCAGGGTTTTTATAATTTAGGGTTTTACATTTAAGTCTTTAATCCATCTTGAGTTAATTTTTGTATATGATGTAAGGAAGGGGTCCAGTTTCAGTCTTCTGCATATGGCTAGCCAGTTCTCCCAGCACCGTTTATTGATTAGAGAGTCTTTTCCCCATTGCTTGTTTTGGTCAGCTTTGTCAAAGATCAGTTGGTGATAGGTGTGCGGCCTTATTTCTAGGCTCTCTATTCTGTTCAGGTGGTCTATGTGCCTGCTGTTGTAGCAGCACCATGCTGTTTGGTTACTTTATCCCTGTAGTATAGTTTGAAGTCAGGTAACATGATGCCTCCAGCTTTGTTCTTTTTGTTTATGATTGCCTTGTCTATTGGGGCTCTTTTTTGGTTCCATATGAGTTTTAACACACTTTTTTTCTAGTTCTGTGAAGAATGTCATTAGTAGTTTCGTAGGAACGGCATTTAATCTGTAAACTTCTTTGGGCAGTATGGTTAGTTTAAAATATAGTATTTCCAACTGTAGAACAGTCTATTGTACAAAAGCCTCTTACTTTCTTGGCTGTTGGCCATTGGCTAAATAAAGTGCCTTGCCAAGGGGGCTTCTCTCACATGGCTTCATAAAATCCATCGAGAGAGACATTTCTAGGAAGACCAAAATCATAATCATATATAAGAATCCCAGTGACACTTCTATACCTTTGCACTATTCTGTTGTTTCAAAGCAAGTCTCAATTCCTGCTTAGACTCACTTGGATGGGATTACAGTAGAAGGTTCTGTATGTGAGAAGGTGGGGATAAATGGGCACCAACTTAGAGTCTACCTGACACATCAGGTATTCTCCTATATGAAACAGTTTCCTGGCCTTCACTTCTTTTTCACGACCTTGACCCTTTTGAAAAGCACCAGTCAGGTATTTAATAGGATGTCCCATGATGTGGTTTCAGCTGATGTTTTCTCATGATTAAACTAGGAATATTAATGAATTAAACACCTTCACTTAAATCTGAAGACAAAATGACCTGAAGAATATAGTATTCAGAAATACTCAAAGAGGAAAAACTATTTTTAAAGTATGGAATGACAATTCACAATATAGTTAAGTTCAGTGCTTAAGGAAAACTGAGAAATTAAGGAGATGCACAAAGGAGGTATCAACAATATTGCTAATGATTTGTTTTTTTAAGCTTGGGAGTGACATTAACAACAACAACAACAACAACAACAACAAAAACAAGTTTTAAAGAATGGTTTTCCAAAGCCGGGCATAGTGGCTCACGCCTATAATCCCAGCACTTTAGGAGACTGAGGCGGGCAGATCACCTGAGGTCAGGAGTTCGAGACCAACATGTCAAAACCCTGTCTCTAATAAAAATACAAAAAATTAGCCTGGCATGGTGGTGGACGATTGTAATCCCAGCTACTCTGGAGGCTGAGACAGCAGAATCGCTTGACCCCAGGAGGCGGAGGTTGCAGTAAGCCGAGATCATGCCACTGCACTCCAGCCTGGGCAACAGAGGGAGACTCTGTCTCAGAAAAAAAACAAAAAACAAAAACAACAACAAAAAATGGTTCTATGGTTTTACATTTACAGAATAGTTGCAAATCTAGTAGAGAGTTTCCATATACTCCATGCACAGTGTCCTTTATTATTAATCTCATAGCGTGAAACCTTTGTCAAAATTAACCAACCAATCTCATGTATTGTCATTGAGTACTATACATACTTTATTCTGATTTTTTGGTTTTTGCTTAATGTTAAGTTTATGTTTTAGGATCTCTTCCAGGATACGTCATCACATTTAGATATTTTGGCTTCATAGGCTCCATTGAATGTGATAGTTTCTCAGAGTTTCCTTGTTTTTGATGCCATTGACATTTCTAATTTAGGATTACTCTGATGTTTCTCATGATGAGACTGGACTTCTGGGCTTAAGGGAGGAAGAATATAGATGAAAAGTACCATTCCTATCACATAATATCCAGGGCACAAGCTGTCAACAGGCTTTATCACTGTTGATGTTAATTTGATCACCTGGATAAAAATCTTTTCGTTCTAAAAATCTCTTCTGTAAAATTATTCTTTTTCTCCCTTTTCATGTTGTGTGTATTAAAAAAAGTCAGTATATACAACACACACTCAATACTGGGAGAATCATACACCACTGCTTTTTCTTTGAAATAAATTTATTAAAATTTCAATAGCTTTGGGATTACATGTAGTTTTTGGTTACATGCATGAATTGTATGGTGGTGAAGTCTGGGGCTTTTAGTGTACCTGTCACCTGAATAGTGTACGTTTTACCTCATAGGTAATTTTTTACCCCTCACTAGCCTCCAACCCTCCTCCTTTCAGAATCTTTAATGTCCATGATCCCCCTCTGCATGCTCCTGCATATCCATTGCTTACCCCAAACTTGTAAGTGAGAACCTGCAGTATTTGGTTTTCTGCTCCTGAGTTACTTCAATTATGATAATGGCCAAATTGCTTTGAAAAACATAATTTTGTTCTTTTCTATGGCTGAGTAGTATTCTGTAATATACATACACACACACACACACACACACACACACACACACCACATTTTCTTTATCCACTAATTGGTTGATGGGCACTTAGATTGATTTCATATTTTTGCAATTGTGAATTGTGCTGTGATAAACCTAGAAGTGTAAGTGCCTTTTTGGTAGAATGACTGTGTGTGTGTGTGTGTGTGTGTGTGTGTGTGTGTGTGTGAGAGAGAGAGAGAGAGAGAGAGAGAGAGAGAGAGAGACAGGGTCTCACTTTGTCCTACAGGCTGGAGTGCAGTGGACCAATCTCATCTCACTGCAACCTCTGCCTCCTGGGTTCAAGGAATTCTTGTGCCTCAGTCGCTGGAGGAGCTGGGACTGCAGGCGTGACACACCTGGCTAATTTTTGTATTTTTAGTAGAGATGGTGTTTTGCCTTGTTAGCCAGGCTGGTCTAGAACTCCTGGCCTCCAGTGATCCACCTGCCTCTGCCTCCCAAAGTACTGGAATTACAGGTGTGAGCCTCTGCACCTGGCTGCCTAAATGACTCTGTCTTGCTTCTAAACTTTTAAGCAGTCCTTGTTCCTTCCTGGGCATAAGCTAAACTAACTTTTGGAGGAACTTACTCTACAGTTTATAGTTTAAAACAAAGACAGTAACAGCCCTTTCTCAACACAAACCTCTTTCTTACCTGGAGACTAGACTGTGTTTGTAGGACTAACAAATTAGCCACATGATTAGAAATTATGGCTTAGGAGTCATGCAGCTGGAGGCTACAAGATTCTGACCCTCCCTAAACTGCTCCAAAGATCAGTGCTTGAGGTATTTTGCAGCCCCTGCACTTGATGGATCAGCTGGCACAACCCTGGTGGATAAACTGCCTGATCTGATCTTGTGGCCTCCACCTAGGAACTGACTCAGCATAAGAGGACAGCTTGGACTCCCTGTGATTCCATCTCTGATCTGACCAATCAGAACTCCCAACTCACTAGCCTTCCCCCACCCACCAAATTATCCTTAAAAACACTGATACCTGAATGTCCTGGGAGACTGATTTGAGTAATAATAAAACTCCTCCAGTGTCCTGCACAGCTGGCTCTCCGTGAATTACTCTTTTTATATTGCAATTTTCCTGTCTTGATAAATCAACTCTTTTAGGCAGCAGGCAAGGTGAACCCACTAGGTGGTTACACTGTGTGTCATTTTCAGCATAGACTGTCTTCTTGAACATACGTTTATTTTGTCCCACCCCAACCCCCAAAGGATGTGGCTAAGAAAAAAAAAAAAATGTCCCAACATATTTTCTTTTTCCTTCTGGATCTCCTTTCCGGAAGCAGGGCGTCAGTGACAGGAACATTTTGACTCCAGCTGTTAGTCCCTCTTAGGTCTGTGGAAGCCTCAGAAGGCGTGGCCAGGCCAGGGCATCCTGGCTGAGCACAGGGTTTGGCACCTCCTCCCTCCCTGGCACTATGGAGACAACTCTGAGTACTGAAAGATGAAACTAACACACCTCAAGGAAGGATACGTACCTCGATGCATGCCACAGAGACACACTTCCAGGATCTTTTTAAGATCTTACCCATGTTTTCCAAGGAAAAGCAACACAGAACTGAAGTGCCTTCAGTTATTTCAGGTGGGGCTGTCTTGTACACGGCAGTCAGGGAGAGAGACTGGAAGGCAAGGGAAGGGAACAGCCAGTCCTTCCAGTTAGCAAAGTTCAGGCTCACTGACTGCTTCTAAGTCACTGCTCACTCACTGCTTCTTAGATTAGAATACCCTGGGAATCAGCTACAATAACCTCAGACAAGGAACCATAAAAACCTGAAATGCACATTGGGTGCCAGCCAACAACGAAGCTTGGCTTCCAAGACAAAAAGTTGCTCTTTCTCCTCCTGCTACCTTGGGTGTGCCAGGTTGTAATTTGCAAATGTATTGTCTGGCCCTTAGGGGTTGGCAGCTAACAATTGTTTGCAGAAGGAGCCTAGCCTAGGAGTGAGAGAGATGCCAGCACAAGAGAAACCCGCTGACTATGAGCCAGGAAGTGGGCTGTCACCAGACACCAAACCTGCTGGCGCCTTGATCTGGGACCTCCCATTCTCAGACTCGTCAGGGCCACTGTCATCTCCTGAAGCAATCACCACATGTTCCCATCACAGCTGATGGTGGCAAATAACCCATGCAGAGTACTGAAATGAGCCAGGCTCTGTCTGCCCTCTCGTGTGTAGTCACCTAGTTAATCCTGGCAGCAGTCCTGGGTTCTCTGCATTTCCAGAGTGCAAGTCCTCCAGTAACCACTGAAATGCTTTCTCAGGAGTTGTCAACTCCTTAAAAACATTTCTCTCTACTTGGTGCAGAGCACAGTGACACCAGAAACAGGTTTCCCTGGACCCCAGCCCTGGCAATGGCCATGTCACTTCACTCAGGCCCAGGAAGAAGGCAGACTCGGGTCTCCCGCTGGGCAGCAACACCTAACTTAACCCGGATTTCTCACTTCCTCCCTTCCCCGGCGGAATGCCACCAAGAACCAACCTGACGGTGCCAAGAGGGCGAATTTCCCCAAAGTCCTCTGAAATATGTTGTCATGATTTGTAACAGGAAGCCGAGCGAGGAGCACAAAGTGCTTCCAGAGACTAGGTGATGGGCCACATCCCTGGCCAGTGTGTTGACCCCCTGAACCAAAGTCTGTGCGACCAACACCTTTGCCTGTCTGCCCCAGTTTTCTGAGCATGTGCTCCACTGACACATATGCGCCAGGCCGCCAGCCACTCTCGCCTGTACTCCCCCAGCCCCAGCGGAGCTGCCACATGGGCCTCTTGCTCACCAGGTGGAATTTGCCTTTTATCTTGTGCAGCAGGCTGCAGAACGCGCCCCTCCGCTCCCTCTGTGTGGGGCTGCAAGGGGTCGGGTCCACCACCGAGGCTGCCTTTATGGAGAACCCTGCACTTGTCCCGAGCCTGAAACCCCCGAATTGCGGGGTCAGGAAGACTGGAAGTGGCACCTGATAGAATGACTTCTTTTCATTTGGGTCCATGCCCAGTGGTGGGATTGCTAGATTGAATGGTAGCTCTGCTTTTAAAAGTTCATTGAGAAATCTCCATACTGTTTACCATATAGGTTGTACTAATTTACATTCCAACCAAGGGTGTCTAAGCATTCCCTTTTCACCTCATCCACACCAATGTCTATCATTTATTGACTTTTTCATAATGGTCCTTCTGACTGGGGTAAGATTGGTATCGCATTGTGATGTTAATTTGCATTCCCTGATGATCAGTGATGTTGAGCATTTTTTTTTCATATGTTTTCTGGCCATTTGTATGTCTTCTTTTGCCTGTTCATGTCATCTCCCCACTTTTTAATGGGGTTAGTTATTTTTTTCTTGCTGATTTGTTTGTGTTTCTTGTAGATTCTGAATTAGTCCTTTGTTGGATGGACAGTTTCCAAGTATTTTCTCCCATTCTGTAGGTTGTTTCTTTATTCTGTCGATTATTTCTTTTGCTGTGCAGAAGCTTTTCAGTTTCGCTAAGTCCCATTAATTTGTTTTTGTTGATGTTGTAGTTGCTTTCGGGGTCTTAGGTTTGCCTAGGCCAATGTCTTTACGGTTTCATGTCTTACATTTAAGTCTTTAATCCATCTTGAGTTAATTTTTATTTATGGTGACAGATAAGGATCCAGTTTCATTCTTCTGCATGTGGCTTATTTCCCAGCACCTTTTATTGAATGGGGTGTTCATTCCTCAGTGTATGTTTTTGTCTGTTCTGTTGAAAATCAGTTAATCGTAAGTATTTGGCTTCATTTCTGGGGTCTCTGTTCTGTTCCTCTGGTCTGTATGTCTACATTTATACCAGTATCATGTTAGTGTGCCAGCAGATGTTGTAATGGACTGTGTTGGTTGACCATGGGCCAGAAGGTGGCACTTGCAGGAGAGAGCCAGCTGCAGTCATGGTGGTGGGATTTATGCTTAACCTTTGTTACCCAGGGGAAGTAGTCAGCTGATGGGAAGTGACACGGAAGTCTGAAAAGTCCCTGTTCCTGTTCTGCTACTAGGACAGGTAGAGGGGCAAAGCCGAGTGTGGGCTGGGTCAGGAAAGTCCATACTCTGCCTCTCCAAGTGTGGGTGTAAGCAGAAGCCTTAATGGGGGTCAGTGTACAGTTCCCTGACCACTGGGATAATGTTCCAGGAAGGAGAACACCCTCTGCCACATGAGAGTCTGTACATGGAGAGAGGGGTAGCAAGTGGCAGGTCAATTCCCACGACCTTGACACAGAAGGTCTTACACATGCAGACTTCTGCTGGCAAACACCCACGACAGTCAGCTAAGTCTCAGGCAGTCTAGGCTGAGAACACAAACCTGCCCCAGGCTGCAAGACTTCCCACTGGAGACTGAAACTGAAACAGTAGCTCTGAGGCCACACCCCTTGATTTGACCTGTGAAGCAGCAGTACCCAACTCCCATGACCCTGGCACAAGAACGCTTCCTGCATGCCCCTTGGTTCAGGCCTTAAGGGGTTGATCCTCTGCTCAATATTAGATCAAATGCAAATCTTAGTTGGTCAGCTTCTCCCTCAGTTGGGAGCTTCTTCCAGTGCATGACTGCTGCCTGGGTTACTTGGCTGATTTCTGCAAGATCTTCTATGAATCAGGGTCAGGAATATCTTCCTTCTGTCCCTGCTGGGATCTGGGAGTGCACACGCAGCACACCCAGGTGCCACTCCTTCTTTCATGGTCCCCTCCTCTCTAAGTCAGCTCCAGCGCTGGGCAGGGTTAAGGTGCTTCCCTGTGACCTGGACTGCCTGGTTCCCCAGTGGGAATGTATCACAGAGAGAGTCTCCTCCTTTTGCACTCTGAAGCCTCAATTTCCCATCTGACACATGGTGCAAGTTGCTGCCTGCTGCTCCTTTCAAAGTATCCAAAGATTCTTTCACTTTTTCTGTTGAGTTCCTGTGATTGTTGGATACAAATTCACAGTGTGAATCTCTAGATATTGTTTTGCTCTTTCTAAGCAGGTGAGGCACACTAACAAAGTCTCGAATGTTCCATTTTGAAAAACAAAAAACAAAACAAAACAAAAAATGCTCCACTTTATGAGCAGAATGTTTACCAAAAGTTATTTGGAACTTTCATCCTGAAAGTGTCTATTCTCCTCCAATAATCGTTATATTTGTGCAATCATTTTTATCAGTATGCAAACATGGATATTTCTTTTACTCTTTCCTTCTACTACTTCATTTATTTGTTTAAATTGTTGCAGTGTTGGCTATTGGAAGGTCTTTCAGTTGGATCGTTTGTCATTTTGAAACACTACCATAATGAAGCTTTGCTGTTGTTATGTGGTTGGTTAGTTGTTTGCTCTGTTGTTTGGTGCTTTATTTTTTCTGGCACTACTAGGTACTTAAGCTAATTGTGTGGATTTCCTCACAAGCCTGGTATTAACCATTTTTTCCACAGAGCCCTAGTTCTTCTTATTGGAAAATTGAATTAGAAATGGAGATCTGGGCTCTTGGCATATTCATTGCTCCTGGGGCATCTGTTGATTCGTGATCTTGTGTGCTGACAGAGCAAATACATCTATGTACACTGATTCACACACACACACACAGAAACACACACACACACAAATATTTTCTCATATATCTGTATCTTTAAGTTAAACATGAATTCCTAATAATCCTCCAGCACCCCATGATCTAATCCAGTACCACATGAATCAGCGCACCTATTCCCGCTTACTTGTATGTAGCCTACCACACTAACAGTGATAAAGATGCTTCTGTTATTTAATCACATAATCCGGAAGACTTGTGTAAGTGGTTTCAGAATTAGAAATGTATATGGCCATGAGAAAGAACTTTACCAACTAAAGTTTTTAGGGATAAATCTTTACCCTTTAGACTCAGAATATCCACTTACTTGCTACGTTCCTTGGGTCAGCTGCTTTTCCCCCACTCCATTCAGTGAGGTTATTTCACTGATGTGTTATTTCATTCCATTATGTGTATAGCCCCATGCTATCTGCTACCTACTGTAGAAAGTTTTTAATTTGTATATTTTAAGTTCACCTTTTGTATTATAAAATTATTTAGGATTTGGAAAATATAATCATGTATTTATCATTACAGTATATGATACCAGAATAATTTCACTGCCTAGAGCAAATCTGCTGTACCTCACCAGTTTGACCTGCCTCTTTTCCAAGCTCCTAGTAAATACCAAACATTTTAGTATCTCTCTACTTTTTCACATTGCAGAGTGTCACATAACTGAAATCACACAAAGTATTTTGCCTTTTTAAATTTACTTTTTTTTGCAATATACCCTTTAGATTTGTGAAGTGTATCTCATGGTTGTTTAGACTTGCATTTTCCTAATGACAAAAGGCTTAGGCCTCATATCATGTGCTTACTAGACGTGACTATAGTATCTTTGGATACATGTCTATTCAGATAGTTCACCAATTTGATTGTGATATTTAACTTTTTATTTTGAGTTGTAAAATATTTTATATATTGTGGCTAATATATTCTTTTCTGCTATGTGATTGTGAAGATTTTCTTCTATTCTTTGCATTATCTTTTTACCTTTAATCATGTACTTTGAATCTCAGAAGATTTTAATTCTTATAAAGTTAAATATATTCATGTTTTTTATTTCCTTTTCTTGGGCTTTAAGTATCCTATCTTAGAAATTATAGGAGTTATTGTTTAACCTAAGACCCAAATTATGTATTTCTATATTATCTTCTAAGGGTTTGGTCTATTTAGATCTTACATTTGGGTATATGATTATTTTGAGCCAATTATGTATATGGTGTGAGTGAGAAGTTCAACTTCCTTGTGGATATTCAATTGTCCTAGCAACATTTGTTACAAATATATTTTTCCATATTGAATTGGCTTGGCAACTTTATAAAATCATTTGACTATAAAGGTAAAGATTAATTTTTGGACATTCAATTCTACTATATTCCTTTGATCTGTATGTCCAAGTTTATACTATTATTGAGCCTTTAAATTAAATTATGATGATACTAATTTTTTCATGGATGCCCTTTAAAATAAAGAAACTTTTCTTATAGGCTTAATTTGTTGTATACTGTTATCAAAAATGGATTTTGGATTTGTCAGGTGCCTTTCCTGCATCTTTTGAGATGATCATATGGCTTTTGTTTTTTATTTTATTGTTATAAGGTATGATACTAATTATTTTGTATGTTAAACCAAATTTGCATTCCTGAGACAAATACCCTTTTTGATGGTGTATAATTCTTTTTACATTTGCTGATTTGTATTGCTAGCATTTTATTGAAGACATTTACCCTTTATTTATAAAACATATTGGTCTTAATTTTTCTTTCTTGAAAGGTCTTGCTTTGGTTGTAATATCAGTGTAAACCAACTAATAGTATACATCAGAAAGTGATCTCTTCTCCACTTTTACTGTTGTTTAAGTGTTTATGAAGAGTTTGTGATAGATTGTTATTAATTATTTTCAGGTTTGGAATAGTTCACCAGTGAAGTCATCTCAACCAGCACAGGGCCTTGACTCCTAACAACAATCACACGAACTTGGAAGAGGATCCTTCCCCAGCTGAAACTTCACTTGAGACCTTCTCATTGGCCATCATCGACATCTGGATTCATGATACAGAGAAACTGTGAGTAAGAGCCACTTAGTATGTGAGAATTTATTATTCAGTAATAAATAATACACCTGGCAGTCAATGCAATGTGTTATCCTGGACAGAAAAATGACATTACTTAAAAGCCGAGTAAAATATGGAAAAAGCCTATACTTCAATAAATAGTTTTGTGCCAACTATTTTTTAGGGCTCATGGATACATAATCTATTACATTGCATGTAATCCAAAGATATCTAAGCTTTCTCTACTATCTGTGCATATTTCTGTGTATTTAAAATTATTTCAAAGAAAAAATGTTTTTGAAGAAAGCATTAAATGTGTTATGAAAATAACTCCAAGGCACAAACAGAATACCTTCAGCTCAGGAGATGAAAGGGCACGTAGAGAGAGAATAGCAAAGCATCTTTCCATATCGATTTACCAACTGGAACACAGGTACACTTGCTTCAGGAAGATCCCCCCCAAGATCCAGAGACTCGTCCTCTTTCATCTTCTTCATCATATTCTGCATTTTTCAGTCACCAGTTTTAGCATCTGGTGCTAACTACGTAACCAGTTTTTGAAAGACAGATGCCTATTACTTGCATGTCTCAAAAAGCCCCATTTTCAGATATTATTTAGCAGGACTCCAACAAACAGACCAGAATTTATTGAGAGCTTGCACTGAGGAGTGCCTTAATTCCAACACGACTATGTTGACAACACATCCTCTTGTGAGTGAAGCATTCATACAGAATGAGTCGCTGAAACTCAATAACACATGTCTACTGTACAAGAAAGGTAATAGTCAATATAATGCTCTAAAATTATTCTGGGGACATAGGGGACATGTGTCCAAGATTTATGAGATGTGAGCAGCCAAGAGAGCGTGAACACTGATATTTTACAAGTGCTCCAAATCAGTAGATGGGCATTTGATTTTCCAGTTAGGGCTGCAGTCAGGGTCTCTTGGCTTCAATACTGTCCATGGAGAGTTTCAATGACAGATCTTGGTTAAAATAACAAAAATAATAACAACCCCTCATCTATGATATTGCAGCCTGGCACCATTTAACTTAATTTTACTGCATATAAATAGCAACCCTATACTCCATGCAAACTAGAATGGCAGTGCAATTGATGTAGTGAAGAAAGTGACAAATTATTTTCCAAATATAAAGCAAACTTAAGGTTTTATAGGAAAACAAATGGAGGTAAAAATATTTTTAATCTTTATTTTTCTGATAATTTTGTTCTGCTCTTATAAATAGAAAGCTCCACTTTCATTATTTTATAATATAGTGAGTTTATCAGCCACATGTATGAAAATTGTATAGTAAGAGTAGGTATGTGTCCACTTGGTTGGTTTATTCGACTTATACACATCATTTACTTTATCTCGAATGGTTATTTTTTAAGCCTTGGTTTTGGTACAACATGTAAAGGCGTCAGTCTTTGTACAATATTAAATCTTCATTCAAGTAACTTTTCTTTGTGTCTTTGCCTTTGTTTCTGCGTTGCTCCTGTACTTCTGTGAACCATATTTCAGTGAGTAATGATGACAATAGCAGTCCAGCCTGCATGGATGCTGACATGGATGCTGTCTCCCATTCTTACCACTGGATGTCAAGAACTGCTAGATGCGATCCAGCCAGTCTGTACTCGACTCTCAGTTCCATCTTCTCAACTCACAGTGTCTTCCAAAGTCCATGCCACACCACAGCCTGGAAGATCTCCCAAGGTGGTATCTTGAGGCAATGGTAGAGCTCATGTCACAGTATTGTATGCCTCAGGTATCACTGTCCTTCACTCTTTGATATAATCTCTCTACAAACCATTGTTCCATACACTTTGCCCCTTTTGTGTTTGTTTATACATGTGGTATGGCATGTCTAAACCTCACAGTGAGGATATTAGAATAGGGTTCTGCATATCTAGAGGTGTGGATCATTGGAAAGCATCTTAGAACCTACCTGCCACATCAGGCCCTGTCTAATCTGTATCAGTTTCTGGGTCTTCACTTATTTTTTTGCCCTTGATCTTAGTGAAAAGAACTTGTCAGGTGTTCCATAGGATGTATCACAATATGGATTTGTTATATTTTTTCATAATTTGAGTAAGATTAAACATTCATTTATACACGTATTTATCTAAAGTAGAAGATAAAAAATATCTGAACAATATATTATTTAGAAATACAAATTTAGAAAATAATAATGAAGAACGAGGCTTGGCACAGTGGCTCATGCCTGTAATCCCAGCAATTTGGGAAGCTCAGGTGGGTGGATCACTTGAGGCCAGGAGTTTGAGCCCAGCCTAAGTAACATGGCGAAACCCCATCTCTACTAAAAATACAAAAATTAGCCAGGGGTGGTGGTGCATGCCTGAATGTTTCATATATTCTGGATAATAGTCTCCTAACAGTTATATGACTTGAGAATATCTTCTTCCGTTATTTCAGTTGTCTTGATGGTGTACTTTGCATCTTAAAAGGTATTGATCCACATGAAGTTCAATGTATCTATTTTTTTTTCTGTCACTTGTACTTTTGTGTCACATGTTAGAATCCATTGTTTCACGTAAGGCCATGAAAATCTATTTTTATGTTCTCTTCTGTGGGATTTTTAGTTTTAGCTCTTACATTTAGCCACATATTCTATTTTGAGTCAAATACATATATGGTGCAGGAAACAGTTTAACTTGCATGTGGATATCCCTTTCTCCCAGCAACTTTTGTTGAAAAACTATTTTTTCATCTTGAATTAATTTTTCAACCTTGAAAATAAGTTTGCCCTATATATAAAGATTGATTTGGGGTGCTCAACTCTATTCTGTTGGCTTATATGTCTTTCCTCATGTTATGTGAGTTTTCCATGGATGCTCTTTGTAGATTTAGAAAGTTTTCTTCTATGCCTAATTTTCCCAGAGCTTTTATCATGAATGGGTTTGGAATTTGTCAAATGCCTATTCTGTGTCTTTAGAGGTGACCATGAGTCTTTTTAAAAAATTCTATTAGTATATTTTATAACACCAGTTGTTTTTGTATGTTTAACCAGACTTACATTGCAGGGATAAATAGTTTTGCTCCTAGTGTATACTCCTTTTTATATGTTACTAGTTAATTTTGATAATATTTCCTTGATACTTTTTACCTGTTTCACATTGGTCTGTAATTTTCTTTTCTTGAAATGTCTTTGTCTAGCTGTGGTGTCAGGGAACACTGGCTTCATACATTGCATTAGGAAAGGTTCTTTACTAGTCTGTTTTTATTGATTGTTATTAATTCCCAAAAGGCTTTGAATAACTCACCAGTGAAGTCATCTTGACCTGGACAGAAATTGAATCCTCCCAAGAATCCCAGGAGCTTGGAAGGGGATCCTTCCCCAGATGAGCCTTCCCTTGAAATCTCTGCCAGGCATCTGACCCAGAGAAACTGTAAGTACTGTGTAGGGCTGGGTTGGAAAGTCTAAACTATGTAGTAATATATTATACAACAATCGGTCAGTTATATGCCTGACAGTAAATGTAATGTGGTATCTTGGATTAGACCCTAGAACAGAAAAATGACACTAGTGGAAAAGCTGGTAAAATATAAAGAAAATCTTTTCCAGTTAATAGTTTTGTACCACTGTCAATTTCTGAGTTTTCATAAATATGCTATGGTGATATAAGGTGTTAACATTTCAGGAAGCTGTAGGATATACGAAACTCTATTATCTTTACTACTTTCTATAAAACTAAAACTATGATAAAATAAAAATATTTCTTGAAATGTAATATTCAGGTACCAGAAAATAAAACAACAATAACAAAGACAGATTTAAACCACAATAAAACCACAGATCAGAGGATGAATGGAGATATAGGAGACTATGGCAAAGTAGCTTGCCTTATTATCCCCCGTTCCTACACAGGGCACCTGCTTCAGAAAGACACCATCAAGCTCCAGGGACACTCATCCACTTTCTTCTTTCCCATCACACTTCCCATTACCCAGTTATCAATTGTGTTCATAACCACTTTTTCAAGGAAAGACGCCTTTCTCACATATGTTAGAAGGCCCTGTATTCAGGCACTTTCTGGCAGTGTCTTTGTAGGATCTCACTATAAAGACATTTTAGAAGATATGACTTCCAGACATTAGAAGAGAAGATTGAGAAACGCCAGTGATGGTGAACATAAATAGTTCTGAATTAAGAGTGTTTTCTTAGTACAGGGATTCCTTTTATTCCCCAAGTTTTAAAGGAAAAGGATGCCTTAAGCCTTTGAGAAAACACTGTAATAATTCAGTTTTCTTCGTCATGCACACTCCATAACGATTTTATGGGACCAGACATTCTCTTGACACTCACATCATGGATCTATATTGTCCTGTGGTATATTGATCTGTTCTCATGATGCTAATAAAGACATATCTAAGACTGGGTAATTTATAAAAGAAAGAGGTTTAACTGGCTCACAGTTGCACATGGCTGGGGAGGCCTCACAATCATGGCAGAAGGGAAATGAGGAGCAAAGTCACATCCTACATAGTGGCAGACAAGAGAACTTGTGCAGGGGAACTCCCATTTATAAAACCATCAAATCTTGTGAGACTTGTTTACTACCATGAGAATAGTATGGGGGAAACTGCCCCCATGATTCAGTTTTGTCCACCTGGCCCTGCCATTGACACATGGGGATTATTACAATTGAAGGTGAGATTTGGGTGGAGACACAGCCAAACCATTTCAAGCGACAAGCCCAAAAGCCACAGAATAACATTATCATGGAAGAAAGTTAACTAGATATGAAGAAAAATTATAATCATGGAGTTGTAGGTTAATTCCTGCTCAAAAAGATGTGGAAATGAACCTTTAGACATCAGATGTATGAAAGTGAGGCATGTTAGTGATACAGGGTGTGTTGTGCAGAGGTGGAAATAGCCTAATAGAAAAAAGGAACGAACAGCACAGTACAACATACACCAGCCCACCATGCAGTGATCTAAGAGATGGACACAGGCCGAGTGCTGACTCTTCAAATGTGCTGGTTAAACAAAGATCCCCACAGCGGGGAGGACTGTCCCCTCTTCCCCAACACAGCTCCCTGTTCACAGGCCACACCACTTTACAGAGGAACACCAGGGATGTTCCAGGAACCATGCCCACAAAGCTTACTAAGCCATGGGACTGCATACTACACTCCCAAGGACATCCACAAAGTCAAGACTCTTGCGTTTTCAGACTGTGATCATGGGCTACATTCTCCATACCATGTTCATATCTACAGTGAAAAAACAAACTCCTGCATCCTGGAGACCTACAATGAGAGACACAGCTGACCTTGACCATATTTCTTACTTCTCAGAAGACTGTAGCAGTAATTCAGGTGCTATTATTTGGGGCATTTATATTTCAGTAAACCTTCTTACCCCTCTAATCTTACAGTTCACCCCATCAGAAAGGATGGTTTCATTTAAATTGGCAATCTTAAGTCATGGGGGTTTGCTCTTTTTCTTTCATTATAACAGGAGTTTCTATAAGGTAAGTGACTTGTACAATCCCATTTTCCTCTTCATTTCAATGCATACATGTGGTCTATTATGATGTGTACTGTGAAGATCATCCATGAGTAAATTCTTCAGCAAAAAAAAAAAAAAGAAGAAAGAAATCCAGTGGCAGGCCATGAAGTAGACAGAAGTAGATGTGTAGAAGGACAGACTCATCTCTAGGTGGCAAAGGGGGTCAATGAGCTCTGAGTGCTCAGGGTTAAGACTGGAAAAGTGATTACACATAAAACTCTGCTACCATGATGTCCCAGTCACAGAGGACACAGTGCTGAGCACTCAGCTCCCAAACATTAGCATGATAGCTTGGAAAATATGATTTGTACTGAGTCTGGATTGGCCACCAGAATTCTCAGAAAGATGCCATTGAAAACACCTCATCATCTGACCACGTCCTTAGGCAAGAACCCAACTCTGTCTCCGCCCTCTAGTCTGAATAGTGAATAAAATTTAAAGGGTGCATGACTCCTAAACTTGAGATTAGGGCTTCATGTTCACTGAATTGAGCCCTTGTAGAAGCTGAAACTCTCAGTGCAAATATGCTCAACATTCTAAATTATACGTTATATGAGTTTCCTCTTCATTCAGTAAACTCTTTAGGGAACACCAAAGCCTGTTTCATTTTCTAAGTATCGGCAAGTGGGGCTGACAAGAGTAACAAGAGGTCAGAGCAAGGCATTTCGTGAAAACAGCAATGCACAGGCATCTGCAGTCCCTGCTTACAGTGAGATTCACATGACCGTCGTTCATGGGATACGAAGGATAAAAGGGGAGGGAGGAAAAAAATATGCAGTTGATCTGGATGAAGAATCGGATTTGGAAAGCAACTTAGAATAAACTCTGCTTATATTTCTAAGATTAAATCTCAAGATACAGGATTTTCTGTCTTCAGAGAGTTGCACTCTGCTGCAAACTTTGAAGTAACACTTTACCATTTCTATCTTCCTTCTTATGGGATCTTTGAGCCACAATTTATAAAATCACCTCTACATCTCTTGTATTTTTGTTATGTCTAATAATCTCTTGAGGTCTCTCTAGGGACAGTGACTATAAATTATCACCCTGCCCAACAGGACTCCAGGAAACTGTGTCCTGGATGTTTACAGTGTGCCTTTCATGGGATACTTATTTATCCTGGTGGATACCCCAAAGCATAAGTGTACAATCTTTGACCCAGCATCCTTCTCACAGGATATTTGTTTATACTGTCAGACACCCTTGTGGCACTTGTTCGACCTGTGTCCACTCCATTCCCACCAATGTAGCCGCTATCTAGGAGAGCTCTGAGTTCGAAAAAAGTTGAGCTCACATGTGTTGGTCATGTGAGCCACGGAGGAGGCAACTCAACAAAGCACAGGTATTTCTTGCAGGTGGGGATCGTTGGGCACCATTGCAGGGTCTAACTGACACGTTAGGTCCTCTCCAATCTGCAAGTTTCATAGTCTTCACTTATTTTTCTTGACCTTGACCCTTTTGAAATGTACAGGTCAGATATTTTGTAAGATGTCCCACAGTATGGATTTGTCTCATGATTTCTCATGATTAAACTAGGGACATGTATACATTAAACACATGTCATCTAAGTTTGAAGACAAGAAAAACTAAACATTATGGATATTAGAAATATAAACATAGAGATAAATATAACAAACACAAATTAGAGGATAACAAATTCACAGTAATAGTTACCTTCAGTGATTAAGGAAGATGATGAAGCTAAGGAGTTCCATTAACAGCTATCAACATATTCCTCATGTTCTATTTTATAAAGTCAGCAGTGACTTTAAATAAAAAGAAACTTTATACATTTAAGAGTCATTTAGGATTTACAGAATTGTTTTAAATACAATACATAGACTTTCCATATATCCCACTACAGTTGCTCTTTTTATTAACTTCTTAATTTCAGACATTTGTCACAATTAACCAATTTTAAACAGTATCATTAACTACTCTTCATGCTTTATTCAGATTTTCTTAGTTTTCACTTAATGTCTAATTTCTATTCCAGGATCTCCTCCAGGATACCTCAGCACAGTTAAATATCATGTCTCCTTAGATTTCTCTGACTATTGCAGTTTCTTAGCGTTTCCTAGTTTTTGATGATATTGACATTCCTAATGTGGGATTTCTCTTGAGGTTTTTTTCATCATAAGATGTGTGGGTTTAGGAGAGGAAGATGACAGAGGAAAGGTGCCATTCTCCTCACATCATACCAAGGGCATAGGCTCTCAACAGGCTTTATCACTGTTAATGTTAATTTGATCACCTAGATGAGGTCATTTTTATCAAATTATCACACATGGTGAAATTATTATTTTTCCCTTTCCCCACAGAATGTTTCAGAACAAAGTCACTAACACAACATGCATTTAAGAAGTGGGGAGTCATGGGCTAAGCACGATGGCTCTCGCCTGTAATCCCAGCACTGTTGGTGGCTGAGACAGGCTGATCATCTGAGGTCAGGAGTTCGAGACCAGTCTGGCCAACATGGGGAAAGCTCATCTCTATTAAAAATACAAAAATTAGATAGGCACAGTGCACATGCCTGTACTCCCAGCTACTCGGGAGGCTGAGGCAGGAGAATCACTTGAACCTGGGAGGCAGAGTTTGCAGTGAGCTGAGATCACGCCACTGCACTCCAGCCTGGGCAACAGAGCGAGACTCCAGACTCCATCTCAAAAAAAAAAAAAAAGTGGGGATTCACGATCTACCTTTTTATTGGCAGAATGTCTACAAATTTATTTGAACTCTCAACCGTAAGCATGTCTATTCTACTACAAATTTATTCATTTATACATAAATTATTTATATCATCATCTAAACATGGATATTTATTTTGTACTTTATATATGCTAATTTATTTGATTGCTCAGATTGTTTCATGGTTGGCTATTGGAAGGTTTTTTAGTTGTCTCTGGTATAATTTTGAAATACCCACATAATTAAGGTTCAATGTTGTATGATTGGTTGGTTTTGTTGTTGTTTAGCATTTTCTTTTCTTTAACCACTACTAGGTGCTCCAGGCTAACTGTGTATTTAATTGTACTGCAGGCTAATTGTATGATTGTATAATTTCTACTAATGTTTCCAATACCATATGATCTAATCCAGCACCATATGAATGATGTATGTAGTCTCTTACTCTCCCTGTGAAGAAGTTGATGCTGTTCACTTAATCGTACTACCTGAACATCCATGCAGAGTGGTTTCAGAACTGGTAACTTATACCCCAATGGGAGACAATTTTACCAAGCAAAGTACAGTACTTAAGTATAAATACTTTGGCCTTTACCCTCAGAATGTCCACTTATTTCCCAAATTACTTAGGTCCATTGCTTTCCTCCACTTTCTTTAGTGAGGCTATTCCATACATTCATTACATAGTTATATTATTTTTTTGGGCATTCCTCCTTGGAAACCCTCTACCTACTAAATAAGGTTTTAAACTTGCATAATTTAGATACACTGTTTGTGTTATAAAGTTCTTCAGGATTCGGAAAACATTATTATGTATCCAACATTACAGTATAAGAGAGAGTAATTTCACTGCCCCAAAGAAACCTCCTGTATTTCACGCATCCCACCTTCTCTCTCCCAAGCTCCTCGTTACCACTGAGCTCTTTGCTATCACTATACTTTTCTCCTTTTCCAGAGAATCATATAGGTGGAATTACACAGTATTTTGCCTTTTCCAACTTATATTTTTTCACATAGCAATATACCTTTTAGATTTTTGAAGTACGTATCATGTTTTTTTAGACTTCCCTTCCCCTATTGTTGCAGGACAGGTAAGCCCCAAATTTGGGGCTTCAGCTGGCAGGGTTCTTGGCTTTGCCCAGGAAAGTATTTAAGGGCAAGACAGTGGTGATAGACAGCAATCTTTTATTGAACAGTACTGCTCCTTAAAGAGCAGGGCTAACTCATAGGCATCGCATCGGTTGGTAACCTATGGGCTCTTGTCAACTATCTTTACACTAAGGCAAACTCACTTTCAATTACATGTAAATTGAGGAGTGGATCAATGAAACTTGATGGGCAGGTTATTCAGAACTTTCTAGGAGAGGAGCAGTAACTTCTGGGTTGTTGCCATGGAAAGAGGTGGTTAAATTCCAGGTTGTTGGCATGGAATTTATAAACAGTCATGGTGCTGGAGGGAATGTCTCATGCCAGTGAGCAGTGAAGACAACCAGGGATCCCTGTGTGTCTGTTTGCCTGTTTCTTCACTGTATGCTGTCTGGACCAGATCTTGTTTTGATCAGCAGGGTTGTGACCAGAAAACCGCCTGCCGGTCTCCTACCTCATAATGGCAAAAGGCATTGAGTGTCTTTTCGTGTGATTTGGGTATGACTGTAGCTTTTTTAGAGAATTGGGTATTTGAATAATTTCCATTTTTGATTGCGATATTTGCCTTTTTATTTTTGAGCTCTAAGATGTTGTCATATATGGTTAACAATAGACCATTATCACCTATAAAATTTGCAAATATTTGGTTTTTAATTTAACTTTTAAGTTTCAGGGTAGATGTGCACATTTGTTACATAGGTAAACTTGTGTTATGGTGGTTTGTTGTAGATTATTTCATCACCAATGTACTAAGCCTAGTACCCATTAGTTATTTTTTCTGATCCTCTCTCGCCTCCCACCCTCCACCCTTCAATAGGCCTCAGTGTGTGTTGTTCCCCACTGTATGTTTATGTGTTCTCGTCATTTACCTCCGACTTATAAGGGGAAAAATATGGTATTTGGTTTTCTGTTATTGCGTTAGTTTGGTAAGGATAATAGCCTCCAGCTCCATTCATTTTCCTGTAAAGGACATGATATTCTTTTTTATGGCTGCGTAGTGTTCCGTGCTGTATATGTACCACATTTTCTTTATGCAGTCCACCATTGATGGGCATTTAGGCTGATTCCATGTTCTTGCTATTGTGAGTAGGGCTGCAATGAACATATGCATGCATGTGCCTTCTTAATAGAGCACTTTTTATTTCTTTGGGTATATGCTCAGTAATGGGATTGCTGGGTTACATGATATTTCTGTTTTTAGGTCTTTGTGGAATCTCCACACTGCATTAGTTCCACAATGGTTGAACTAATGGAGACATCCACCAATTAGTTAGATGGCTGGTGTTAGATGGTGTCACATTGAGGTTTTGATTTGCATTTCTTTAAGGATCAGTGAGGTTGAGGTTTTCTCATATGATTGTTAGCTACATATGTATCTTCTGTTGAAAGTGTCTGTTCATGTCCTTTGCCCTCTTTTTTTTAGGGTTGGTTTTTTTTTTTCTTGAACATTTGTTTCAGTTCCTTATAGATGCTAGATATTAGACCTTGGTCAGACGCATAGGTTGCAAAACTTTTCTCCCATTCTGTAAGTTGTCTGTATATTCTGTTGATAGTTTTCTTCTGCTGTGCACAAGCTCTTAAGTTTTATTGGATTTAATTTGCCAGTTTTTGCTTTTGTTTGCAAATATTTAGTCCCATTCTTTGGGCGTCTTTATTTTTGATGGTGTAGCGTGAATCACAAAAGTTTCAAATTCTAATGAGATTTAATATACCTGTTTTTTCTTCTTCCCTTTTGCTTTCAGCATCATATCTTAGGAAAGATTTTTTAATCTAAGACCACGAAGATGTATTCTTGTGCTATTTTCTGTATTTTGGAATTGTTTAGCTATTATATGGAGATATATGATCATTCTGAGTCATTTACATTTTCAGTGTGAGGCAGTTCAACTTACACGGAATATGCACTTGTTTCAGAAATATTTGAGTAAAAATATTTATCCATATATAATTTATTTGGTGACATTATAAAATTATTTCACTACAAATATAAGTATTCATTTTTGAGCATTATATTCTATTACATTGATCAACATCTATATTCTTATACTAGTACCGTAAATCTTGATTACTCTTACTTTGTAGTGAGTTTTGAAGTCAGGAATTATGTATCTCCCATGCCAACATTTTTTCTTCTTTCTCAAAAGTATTTAGGCTGCTCTGGGTCTATTGCATTATATATGAATTTTAGATAAACTTTGTGAATTTAGAGAAAGGATATGTCACATGGGATTTTGATAGAGGTTGCATTAAATCTATAGAACCATTTGGAAAATATTGCCAGCCTAACAACAATAACCATTATAAGCAATGAATAGTCAAAGTTTTTTTTCCATTTATTTTTTATGAAAATATTTTCTATAGTTTTGTGTATATATCTTATACTTAATTTGATAAACTTATTTTTGATGTCATCTTAAATGGAACATTCTGAGTTTTTATTTTAGATTGTTAATTGCTAGCATATAGAAATTCAGAGGATTTTATATATTGACCTTATATACTGCAAGTTTGTTGAACTCATTTCTAAATTCTAAACATACTTGATTAGAGCCCTTTGGAAATTTTATACATAAGATCAGGTCATATGCCAACAGACATAGTTTGACTTCCTTTCCATACTGGACGCCTTATATTTATTTTTCTAGACTAATTGCCATGTCTATATCCTCCAGTACAATGTTGAAAACAAGTGTCAAGAGTGGAAATCCTTGTCTTGTTTCTAATCTTGGAGAAGTTAGTGAACCTTTCAGATAACCTATGATGACATGTTAGTTTTTCATGGATCCTCTTTAAAAGGAAGAGAGTTCCCTTATCTGCCTCATTTGCTGCATATTTTTCTCATAGAGAATTTGAGAATTTTCAAGTGCCTATGCAACTTCTGAGATGATTATGTGGTTTTTTTCTTTATTATATGAATATAGTGCATAGCACTAATTGTATTGTATGTTGAACTAAATTTTGCTTTTCTGAGGTAAATACCCTTGACATAGTGTATAATACTTTTTACATGTTTCTGGTTTGTTTTACTAATATTTCCTTGATGATTTTTGCCCCTGTATTCATAAGGTATATTGCTCTTCATTTTCCATATTTGAAATGTCTTTGTCTAGTTGTGGTATCAGAGTAAACTAAATCAGTATACAATGGGAAATCATGCCTTCTCCACATTATGGGAATAATTTGTAATAAATTAGTATTAATTGTTTAAGTGATTCCAATAATTCACTAATGAATTCTTCTTGATGAGGTCAGAGAGGTTAATCCTAAGAACAGTTACATAAGCTTGGAAGGAGACCTTTCCCCAGATGGGCCATAGCCTGGGCCATCACCTACATCTGGACTGAAGAACCAGAGAAACTGTGAGTAATATGTGTGTGGTTTTGAACCACTCAGATGTATAGTAATTTGTTATGCACCAAGTCTTAAGTAATATACCTGACAGTAATTGCAATGTGGTATTCTAGATTAGTCTTGGAACAGATGAATATATCATTATTAGAAATTCTGGTAAAATATGAAGGAAGTCTGTAGATCAATTAATAGTTTTGAAACATAGTGAAATTCTTAGTTTTCATGAATATACTATGGTTATAATAGTAACATTTTAGTTAGCTGAAGGGTATATGAAACTGTCTGTTCTACCTGTGTATCTTTTTGTAAATCTGCAATTATTTCAAAATAAATTTGTTTGCTAAAATTATTATATTTTTTAAAAGAAAACAAAGACATAAAAAAACTGGCTTCCAGAGATGAATGGGCACATAGGGAGAGAATAGCAAAGTAGCACTCTTTTTATCTAGTCACCTTTCAAAACCCAGGTGCACCTGCTTCAAGAGGGCTCCATCAAGCTCCAGGGACTGTCATCCTTTTTCTCCTTCTCCATTACCCAGTCAGCAGTTGGAGTGTCAGCAACCATCTATTCAGAAAAAGCTGCCTTTCCTTCACATATCCCAGAAAGCCCCATGTGTAGACATCATTTAGCAGTGTATATTCAGGATCCCACTGAAGCATTTTTGGGAGATATGACTCTCAGATATTAGAAGCCAGGAATAAGAAATTTCAGTGACAGGGAACATAAATCATATTTCTGCATTCAGGATAATGTTTTCTTGGTACAGGGATTTCTTCTTCAAGTAATCAAAAGACAACTGTACCTTCAAACCATTCAGAAAAATATGTTCTAATTTAGTTCTTTTCATTCTACAGACTCCATCAGGAATCGTTTGGGACCGTGGGTTCTGTTGACACTCACATTGTGTAATTATGTTGCCCACTGCCAACCCTAAAGCCACCAAGGTAGCAGGTAAGCAGAGTACAACAAATGTTTCTAATAAATTGGTTTAGGCCAGTCTCTACTTACAGAGACCTGGATATGAATCTTTTACACAACAGAATTTTTGCAGTTGGATGCTAGTGTGTGGAGAAAGCAGCTGATGAAGTGCTGAGCAATGAGTCCTCAGACAAACTAACTGCATGGAAGATGTGATTTCCCACAATATCTTAAACCAACTGTTCCTTAGAGGCTGGCCTGGACACCACAATTCTAAAAGAGATGCCATTTAAAAGAAACCAAATTCTAGACCAGATCATGAGGCAGACATCCAACTCTTTGTCTCCACATTCTAACCTGATTAGAAGTTGGAGTTCAATGGAAGAATGTCTTGGATATTTGAGAGCATGACTTTATCTTTATTTAATTTAGCCTTGCTGGAATTTAAAACTGTAGGGCAAAATTCAGTCAACCTCCTAAATTATGTGAGTTTTTGTTTTTGTATGTGAGTTTCTGCATACACATAAAGAAACTCCCATAGTTTAGGAGGTTGACTGAATTTTGGGTGTACAGAAACTCATACTTTATGTGTTTCTCCTTCAATCAGTATATTCCTGAGGGAAAACCAATACCAATCCTCAAATCCAAGTACCCAAATTAGGGTTGAGCAGAGTAGCAAGGGGGCAGATTAAAACATTTTATAAAGACCATTATGCATCTACTTCTGCAGTGACTAATTATCAAGTGATTTCTATGATCACCGACCATATGGTTAAAACAGCAAATGGGAATGAAGAAAAAAGAGTTACATAAATGTTATAGCTGAAAGCATGGAATTTATAATGAAGCTTACAAGGGTCATTGGTCAAATTCCTAAGATTGCAGTGGGAAGTTTCAACTTACAGCTTTTTCTAGGTCTTTAGAAAGCTATCACTCGAGTGAATTTTTCAAGTAACTCTTTATAATTTCTATCTTCTTCCTCAATGGATTTCTTAAACCATAGTTCATAAAACTACATTTCCATGCATAACAGAATAATTATAGTATTCCACTAATAACTGTAATGTCTCTAATAGCTATGTAGAATGTAAATGCACTTGGTAAACTTACATGATAAGATTTAAGCATGTTTCTTCAATAACAGATAAGAATACAGTTGATGAGCCATCATAATCTAACACTGAGAAATGGGCAGTCACAGAGGACAGTGTATTCCATTCATCATAGAGGGCACATTTTCACTTTTATGAACCACAGATGCACCTTAAATTTGATAGTGTTAAAACATTATTGACGAGAAGGCGACCATAACGTGATTGTCCTCATTTACATATACATGAGCTTGGTCTATAAACCTTCCATTGACATCTTCAGGTCATATCATCAACATCATGTCTTGCGTAGGGGGTTTCAGACGGTTGGAAAGATAAACTCACAGGAGCAACATAGGAATCTCGCAAGAAGTGCCGCATCACCAAAGCGTCAGATTAGCACAGGTGATAATAATATGGGGAAAATCATGAGCAGATGAGTTGAAGAGTGATTCAGGAGAGTTACATCTCAATGAGAGAAAATTTAGGAAAACCTTTGTCAATGTATTTTTCTTGTATGTTCCATCCCATGTAGGAATGACACAAGACAAATATCCACATGTATGCACATTGAAAATATTTTTTCCAGTAATTGTAATGTATTTATGTTATTACTATGTGATTTATTTATAAGTGATAAAAGTACTAGTTTCTTCATTTGTTAGTGGTTTTGTTCTTCCATTCTGGTGCATGAAATAATGACATGTTACAATTGACGCAAATGATATATCTCGCAATTTATTAGAAAATTAATTTTTAGGGGTTAGTATAGGGTTGATAATATACTACAAGCTTTATATGTTACCATTTCATACAATCCACACTGACATCTCAAGAAGTAAGCATGATTTTCACGTCTGTGGTCCATTTCAGAGTCTGAGCTGACTTTCTACAGGACAGGTATAAAGGAACCTTGAGTTTGATACTGTCTGCCCCAGAGTCTTTGCTCACTTTGACTATGTAGAATGTGTCTTCTTTTACATGGTAAATAATTTTCAGGTCTAGTTAGACAGCTCAACTTACCCTCTGTCATGAAGCTATTTTCCTAAATTGTTTTCTGAATACACTATTATTTTTATATTTAAGCCTATGAACCAACTAGAATTGATTTTGTGTGTATGTGAGGTCAAAGGTCAGATCTTGGTTGTTCCCTATGGATATTCAATTTCCTGGAACACTTTAATAAAAATTGATCTTTCCCAAATGCATCAATGTATAAATTAATTTTTATATATGTATATGTCTGCATTCTAGCTCTGTTTTTATTTTTTAAGTTACTGGTTGTTTCTTCTATCTTTGTGCAAATTCCACACTGTCTTATCATTATTATTATCTTTTTTTTTTTTTGATACAGAGTCACTGTGTTGCCCAGGCTGGGGTGCTATGGCACAATCCTGGCTCACTGCAACCTCCTCCTCCCAGGTTCAAGCGATTCTTGTGCCTCAGCCTCCTGAGTAATGGATTACAGGTGTTTGCCAGCACACCCGACTAATTGTTTTGTATTTTCAGTAGAGATGGAGTTTCACCACGTTGAGTAGGCTGGTCTGGAACTCCTGACCTCAGGTGATCTGTCCGCCTCGGCCTCCCAACATACTGGGATTACAAGTGTGAGTCACTGCACCTAGCCCACACTGTCTTATTATTAAGAGAGTCTAGAACAATAATTTTTTCTCCAGAGATTGTTTTGTATTTTTTCTTTTTTAAGAGAGAGAGAAGATTTCATCCTGTTGTCCAGCTAGGGTATAGTGGCTCAATCCTAGAGCAGATTCTGTGTTCGAACTACTGGGATCAAATGATGCTCCCCTCAGCCTCCTGAATAGCTAGGACTACAGGCACAAGCCACCATGCCTGGTTAATTAATTTTTGTTTGTTTGTTTTGGTAGAGACCAGGTCTTCCTGTGTTTCCCATGCTAGTGTAGAACTCTTAGCCACAAGCAATCCTCCCTGCTTTGTCTCCCAGGGTGCTAAGATTACAGGTGTAAGCCACTGTGCCTGGCCCAGCGCCTCTTCTTTTAGCCACGGTACTTCTCTATAATGAAGTAAAAAATGTAACAACCTGCATGTCTTGCACCTACACCAATACTTTCAGCTGTACCTTGAGTAAAGCTGTAGGTTTAGAACTTCTTTTAAAAAAAAAATTTTAATTGTTTTTTGAGACAGGATCTCGTTCTTACACCTGGGCTGGAGTGCAGTGGCAAGATCTTGGCTCACTGGAGCCTCGACTTCTGGGCACAAGTGATCCTCCCACCTCACTTTCCCAAGTAGCTAGGATCACAGGTGCACAACTCCATGCCCAGTTAAATTATTTTTTTTGTATTTTTTGTAGAGATGGGGTTTCACCTTGTTGCCCAGGCTGATCTCGAATTCCCGATTTCAAGCAATCCACCCACCTCAGCCTCCTGAAGTGCTGGGATTACAGGTGTTAGCCACCGCACCCGGCTGGTTTAGAACTTAGAACATTGCTGTAGACTCTTAAATCCCTTAATATCCTTGTGAATCTTAGACAATCCCCCAACACCACTCCCCAGTTTATGTATACATACTTTCAACAACAGCCAGTAGTAGTGAAAACCTTGAGATGCACCCATAGTAACCTCCTGCACTGGTGTAGATGCCCCTGTGACAGGTTGTTTCTCCTCCAGACCATGCCCACCAAAGTCAAAGCCACATGGGAGCCTCTGAGCTCAGAGCCACTGTATGGGGTCTCCATGCACAAGGGCAGCAGCTCCCTGTCCTTTCTGTTGGTGAGGTGGGGAATTCAGTTCTTTTGAATAAGGCTGAGTTTATTCAATACTGATTCTGCTGGCTGACCAGTGATACCTTAAGACTTTATTTCTTGCATTGTAATATTTATCCTGGTTTTGATATGATTTGTTGTGCAAATGTGTTTAACTCTTGGGTATATTTTTTTTCTTTTTTTGTTGTCATAAACATCATCTAAAACCAAATTTTTATTTTTGTGTTGTGTGTTTAAGGTCTTCAGTCCTCTGTTTTAAAAATGCATTCACAATTATTTTTCAATGAACACTTTTAATTATTTTAATCTTTTCTCATATTTCTCTCTCCTAAATTGAATGTGAATATCACTTTTATTAGAAAAGACAGACGTTACATATTCTCTGTTTTATGTTTTTGTGCAAATTTTCTCTGAAATATCTCTGGTTGAAAAGGAGAAGGACAGAAACTGTTCTGGAAACCAAAAGGCAAAATTGGCTCAGATCCTTATGCTTAAAAAAATGTGTGAAACTTTCCTGTATATGACTTAGTTTGCTGTACAAGTGGAAGGTTAACAAGGCATTGATTTGTGTAGCAGTCACGTCTGAATAGAAGGAGCAATCATTTCATAACTGTGCAGGTGTGAACTTCATGATGTTGCTTTATCTTCTCCTTATACAAATATTTAAACAATGGCTGGACTCCATAATTCCTTCCACCTCACTTCCATAAATGTCTACATGACATTTCGTTGTACAGATCACCTATTCTATTAGATATTAATTTTTCTTATTTTTGGTGAGTGATTATTAAATTTGGTTTTAGTTCTCAGACAGATAAAAAATACCAATTAGAAAATGTGTACATTGAGTACTGTAATCAGAAAATACTTTTGTATTTTTATTATTTTTTTAATTATGTATATTTATTTGTACCACTATGGCCAAGGTACTTAGAATCAAAAGTCTTATATCCAATTATATCCAATTCCAGTCTGTAGGCCAGACTGGAATGAATGCGGCAGGCAGTCATTAATCCTTAAAACCCCTTTTAAGCAATGTAAGAGTCAAAAACTAAAAGTCAAAAGATAAGGTTGCATAACTGAATTGTCTCTGAATTTTATGCATTGAGCTGTTGTAATCTTGGCTTATAGGAACTATAGCTATACAAAACATAAGTATTTTATTTAGCTGTTTAGGCATCTGTATTCCCATCCTTTATTTGGGGGATCTGAATTAATTTTATTCCACAAGAACCGGCCCTTACAATCTCATGCATTTGTATCTTCCATGATAGTCCCTGGGTCTGGAGAAACTGAACAGTTTTAAATTCTGGTTATATTAATAAAACAAAATATTCACCATTAAGAACATTTTAAGCAAAAATGCCATAAGCCTTGTCTTGTCCTAAGAGTGACAGGACTGAGACAGGCAGATCACAAGGTCAGGAGATCGAGACCATCCTGGCCAACATGGTAAAACCCCGTCTCTACTAAAATGCAAAAAAAAAATAGCTGGGTGTGATGGTGTGTGCCTGTAGTCCTAGCTACTTGGGAGGCTGAGGCAGGGGAATTGCTTGAACCCTGGAGGCAGAGATTGCAGTGAGCCAAGATCGCACCAGTGCACTCCAGCCTGGGCAACAGAGCTAGACTCCATCTCAAAAAAAAAGAATGAGTGACAGGAAAGGAAGCCTATAGGTAGATAAACATTTCAGTTATTTAATATTAAGGCACAGAATAAATTATATTCCATATATTTCTATTTCAGTTAGAAGGAAAATTATTAAATAAAGTATAATACAGGCCTGTCCCTGTGTTGCATGAAAGCAGTGTACTTTGATTATTGCCTTTGCTTGAGTCTAAAGATGAGGCTTTGGTTAAGTTGAGTTTGATCTTAGATGCTGGCAGGAGTCTGTTTCTCCTTTAGGGGAGCTACATGTATCCAGGAGTCAATTCCTTGAACCTTAACACCACAAAGATTACTTAATAGCACCTGATAAGAACTTTTTCAGGGTGTTGGAGGTGGTGATACACTTCACAGTGATTAATGTTTTTTAGCTTTGATAAGCCCCAGCAATAAGGCAGAGACTTAATTTAGGATTCAATTTGGGAGATGTCTGTGAAAGATGTGAGAAAGCGTAAAATATTTGATCAAAACTGAACCACAGGTCCTTGTAAATCAATAGTTATTCATTTAACCAAAGTGATCATTGAAAGACTTTAAAGGCAATAGAAAAAGTTACACGGGTTTAAAATCCTTACCCCTTTCAAATTTCAGGAGATTTTAAAAAGCAATTAAACACTTAATAAAGGCAGCATAGGAACTATCTTGATAAAATGTAAAATCTTGTTTCTTAAGCCAGTTACCAAAAAGTCAAAGGAAAACCTTTTTTAGTGTGTCTGCCTCTCTTTAGAAGAAAGCCCATTTAGATAATCTGGAAGTACAACTTAAGATAAAAAGTGCTTGAATTTAATGAAACATGGGAAGAGTGTGTACAAGGTTTTGAATAGAACTGGGGAATACATGACTCTTAGTAGCTGCATGATAAATTTCCTGATTACAGTGAAAATTTAGACACACCAAAAACAACAACAACAAAAAAACCCAAGAGCATAGTATCAGGTTATCCTGGAGGAAAACATTTCTTTTATAGACCTCTAAGATAAAATATTTCAGCATCAGCCACAACAACATTTAGAAGTAAGGAGAAAAGTTACAGGAGCTGACAAGAAGCTGAAGGATAGAGTTATCATCCCAGGCCACATCAAAGGGAGAAAAAGCTGATAGCAGCAAGACAACAATTGAACATTTGAGATATGAATCTCAGAAGTTTTCAAAAAAAGTATATTATAGAATAGAAAATTAAAATTTATTGTAATTTTATTAAGAGTAAATTGATGAGCAAGACTGTTTCAACAACAACAAAAAAGCACCATTAATGTAATTATATTTTCATAAGCATAAGATATATATATATAGATATGTGTATATATATATATATATAGATATGTGTATATATATATATATAGATATGTGTATATATATATATATAGATATGTGTGTATATATATATATATATATATAATACATATGAGTAAAATGAAAGTTAGGAAAGAGGGACAAAAGGAAAAATACAGGAAAAAGGAAGAAATAGGACTATTCTTTTATAAGATGGATACACTACTTCTGAGGCTGTATACTTTTATGTGAAAGGAGCTTAGATTAGTTGTAAATATAAATTGCCACCTCTAGGGCAGGATACTGGACCAGGAGCCTCAGTTTTTTGCTGTCTGTGGCCAGAAGCTGCATTCAGTTATTTCCCATGTTGGCTTCTCTCCCATGGCAGAATGTGTCATCAAAGCCACCATGACAGAGAGCTTGCAGCAAGACAGGTATCATAATCTTAGGTAACATGATGATCCAAGTGACATCCTATCAGGTTGTAGTCTTCTGATGTATCATAGCAAGTTTCAGGTTCTCCCCAAAGTCACAAGGAAAGGATTAGATATTCTAATTAAGCTGTGAGGATCATTCTGCACCATCTTGGAGTTCACCTGCCAACATCAGGTCTTGCTTAATCTGGGACAGGTTCTCAGTCCTCACTTTGTGAGAAAGCAGGTCACATATTTTGCAAAATGTATCAAAATCTTGATTTCTCTGAATGTTTCTCATAATTTTACTGAGCAATATAGATAGAGACATGTAATTATCTATTTGTGAAGACAAGAAACAGCAAACAGGACATTATTTACAAATACAAATTTAGAGACCAAAACTAAGAAAGAAAAATTTGCGAATGGGAAAAGGAAAATTAAAAATAATAATAATGTTCACCAGGGTAACAAGAAGGGTGGGAATGGGGAGGTGAGCACCTGGGACGCTACGAGATCGACAGTGTTCTGCTTAGTAAGCTCAATAGCTTAATTTTTTAAATATATATTTATATTATTTATTTTTTAAATCTATGTTAGAATAGTTTGGATTTACAGAATAGTTAGAAGTACATACAGAGAGTTTATATATGTTTAGCACATAATTTCCCTTTCATAAATTCTTACATTCATTTGAGACATTTGTCGCAATTGATGAACCAATATTATACATTATCATTCACCAACATTCACAATTAATCAGATGTTCTGTTTTCACCTAATGTCCATATTCTGTTCCAGGATTCCGCCCAGGACACCACATCACATTTAGGTATCGTGTGCCAGTTTCTCAGATTTTCCTTATTTCTGATATCATTGAAATCCTTTGGGATGTCTCTGGTGTTTTCCTAATGATTGGATGACTGTTGTGGATTTAGCAGAGGAAACCCACAGAGGGAAACTTTTATTCTCATGATATTATAACAAGAGTACATAGTGTCAACATGCTGTATCAGTTTTTTGTTTTTTTTTTTTGAGACAGGGTCTCATTCTGTTGCTCAGGCCGGAGTGCAGTGGCGTGAACAAAGCTTGCTGCAGCCTGGAATTCTTGGGCTTGAATGATCCTCCACCTCAGTCTCTTGAGTAGATGGGACTACAGGCATGTGCCACCACATCTGGGTGATTTAATTTTACTTTTACATTTGTAGAGGCAGAGTCTCACTACATTGCCCAGGCTGTTCTCTAAGTCTTGGCCCCAAGTGATCCTCTCACCTCAGGCTCCCAAAGTGCTGGGATTATAGGTGTGAGCCAGTGTGCCCAGCTGCTTTGCCATCGTTAATGTTATTTGATCACATGGATGAGGCAGTTTAGCTCAGTTTTGTCCACTATAATATCGGGCGAAATTCACCCCCAATATTTCACATAGGTTCTTTTCTATTTTCCCTAAGTGTCAGCTGGTCTGAGAAATAAAGGGACAGAGTACAAAAGAGAGAAATTTTAAAGCTGGGTGTCTGGGGGAGACGTCACATGTCAGCAGGTTCCATGATGCCCCCTGAGCCATAAAACCAGCAAATTTTTATTAGTGATTTTCAAAAGGGGAGGGAGTGTACGAATAGGGTGTGGGTCACAGAGATCATATGCTTCACAAGGTAATAAGATATCACAAGGTAAATGGAGGCAGGGCGAGATCACAGGACCACAGGACTGGGGCGAAATTAAAATTGCTAATGAAGTTTTGGACATGCATTGTCATTGATAACATCTTATCAGGAAACAGGGTTTGAGAGCAGACAACTGGTCTGACCAAAATTTATTAGGCGGGAATTTCCTTGTCCTAATAAGTCTGGGAGCACTATGGGAGACCAGAGCTTATTTCATCCCACAGCCACGACTGTAAAAGACAGCGGCAACCGTAAAAGACAGCTGCCCTCAAAGCGGCCATTTTAGAGGCCTCCCCTCAGGGACGCATTCTCTCTCTCAGGGATGTTCCTTGCTGAGAAAAAGAATTCAGCGATATTTCTCCTATTGGCTTTTGAAAGAAGAGAAACATGGCTCTGATCCACCTGGCTCACCGGCAGTCAGAGTTTAAGCTTATCTCTCTTGTTCCATGAATATTACTGTTATCCTGTTGTTTTTTCAAGGTGCCCAGGTTTCATATTGTTCAAACACACATGCTCTATAAACAATTTGTGTAGTTGACGCAATCATCACAGGGTCCTGATGTGACATACATCCTCCTCAGCTTACAAAGATGACGGGATTAAGAGATTAAAGTAAAGACAGGCATTCACAAGGGTATTGACTGGGGAAGTGATAAATGTCCATGAAATCTTCACAACTTATGTTCAGAGATTGCAGTAAAGACAGGCACAAGAAATTATAAAAGTCTTAATTTGGGGAACTAATATATGTCCATGAAAACTGCAAAATTTATGTTCTTCTGCCGTGGCTTCAGAGATTGCAGTAAAGACAGGCACGAGAAATTATAAAAGTCTTAATTTGGGGAACTAATATATGTCCATGAAATCTTCACAATTTATGTTCTTCTGCCATGGCTTCAGCTGGTCCCTCCGTTTGGGGTCGCTGACTTCCTGCAACAATAAAATTAATATTATTCCCCTTTTCATGTTGTTCCTTTTGGAAAAAACATCAATATGCAGAGCACATATATAAAAAGTGGGGAATTATGCCCCATTACCCTATGGACAGACCTTCTATAAATGTCATTTGTGTTTCTGTAAAAAATATTTAACATTCTTTGGGCTGTTCTAGATCAATTGCATTTTTCTGTGTGTTCTAGAATCAGTGGTCCAAGAATTGCTAAAAATGAAAAAAATTAAAGTTAGAATTTTAGTAGGGCTTGTATTGAATCTGAAGATGCATTTAGAAAGTATAATCATGTTGGTTAATACTTAATAGCTTTCTGATCAATGAAAATCTAGTTCATATAGTATATTATGCTAACTCTTTTAGGCATTTATTTAGGATTTCTTTAATACTTCAATATCATTTGTAATTTTTAGTATATATATATTGCAGTTATATTAGGTTTATTTTCAAATATATTTCCTTTTTGATGCCGTGTTAAATGAAATTGTTTTCTGTTTTGTTATTTGATTAGTTTCTATTGTATAAGAATGCAATTTATTACATTGATCATGACTGAATTTTTTTTTGTTCCAACCTTATTTTAGTGGATTTTTTAGGATTTTCTATACATTAGATTATGTCACTGGCCAATAGATGTTTGACTTCTTCCCTTTCAATTTGGAAGTCTTATATTTATTTTTCCAGCCTAATTTTATAAATTACATCCTCAAGAATATTTAGTTGAATTAGTGGGAATAGATAACCTTTTGTGTTTGTAATTTTGGGAAAATTACTGAGACCTACTTGATACCATGTGTTGTCATGTGAATTTTTCATGGGTGTCTGTGTTAGGTAAGAACATTCCCTTTCTGCAAAATTTGTTTAGTGTTTTTACTGTGAGTGGGTTTTTGAATTGGAAAGTGCTTATTCCATATCTTTAGATGTCATAATGAAAATTTTGTTATTTATTATATTAATATAGTTATTACACTAATTCTTCTTCTGTGTTTTACCAAACTTGTGACCCTGAGTAAATAAATAAATAAATTAGTGTTTAATTCTGTTTTACAATCCTGGTTTGTGTTCAGACTATTTCCTTGAGAATTATTGCCTGGGTACCCATAAAGCATATTAGTTTATAGTTTTCCTTGTTTGGACTGCGTTTGTTTGGTTGTGGCCTCAGAGGAAACTGCCTCATAGAATGTATTGCACACTGATCTCTTCTCTATTATTTTATTTTTTTGGAGAACAGTTAGTAAAAAATTGCTGTTGATATTTTAAAGGTTTCAAATAATTCATCAGTGAATTCTCCTCAACCTGGTCAATCATGTGAACTTAGAAGATGATTCCTCCCCAGCTGATCCTCAGGTGAGACCTCAGCCTTGGCCATCATCTATATCTGGATTCCTGACCCAGAGAAACTGTGAGTAATTTGTATGTGCTTTTGAGCCACTAAGCTACATGGTAATTGGCTATGCTGCAATAAACAATAATACACTTGATGGTAAACATAATATGTTATCCTTGATTAGATCCAAGAAAAGGAAAAATGGCATTAGTGAAAAACCTGGTAAAATATAAAGACAGTCAGTACTTTAGTTAATAGTTTTGTGCCTTTATCAGTTTCTGAGTTTTCATAGATAGTCTATGGTTATGTGTATGATATTAATATAACAGGAAATTGAAAGCTATATACAACTTTATGTAAGATTTTAACAACTCTCTGTTAATCTAAAATTATTTCAAAATAAATAGAAGTGTAGACATGGCTCATATATTTGAGATCAGGTCTCCCTGTTAACTTAATTGAGCCTTCATGGAACTAAATCTCATGGTACAAATGCAGTAAGGTTATAAAATATAAATCAGATGAGTTTCTATTTTACTCTCTTCTTCAGGGAACACTAAGGCCCATTCTTCCTCTCAAGTATCCAGAAATAAAGTTGCTCCAAGTAACAAGTGGACAGCATAAAAGATTGTATGGAAACTATAATGCATCTACATCTGCAGTAACTAATCATAAAATGATTTGTATGATCATTCTTCACATGATTAGAATTACTATGGGAAAGAAGAAAAAGAAATGCAACTTTCTTGATTTAAAATTTTATCTGTGCAAGTGTGGTGGCACACACCTGTAGTCAGTCCCAACTGCTAGGGAGGGTGGGTAGGATGATCATGTGATACCAGGAGTTTGAGGCTATGTAGTGTACTATGATTGTGTTAGTGAATAACCAGTGCATTCCAGTCTGGGCAATGTAGTTAAACCCCATTAAATAAATAAATAAATAAGTTACAGAGGTCGTTGTTTATATTTCTATGACTAGGGCTGAAATCCTCTAGATAGAGATTTTTTTTTTTTTTTTGAGATAGAGTGTCGCTCTGTCACCCAGGCTGGAGTGCAGTGGCGTGTCCTCAGCTCACTGCAAGCTCTGCCTCCCAGAGTCATGCCATTCTCCTGCCTCAGCCACCCCTGCAGGTGGGACTACAGGTGCCTGCCACCACACCCAGCTAATTTTTTTTTCTTTTTAGTAGAGACAGGGTTTCACGGTGTTAGCCAGGATGGTCCCAATCTCCTGACCTCGTGATCCGCTCACGTCTGCCTCCTAAAGTGCTGGGATTACAGGTGTAAGCCACCACGCCCAACCTGAGATATTTCTTTATCTTTGGGGAGCCACCACTCCAGTGCAAACTTTCAAATAATGCCTTGCCATTTTTAGTTTCCCTCCCTAGGATTCCTGGAACCATAGTTCATAAAATTATCTCACAGCGTGTGTTTTATTTTTACTTCTGTTTGCTTTAAGTCCTCTCTGGATGGTGGCTATAACCTATAGCCTTGCCCACTACGACTCAGGGTTTGGTACTGGCTGTGCCTTTCATGGGATGCTTTCTTATCCTGGTCGATGGCCTAAAGCCCAACTGTCCAGCTTACATCCAGGTATCCTTCTCACAGAGTACTTGTTTATACTGTAAGACACCCTGTGGCTCCTGTCTGACCTGTGTCTAGTTTATTCTACCAAGGAAACCGCTCTCTAGGAGAGTGCTAAGTGGGAGAAAAGTGATGTCCATGTGTGTTCGTAAAGTGAAATACAGAGGTGGCAACTCAGCAAAATGTGTATAATGACATGCGTAATGTATTACTAACCAATCCCAGTAAGAAGAGGGCAGCATTCCTTGAAGTGCTGATGGACAGAGAAGAGCTCTCCAGGACATACACTCATAAGCAGCAGGGGTGGTGCAGGAGCAACTAGAGAAAGACATAGTATTGCACCATTTGGCTGAAGTCTTTATGGGTGTATTTGTCAGTTATTTTTTTTCAGAGAGACAGAACTACAGGGAGGTAGTTTTTTAGGTAGATAGATACATAGATGGAGAGTTGATAGATAGATAGACAATAGTTAGATGAACAGCATTTTGTTTGGGGATTTACTCATGTAACATTATAGAGACGGAGAATTCCCAAGACAGCCATCTGCGAGTTTAAGGACCTTGGATGCTGTAACGTGGTGGCTCATTCCAAAGCTGAAGTCTTCAGAATCACAGAAGCTCTTGGTGTAATTCTTAGTTTGGGACCAATGGCCTGAGAATCCAGGGCATTTACTGGTATAAATTCTGGAGTTTGAAGGCCATAGATCATGGAGTTCTGTTTTCCAAGGGCAGGAAAAGGAATATACTTTCTCCAGGAGAGAGACAGGAAGACTTTTTTAAAATTTTTCATTTTTGGTTTTGTTTAGTCCCCAAGGAGATTGTATGCTGCCTTCCCCCATTGAGGGTGGATTTTTCCCACTAAATTCCCTGACTCATACATCAGTCTCCTCTGGAAACTTCCTGGCAGACACACCCAGAAGTAATGGTTTACCAATTCTCTAGGTATTCTGTAATCCAGTCAGCACCTTAAATTAACCATGACAAGTCCAACACCTTTCTAGTTGGCACCTATATGTGTCACCTTAAGCCATAACTAATCTTCAGATACAGTCAATAACAAGGCAATAGTTCTACGTAACATGATTCAATGATCCTGTGTGCAACCAGAACACACTATACTATTTTTCTTAAGAGTGGTAGAAGTTTGTGGGTGATGTTTACTCTTCTCCTGATACCCCATAACTTCAGTACAAATGTTAAATTACTAACACTTAACTGCTAATATCAAGGTAATACATTATTGTGTTATGTGACAAAAGAAGAAGAGAGAAATAAAAACAATGTTATTTGCCTAATATATTTATATATAACACGCAAATGTATTCTTAACAAAGTAGATAGGAAATAATAGTGACAATTTTAATCCTTGTTTCTGTAACTGGTCACCTGGTCCTGTCTGGTTATGTATGTATTTATTTATTTACTTTTTTATTTTTATTTTTGAGACAGAGTCTCGCTCTGTCACCCAGGCTGGAGTGCAGTGGCATGATCTTGGCTCACTGCAAGCTCCGCCTCCCAGGTTCACACATTCTCCTGCCTCAGCCTCCCAAGTAGCTGCGACTACAGGCGCCCGCCACCACGCCCGGCTTATTTTTTGTATTTTTAATAGAGATGGGGTTTCACCGTGTTAGCCAGGATAGTCTTGATCTCCTGATCTGGTGATCTGCCTGCCTTGGCCTCCCAAAGTGCTGGGATTACAGGCTTGAGGCACCACGCCTGGCCCTATCTGGTATTTGTAACTCCCTTCTACTGCTACACATTCTGTATTCTCTTTGTCTTCAGCAAGCCCCTCTGCTGGTCCTGGGTCTTTACCTGGCAGGATAATGCAAACCTTCATTCCTGAAAGATCTGGAGCATTTGTATTCTTGTCTGGAATGGTTGTAATAATCCATTGAACTTAATAACGGGGCATAGTAATGTGAAGACTTTTTTTAGTCCATTTTCTGTTACTTACAACAGAATACCTGAAACTGAGTAGTTGATAAAGAAAACACATGTATTTCTTACAGTTATGGAGGCTGAAAAGTCTAAGGTTGAGAGGTTGTATGTGGTGAGATCATGTTGCTGGTTGGGACTCTGTGAAGAGTTCTGAAGCCTACAGGGTATCGTATGGCAATGGAGTAGAGCTTGCTGACATGCAAGATCATGTCTCCCTTCCTATAAGTCACTCTTCTCTCATAATAGGCTATTAATTTTTATATATTAATTTATTAATCCATGAAAGGATTAATTCATTTATGGGGTCAAACTCTTCATGATCCAATCACCTTTTAAAGGTCTCACAATTCAATACTGCCATGTTAGGGATGAAATTTCAGCATAAATTTGGGAGGGAAGCAGTATTCCAACCACAGGGCTCCACTTCTGACTCTAAAAATCACGCCCTGTCACTTAAAAAAGTTTATTTCATTCCTATCGTTCAAAGGCTTAAATTGTTCCAGCACCAACAGAAAGTTCCCAAATCTAAAGTCTCCTCTGTCAGCCCATGAAATCAAAACAAGTTATCTTCATACAAAATTCAGCAGTTGGGTTGTTAATGGCCAATGGGTTCATGTTGGCTGCTGCCCAGTTAGAGCCACTTTACCAAGATAGGGGAATTGCTGTAGAGAAAATTTTATACATGTAGAGCTGGCTAAAGGAGAGAGCAGAGTTTTCCTATTACTCAAAACTGCTTCCCCAAATATTCAGAGGCTAGAGTTTTTATAGATAGTTTTGTGGGCAGGGGTTAGAGAAAGGGACATGCTGATTGGTTGGGTCAGGGATGAAATCTTAGGAAGTCAAAGCCATCTTCTTTACTGACTCAGCTCCTGGGTGTGGGCCACGTATCCAGATGAGCCAGTTTACTGGTTTGGGTGGCACCCGCTGATCTGTCAGGATGCAAGTTATGAAAAATACCTCAAACACCAATCTTAGGTTTTACAATAGTAATGTTATTGATAGGAGCAATCAGGGAGGTTATTAATCTTGTGGCCTCTGATGGTATGACTTCTGAGCCATACTTTCTAATATTGTGGTTAATTTGTTAGTTTTACAAAGTTGATGTTGTCCCCAAACAATGAGGGGTTTTGTTTCAGGGAGGAGCTGTTATTATCTTTGTTTCAAAATTCAACTACAAAGTAAATTTCTCCCAAAGTTAGTTTTGTTTTTACCCAGGAATAAGCAAGGGCTGCTTGGAGGTTAAATGCAAGATGAAGTCTCTTAGGTCATATCTCTCTCCCTGTCATAATTTTCTCACTGTTACTGTCTTTGCAAATGTGATTTCAATTTCCCCTTCCAAGTTTCATTGCATCTTATTCTTAATGGGTGAGGTACAGAGTTGGGAAAAGGCCAAAGACCATTCTAACTTCTTCCTGCTGACAAGGGGTATACTTGAGATAGGGTTTGGCCCCAGAGTAAATGGAATGAAACTGCTTTGCAGCTGCTTGAGTATATTCACAGGTGCCTGGTTGGGGTTCCTAGAATTGCATGACCAAGATGTTAGTACTCTCATCCACAGTTTTAGTACAGCACTTAAGTGAACAGCTGACTATAGGATAATGAGTCCTAATGTAAGGAGTGGAAGTCCTAGCTTCAGAAGTACTTATATAATTCATCTAAATCCTTTAGGGATTCGGGTGAATGACCCCAAGAACCAGTCAGACATGGGGTCAATAGTCAAGAGAGATTTGGGTCAGAGGTTGTTAGAAAGACAAATTGGGATAAACAGGAAAGAGCAAATTTAAATATACCATGTCATATCTTTTTAGTTAGTTTCCTAGTCCTTGGAATAGATCCTAGCAGTGTTTCATTCCAGGAGGCGTCACTGCAAATGAACTAGGCCTCCTTATGTGATTAAGGCAAAAAATATTTTTAATAACAGGCATTGGTATGGAAATAGAAAATAATAACAAAGATTGATATTGGGCACAATGCATCTGGATGTTAGATTCAAAGCATTTTTAAGTTGCAAAGGAGGATAGTGATGACAATCTCACATATTTCACATCTGTATCTCAAGGGATAAACTTCAGCCTTTGGGGCCTCAGGAAGAAGGTCGTAGCCATTTCATTGAGTCCAGGTCAGAAAAGTGGAAGAAAAATGTGAATGTGTTAGTTTGAGGACTTTAGCTCTGAGAGATTTCAGGATTCAGTCCAAAATGCAGAAAACAATAAAAAGCTCTAAAACAATGGACAAGACTAGAATCTAACAACAGGTGTGCTATAGTATTTTTCTGAAATACAATGTTTTGCTCTCTAGTTCTCATTTTTATTTAAGACGTATCATAGTAGGTCATATTTATTTGCAAAATAAGTTTTGGTATTATTATACTTAGCCTGATTATTTGTGTAAACTTCAGCAAGAATAATTATTTGCCATATTAGCTCTTTCTAAATTGGGTTTGCTGGAACTTTGTTCCCTAAGGAATCTCGGATTGGACTTTTTTAAAGCCTTGAAGGGATCTATCTGTGCCTGCAAATACTTGTACAGATTGCTTGAAATTCTCTCTTCTTCAGCTCCAAAGATAATTTGGGAATCATAGGCATGTCAGAATGTGACATTTTTTTACTAACCACAGGTCAGGAACCCTGTACAAGGCCTGTGTAGGCAGTTATGAGGTCACTTTCTTAAGGGGATTTTATGATCTCTGTTAGTCAACTTTAATTCCTCAAGCCTGTCTGTTTGTATCTGAAAGTAGGCCATTCCACTGGTAAAATAACCATGTCTTTGATAAAATAATCAGTGTCTCCAATTGTGTTCTGTTACAAAAGAAATCAGATTCTTATTGTACTTAGTCAATAACTATATTTCCATAGTATAGAATACTCATAAATAGTTTTCAAATTCTGGAGAAATCAAGTAGAGAAAATGAAATATCCTTCATCTTTTGTTCACAGGAATACACTTTACTGAATCATGAAAAGCTGTAAATAGCTGAAAAGAAAAATGTGGTCTTGACTCTGAAAAACAACAAAAAGGATCAGCAACATTTCAAGCAACAAGTCATAAAACGATTACTGTGGTCTTGTATTAGTTCAGTCCATGCAGTGAACTTTGTCTGACATTGGGCCTGCAGTCCTCATAAACATACCAGCTATCTCTGAGAGTCCTGAAAGTTTGTTTGTTTTGTTTTGTTTTGTTTTCCTATTTCAATGCCACAATCTTTAGTTATCAGAAACCTGTATTCAAGAAAACATTTCAAAGAGCAAACACCTTTTGACTAGTTAAAGAAAAGACCACAATAATCTGTGGATGACAATAATCTCAGGACAGTCATTGTTTTAATAATTTTACTTTGATTTTTTTGAGACAGGGTCTCAAGCCACCCAGGCTGGAGTGCAGTGGCACAATTATGGCTCACTGTAGCCTCACCTTCCTGGGATCAAGCAATCCTCTTTCTGCAGCCTCCAGAGGAGCTGGGACTGCATGCAAGTGCTACCACATCTAACTAATTTTTTGATTTTTTTTTGTAGAGATAAGATCTCACTATCTTGCTCAGGCTGATCTCAAACACCTGAGCTCAAACAGTCCTCCCAACTTAGCCTCCTAAAGTTCTAGGATTACAGGCATGAGCCACCGTGCCCAGTGAGGACATTACAGGCATGAGTCACTGTGTCCAACGAGGCCATTGTTAAAGACACAGTCGACAAAGAAATCTGGTCATTTCTGTGGCACATAACAATTCAATGTAATAATCATAATTATGACTGATAACATATACTGAGACATATTAGAATTATAGGAACCATATAATTTTGGAATACATACTAATAACATATTTATATAAGTATAACCCAAAGAAAGTTAAACATGATTTTGTATTTGACAGTGTTTTCTGTAGGTTAATATACCAAATAAGCCAAATATATCTCTTTTGGATTTCAGGGGACCTAATGCTTAAAAGGCTAATGAGTTAAAATAAAAATTCTTAGTTTATAATTTTATTTTTCAAAGTGTGCAAATATTAAAGGTTTGAAACAGTTCAAATCACAAAATAGAATCCCAGATAACCACAAATCATTTGTTTAGCCAAAATGATAGCTCAAAAATTTAAAAAGGCAAATGCCTTTATTCATTGGTAGAGAGGAGACTCAGCTCCCAAACAACAGGACCAAGCAACGACCGCATGAGGCCATCTGAATCTGTGTCTTCTCTCTCCCCTACATTTTTCAGTTTATTTAAAAGACAAATAAAAATATTTTATTATCCCTCAGTATTATACAAAAATCTTGTTTAAAGAGAAACCAAATTTTACCTTTGCCTTAGTGTTTTATTAATGTCAAACCCAATTTTTACATAAAACCTTATAAACAGATCTGTCCAATCTAAATCAGTTTGAGCATACTGTTTACAATTTTCTACTAAACAACTGATTAATGCTCCATGAAAACTCTGTTGATCATACCTAAGGGGGCAGATTCTGGGCCTGTATCACTGTGATTTTTACATTAATGATCATTCTGTAGAAAAACTAAGTAACCTGCTTCAAGTTTTGGCAAGTTGCTCACACTCACACACAGAACTTTCTTTACTAGACCAATCTTTTACAAACCTTTTATAACCTGCTTAAACCTTCTGTTTTCTCCTATTATTTTTTAACTTAAGACAATTTTTAAAACCTCTAATTTAGACGAGATTACTTTTCTAAACAAAGACAATATCTTAGGTCTTTTTTATAACTTTTTACAAAAGCACATTTTATAATTTTTATATACCTTGAATGTCAGTCTTTTCTCAGCAGTGTCAATCACATGTGTTACAATGTTAAATCTTCACAACTTTTATTTTTAGTGAAAGCAATTTTAATTTCGTATCAAGTGCAGAGCCTAGGACACGGGACAAAAATGAAGATAATGTATGATTCTTTCCAACATAGCTCAGGGGCGTGGCTAACTCAACATGTCCCCAGGCTTTACCTAGAAGCTGCTGGCTCTTATGCAGGCAGGTTGGACACTTACAAAAAGTCATAGATATTTATAACCTTAAAACAGCAAAGAGAATATCTGACCTGCCTAATTTAGACCAAATGTCTAAATGTTGAAGAAATAATTTTATTGTACCAATAATCTTTAAAGCTATCTTTATTATTCAAAGATTATTAGAGTAGTGTGAACAAAAAGCATTTTAGTTAAATTTTTTCTGGTAAAATATTTTATTTAAGTGCATATATATATATGCCAATTAATTAGAGCTCTTTTATATAGTTTGTTAGCAAAATATTACATATATGAAGTATATAAATACACAGACATAGAGAAGCAGATCTGGTAGAGTTATATGGATTCTTCATTTGTCAGTTTTTTAAGTTTTTCTTTTTCATTTTAGATCATCAGTCTCTTGATTACCTGTTCCCTGCCCTAAAAAGTTTTTAACCAGGCAGTTCCACACTTTTATTTTAAAGGGATAATTCTTAGGTGAAATAATTATAGAGAATTTATATTTTATCTAAAGCAAGGAAAAATGTGGGGGTAAAAGTTCAGTCAGGATGGCCAGGAAAAGCAGACACTCTTACATGTGGAGATTTTCTTAAAGTTGTTAAGTTTTTAAATGGGATTATTGCCTTTGGGGTGGAACCTTTTAAGGAACAGAACCAGGAAAGCATGCAGTTTCTAGGTCCTAGTAATCAGGCAGAGGTGGAAGTCAAAACAGATTCCCCTAAATGATGAATCTTATTTTTATACCAAATCCTGGGTCCCCTAAAGAGGCAAACAATATGGCATGACACAGTGCAATGCTTCCACAGTGTGTTTCATTGTAAGGACATTTCCTCAAGGCTGCTGGAAAACCCAGCGCCCATCAGCCCACTCTGTAATCGGCCCATAAGAGCACATCCTTCTTATTTAAATGTACAAATAAAAGAGTATCACCCTGTAGTAATAATCACTTACTATAAGTGACTACCATTAGTCATTTTAAAAAGTATATTTTTTATCTAGCAATTACACATCAAGGTTAATTTTTTTTCATAATGCAAAGTAATTTCAGGTCCCTGCAAGTCAAAAAGGTTAGATACAAGAGGAAGGAGGAACAGACAGGAGTAAATGGAGGATCAGAAAGAATTCCACTGAATGAGAAACTTTTACAGAGGGAGAGCAAAGGCTTTAAAATAGTATCTGTACACATGTAGCTCAATATCAGCCTTAATCAAGTTGATTTTTGATTACAGAGTTCTCAAAAGAAAATCTGCTGAAATCTTTTATTAATAGATTTTAGCCAAGACAAATAGGTAGTATTTTTGGCTTTAAACTTTTCCAAAGGTAACTGCCCATGGGAAACTTATAAGTCTAACTAAGGTTATGACTTAACCATGGATGCATGAGGTGTCTCACAGAGATGGCAAGCAGTTTTTGCAAGATTGAGAATTTCCCCAAAGATAGCTTAGAAAGGAAAATTTAAGACAGAAAGTGAGAAGATGTCCATGGAGAAGAAAATCATCGAATGAATGGCAAACAGTCTCCAAATATCACACTAGAAAGGGCTTACTGTTTGAGGTGAGAATCAAACCCAGGCTGCTGCAGTAAAAGGGAAAAACCTTAGTTACTGAGCTACAGCATGGGGCAGTTGCTGTTGGTCAGAAATAATGTAGGTCAGTCAGCTCCAAGCTTCAAGGATTGTAACTGCTCAAGAGAATCCTTAAAGCTAGCTGTGACATTATCATGTATCCTTTCAGACTGGCTGCCTGACCTGAATCCAGAAATTCCAACCCTCTGTATGTGGGAGAACAAGGGACAGCACCCTCACATGGTTACGAAGTCAAGTTTTCAAGGACATAAAACAAGATAAGAGGGAAACTTCAACTTTTTTGTTTCAGGGAGGTGTAGCAAATTTTGTTAACTGACAAGTCTGCAGGGCCAGCCCAAACAGTGGGCTTATAGGGATCCTAGGCCCCTTAGGTTCACAGTATGAATGCTGTCTCTAGGAGCAATTGAGGATGTTAGTAATGTTATGGCCTCTGGCTGTATGGCTCTTGAACCATATTTTCTAATCTTGTGGTTAATTTGTTGGTTTTACAAAGGTGGTCTGGTCTCCAAGCAATTAAGGGATTTGTTTCAAGGAAGGGCTGTCATCTTTGTTTGAAAGATAGGCTATAATATTAATGTTCCCTTTGTCCAGGAACAAACAAGGGAAGCTTGGAGATTAAAGGCAAGATGGATTCAGTCAGGTCATCTCTCTTTTACAGTCATAATTTTCTCACTGTTAGAATTTTTTCAAAGGTGATTTCAGGATAAACATAATGTACACATTCCCATTCTATAAGAGAGAAATAGACACAAAGAAAACAGTAACAGCCCCTAAGTAAATTTGAAGTCCAGGAGGGCAAACATTACGTCTTAATGCTGGAAAGCCTTTTTAGTTTTACCCCTTAACACACTGAGATAAGGGTTGGAGTGGCAAGCCCTAGTCAGTGTCACCCCTAAGGTTTTACTTGGTGAATCACCCGTGGGTGCTTGTACTGGTTGAAATTTTCCCAGGCAGGCTTTGAATGCCACAGGGGACTTCACAATCCTGGGATCCTGGTATTGGCACCACTAGGCATTACCCATGTGGAGCTCTCTGTAGTGACTTCACTGCTGTGGCTTCACTTGGCATTGCCCTGGTGGGGACTCTTTGCAGCAGCTCCAACCCCACATTTGTGTTTGGCATCCTTCTACTGGGGGCTCTCTGCAGTGGATCTGGCCCTGTGACAACTCTCTCTCTGGGCTCCCAGGCTGTCAAAAAAAAATACTTCAAAATTTGTGGAGGCTGCCAAGCCATCATTTATGCCTTAAGTGTAAGAAATACATTTATTTTCCTTATAAATTACCCAATAATTTGTATTCTGTTTTAAGCAACAAAGAAGGGACTAATACAGAAAACTGGTAATGACAAGTAGGTTGTTGCTGAAAATGAATACCTGAAAATATGAAAGTGTCTTTCAAATTGGGTGATGGGCAGAGGCTAAAAGAATCTTGGAGAGGGAGACTAGTAAAAGCCTATATTCTTGTGAGGGTTTAGAAGACAGGAAATATTTGGGAGTCCTTGGAGATTGATGAAGTGTTTGTGACCACACTGCTTCGGGGGAAATGGCGCCATATAATGCATGCTGGTTCAGAGCATATACAGCCTTCTAGAGAACCTTGCCCCACAGTTACACAGTATTGTCATCTAGCAGGTGCTGGAACTGTGACTCCCAAAGGTCATTCCACCATTGTTTCAAGTGAGTTGCTTCAGGATTATAGGGAACATGGTGAATTCACTGAAGTTTCTGAGCATGAACTCGTTTCTGCCCTTCTTTGTCTGTGAAGTGAGTTCCTTGTTCAGAAGCAATGCTGTGTGGAATACCATGATGGTAGATAGGCATTAAGTCCATGGATGGTAGTTTCCACAGAATACTTGCATGCAAGGAAGTAAAATTTATAGATGGAGTAACTCTCTTACTGTTCCAGGAAGAACAAAATGCTGCCCCTTCCCTGATGAAAGCTGCCCAGTTAATCAACCTACCACAAGGAAATTGGCAGATCTTCCTGGGGAATGGTGCCATATAGGGGCTCAGTGTTAGTTTCTGCTGCTGACAGTTGGAACACTCAGAGGGGTCTGTAACCTGGTTGGCCATGGTGAAAGGAATTCCAGATTGCTGTGTGTATGCAAAACCTCAGTCCCTACCACTGTGGCCACTTTATTCATAAGCCCGGTGATTGATGACATAGGTGCCTGGGAAAAGAGGCTGACTACTGTCAGAGAATGTATGATCACATCCACCGGATGATTAGAGTCCAGAAGAGCTATGGTAAGAGAGTGAGTCAGTTTTCCTCTGTTTCCCAGCACAGTTTAGCCAACGTTCTCTTTAAGCTTTAAGTGGCTTTTTCTGCTTCTGAGGACTGGGGTCTCCTTGCTGTGTGGAGTTTTCAGGGAATTTCTAGGCCTTGGGCTACCTTTTGAGTAATTTAAGTTATAAAACCTCTCCCACTGGCCGGGCACGGTGGCTCATGCCTATACTTTGGGAGGCCAAAGCTGGCTCATGCTAGCACTTTGGGAGACCAAGGCAGGCAGATCATAAGGTCAGGGGTTTTAGACCAGCCTGGCCAACATGGTGAAACTCCATCTCCACTAAAAAATACAAAAAAACAGCCAGGCGTGGTGGTGGGCACCTGTAATCCCAGCTACTCTGGAGGCTGAGGCAGGAGAATTGGTTGAACCCGGGAGGGAGAGGTTGCAGAGAGCTGAGATCACGCCATTGCGCTCCAGCCTGGGCAACAGGGTGAGACTCCATCTCAAAAAAAAAAAACAAAAAAAAAACTTGTCCACTACATGGTTTTAGGCAGCCCAAACCTAGGAAAATATCCTTTAAGAGATGGCATGATACCTCCGAGGTGGTATCAGAGCGAGTTGATCACCTTTATCCATCGTGGGAAGATAACAACCACACCTAGAAGGTATCTAAAGTTCCCGGGGGTCTGGAGCATGACCGTAAAGTGTGTTTGCCAGTCCTTGCCAGGCTAAATTCCCCTAAATTGTACTCCTTAACATGAGGCCTTGTGGGTGATCTGTTATGGGGACTGTTAGTGTGGCAGAGAGAGCAACTGTGGGTCACTTGCTGCACTGTCTCCAAGGTTGGGAGTGGTCATCATTTGAAGGAGCCAACTGTACAGGGTTATCTACCATAATGTGAGCTCTCATGGGCATCCTTAACTACCTGGATAGCTATGGATTTTTGAAAAAATAGTTGCCTTGAGAATTTTCAAACCATCCTGGATATCCTCTGCTTTTTAAGAAGACTTTCCAGGGGGATTACTGCTAGGGAGCCAGTGTGCCAATTACAGAGACTGCTGGTGTCAAAGAGGCTTTGGGTCTCAGGGGAGACCAGGTGTCACAAGGCTCTTCATGGCTTCATGGGGAGAGTCTAACTCAGGAAATATTTGCTTGGCTTCTCTGGCTTTTATCCTTGTGGAAGTCAATTTACATGTTTTCTTGTAGTCCCTTATTCTGGCATAGGGACATTAATACCTTTTTTTTGTTTGTTTGCTTTTTGCTTTTGGTAAAAGAGGTCTAGTTAGAGAATTTCCCACTATCTGAAATGAAAATACCTTATAAGTGTCCAGAGTACTTGTTACTGCACATCCACTAATTTAAATCTGCATAATGTTATCAATGCCATGGACCAGTGTAGTATCTTGTGGAAGGAGAAGGTGATCAACTTCCTGCAAACTGTGACTTAGTTATGGAGAGTTGATATTATGTTGAGGTAGGACAGAGAAGTTATTGACACTGAAATTAAATGACTTCTGGTGGGCCTTATGAAGAGAAATAGAGAAAAAGCTTCATTAGATCAATAGGTGCATACCAGGTATCAGGGAATGTGTTAATTTGCTCAAGCAATAAAACCACATCTGATACAGCAGTTGCAATTACAAGGAACACTTGGTTTAGCTTGTGGGAATCCACTGTCACTCTCCAGGATCCATCTGTCTTTTGCACAGGCCAAATTAGACAGGGATGTGTTGGAATCTCCACCCCTGCATCCTTCCAGTCCTTGATGGTGGTGGTAATCTCTACAGTCACTCCAGAGGTGTGGTTATGAATTTGATTTTCTATTTTCCTAGGTAGAGGCAGCTCTAGTGCCTTCCATTTAGATATTCCCACCATACTAGCGCCCACTCCACAGGTCAGGGAACCAATGTGGGAAATGTGCCAGGTGCTAACTAGGTCTATTAAAGCTTTGCATCTACAACTAGAGAAATGACCAGAGTATGTGTTTGGGGCCACTGGACCCATGGTGATTTCATGTGACTAAAATTTAATCACCTGACCTCCATAAATCCCCACTCTGACTGGCATTCTATAGTGATGTTTTGAGTTGGGTTGAGTCTTCTGGAATCAATGTAAGGTCAGAGCCAGTGTCTACTAGTCCTGAAAAGTTCTTACTATATTCCTTTCCCCAAAACACAGCTGTTAAAAGGTTATAGGTTCCCTTTTGGGAAGGACAGGAGAAAGATGAACAGTATAAAGTTTTTGTGGTATACCTGGGTCCTTCATCAAGGGGACCTGGCTGCTCCTTTTTTCAAGGATTTCTTGACTATAAACTGGCTCTAGTCTTGGACTTTAGTAGGAGCTGTGATTCTCTAGTATTTTGATTTGAGTTAGACTTTGGTAAACATAAATGTTTTCAGTATTTTCAGATCAATTAAGGGTTTATTAGGCTTCTTTTCTATTTTACTTCTGAGAACACCACAGTCAAACTAGCCAACACCATAGATCTACTTGAGTCAGATGCATCTGAATGTTGCTGTACCTTTGCTGCCCATTTTGGTAACTATGTCCATCTTGACTCTGAAGGTTGACAGCTGCCACATGGCTCTGGGACCTGTGAGATCCAGTTATTCCCAATGCATTTAAATGTTCTATTGAGTGACTGTGGTTCTCAGTATAAGCTTCCACCTACAGAGAAAGTTATTCAAGGATGCTGGTCTCCCCTTAGAAATCAGTTTCTTAAAGTATTGCTGAAAGGTTGGTCTTCTGGAGCCTCCCAGTGTGGGTGAGTAGATTTCAAATGACAAATGCACTCTGGAGTTCCATTCGTTCTAAGCCTTTGAATCTCTTCCTCTACATGAGGCCAAGGGAGATCAGGCATATCCAACTGGCTAAATAAGGGCCATCTTTTGATTTATAGTTCAGCCAACCAACCAAACTGTTAGGGCCCTTTCTAATTTCCCATGCTGCAAAACTAAAACCAGTATCTTTTTTAATGAGTCCATATCAATAAATCTGGGTGATCCAACTTTGTTTCCTCCACTATTATCCTAACTCTTAATACCCTTTTCCACACATGTTCTCCAGATTTCTCCTTGTATAAATTATAAAGTCAAATAGTTTTCTTGAACTGTCATGAACCTCCCATGGGCCAAACTTTGTATATCATTTTTAAGGGCATTTTGAGATTTGAGTCTACTTATAGGCCTAGAAGCAAAAAGGAGTGGTGGGTGTGGGGCCTTAGGAGAATCTGCATTGCAGTCCATTACCTTTCCCTCAGGCAATGCTGGCGTAATCCCCTCAGAGGAGGTGGAACCACCTTTACCAGTGTGGGTGAAGAGGCTACTGCCAAGAGGGTGTCAGTAGGGGGTCAGGTCTGCTGGCAAAGAAGACATCGGAATTTCAGAGCTCAATGTCTCCAGCCTCAACATGGTCTCCCCAAATGTTCCCAACCCACTCTACAGAGTTCCATTCTTCTCTGTACAGTGCTGTAAATTTACAGTAGGTACCTTGCTAGGCTGAAAGTTCAACTTTCATAGTAACTCAGCCAACTGCACGGTGAAGGTTTGTGTTTGACTTTTAGCATTTTCAGCCCTGTGACTATAGGAGATATAATTCTCACTCAGAGCACTGTAAGAAGCTCTAAGGCTTTTTATGTGAAGCCGAATTCTGAAATTTGAATCTCTCTTATCTTTTTTATTGATCACTTTACTCATCAACGCTAGAAGCAGAATCCTTGATTTTCCACAGATATTTAAAGATGTGCTGTCAGAGTCACCAAGTTCCTTGTCTTTTATCAGTGTTGATTAGGAGTGTCAGAGGTAGATGTTTGCATATCCCTTAAGCAGTTTATGACATGGACTAGCAATGTTTTCTGGACTATTAGAAATGGAGTCTTTAGCATTTTTAGGTATCATCAGTTTAGAGATCTAAGTTTAGAAACCCCAAAACCAATGAAAGAAACTCATTCCTAAAATTCTGGTTCTCTACAATCATTCATGGTTTAAAAAATAAAACCTGTTTTAGCATTCTTCAGAGATACAGGACCAATAGGATACATATATAGATAGATGGGGGGGGCATTAATTAGATAAATTGGGTCACATGATTATGGAAGCCAAGACAGGTCTTCTGTAAGCTATAAACCATGGAGTACCAGTAGCATGGCTCATTCCAAGGCTGAAAGTATGAGAATGAGGAAAGCTGACAGTGTAATTCTCAGTCTGAGGCCAAAGGCCTGAGAATGTGGAGGGATGCAGAAGTAAGTTCTGGAGTCCCAAGGAAGAGAGTCTGTAGTTAAGATGTCCAAGGGCAGGAGGCAGAGAGTGTACCAGCTCCAGGAGAGAGGGAGAGCAAAATCATTCTCATTACTTTTTCATTCTATCAGGACCCCTAGCCCACTGGGTGGTGCCTACCCACATAGAGGGTGGATTGTTAAAGAATTCAACTCAGGTCTGCTCACCCAGTGCAGTAAGACTAGACATCTACACTGACATTTGCAGTGGGAGAAAAGGAGGTGTTTATCTGGACATTGTGAAGCAAGGCGGATGAGTCAGCTAATGCTTAAGTTCCGCCTTCCCCAGTGGCTTGCAGGTAAGGGTTTTTTTAAAGCAGGGGTAAATTTCAGGAAAGCAGAAGTTACTGGCAAAATTATAAATCAGTAGTGGAGGTTACACATTGGTTTTGTCCTGAAAAGTCGTGATATTTTGAAGCAGGGGCTTACAGCCCATACATAGATTCAAGGGTTTTCTGATTTGTAATTGGTTAAAGAAAAGAAGAGTTGTTTTAAAATTTGGGGGTTGGCAGAAAAAAATGTTAGCTCTTTGGCTAATGGATTTGCCTCCCTCTAGCCCCTCAGGAAGAAATTTAGCACAAAGAATGGCAGTCAGAATTCAGTTTTCAGGCCCCCCTTATCTGAGGTGTACTTGTCAGCAGATGCCTTTGGTGGGGGTCTAGGTTTATGAAAAATGACTCAGGAATGTATGTTAAGATGCGATCTTTAGAACAAAGCAAACATCTTCTGACTGTAACTACCTTGGCTGTTGTTTAGGCTACTATTACCTTCTTGCTTATCAAGTTCCTCATTTCTTTCTCAGTGCTAGCTAGGTACCAGGGATTTCCCTTGAAGGGACTCACGATTTTCCTTTATTTCCCTGTTTGGGGAAGCTACAGGCCCCTAACAAAGGGTCCCTGTTCCATCACAGGATCTTACCCACTCTGTCTACCGACTCACATTTCAGACCTTTCTGGTGAAACCTCACAGACCCAGAAGTAAAGCTTTGCCAGTGTTCTAGGTGTTCCTTAATACAGTTAGTTGACTCCTAAAAGTAAACATCACATTGGGTTTTGGAGTGTTACCCAAGCAGGTTTCTCATGAGGAGTTCAAATTGCTGGGTTAAGGTGAAGCAACCATGATTTCCCAGAGTCAGAGTTTGACTGAGAGGTGGTTACTGCCGAATATCTGTGCAGTTCCCACAGGGGACAGTGAGGTGAGATAAAGGTGGTATTCATCTGTCTTATATGGAGTAGTCACCTTGAGCAGGTTTTATAAGGGTCTATGTTCAATGACCACCTTGAGGAATGTGGAGGAGGCCACAAACTGGAAACTGTCACGGATTTCTAAACCCTATTTCTGGTATGAGAATGTCAAAACTATGTACAAAATGAATACCCAGGTTATATAAAATTAAAACAATTCATAGCAACATTTAAAATAGGAATTCTAGTAGCCCAATAATAACTCTCTCTCTAATCCTGAGGTAGCAGGTAAATAAGTTGTTCAACTAATTTGAAACTATAGATAAGCATGTTTTCGCAATAATAGACCAGAATACATATGATGAGCCGACAAAATTTTATACTGAGAGGGGGCAGTCACAGAGAAAAAATAGTGTGTTCCATTTATTTTAAAAGGCATATTTTTTACATCTTTCAAATAGAGATCAATCATAATATTGTTAAAAGGCTATTGGTTAGAAGACAGTCATAATGTGATGGACTTTGTGTGCACACAAGTGAACTTGATGTAAAAAACTTCCATTTTCACATTCTGGTGGTATCTTTAATATCATGACTTGGAGAGGGACGTTAGTAGATGAGAAACATAATCTATCAGAAACTCTTATAGTTCTCTCACTACAAATATGGCATCAGCAAAACTCCTAATTACCAGAGATGATGCTAGTGTAGAAAAAATCCATGGACAAGGTGAGTTGCACAGTGATTTAGAAGAGTTTTATCCAAATATGAGAAATTTTAGAAAACCTTGATTACCTATTTTGCTTTCACTTTCTGTCTCATGTGATCATAGGAGTGATATGACATCAATACACACATTTATATAAGTTCAAAAGTGTAAAAAGTAAAATAGAGGTTCCTCTTCAAAGACTTTCCTCCCAATCTCATTAGGAATAAATAGTAACCTCTCTTAGAAGCAAAATTTTTTCAAAGACCTGTGTTAACATTCTTAAATATCTGCTAGCCGTAATAAAGAAATGAATGTACTTTATGTCCTTAGCTCCCACAATTTAACCTAAATATTTGCCCTGGCATGCTTATACTGGTCCAAGCAAGCATTAGGTCATAGCCTGTTCCTCTTCCTTATTTCAAGGTGTTTTTACCTTTCTCCAGATTCCAAAAGTTACTTCCTCCTTCCTTTGTTCTCCTCTGCCTTTGCCTCTTTTAAAAAGTTCTAAGTTGCTAGCCAGTCGGGACAAATACAGAATGTGAGGTCCTGTTCCAGCCAGTGGAAACCGGACACAGCAGTAGGGTGGAAGCATCAGGTTATAAATGACCCTGTCTCCTTTGTTTAGTGTACTCTCATGGCAAAAATGCTGGCGAGTGTACCTTTTCTGAAGAAAATATAAAAATGGCATTGCTGAGGAAATTAAATTTATATTCAACTGCTATTTCTTTATGGCACCAGGGAGCAGGCATTTCAAACAAAAAGTATTATTTTCAACATATATGACATAAAATTTTTGTGATGTCATAGTTTTTCAATAGTTTTATGCTTTTATTGTGATGTAAAATAATGATGTATTTTACAATTTATACATATGATACTTCTTGCAATTACTTGAAAAAAGCTGTCACCAGTAGCAAATACTAACTTAGTGTTTAGGTTAGACCTATGTAAACCAAAAATGACTCACACAGATGGCATTCATTTCAGAGAATTATTTTGCCAAGTTTAAGGATAAAGAAACACAAGTCACAGTAGGCTCTGTGGCCTGTGCTTTTTTCAAAGAGGGTTTTGCTGACTCCCATATTTATAGGGGTGAGACCAGGCAGGAGTAGATGGAGGATAAAGAAAGGGGAGGAAAGACAGTGAGGGAAGTACATCCTTATGAGGCCTGGATTAGCACTCACTGCATCCAGATGTTGCATGTGTAAAGAGGAATGGAGAAAAAGTTGATTGTGCATTTGTCTTGTGCGTGGTAGATCTACATTTTACCTAAGATAGGCAAACTTGTGAAATTACAGCTGTCTCTTTGGGAACAAAAGGAAGGTAGTATTAGCATGACTCAGTTCCTGACTTTTCCTTTGGCATAGTGAGTTTTGGATCCTAAGATTTTATTTTCCTTGTTCTTCAAAATATTTCAGAGAAAGCATTTTAGAAGAAAATGAGTGTTTGGTTATATTTTTTCCCTAATCTTTCAACATTAGGATAGTTTATTCCTAGAAGGTTAGGATCCACATTTTTAAGGAGACTCATTCTAGAAGGTTGTGAAGAAATAGGGGGAAGAAGAAATAAAGGGAAAAAAGAAGGAAAAAGAGACACAGCTGGATTATAGCAACAAAGTAGAAAGCAATCCTTGAAAACCGATGGACTATATTACAGAGCAGTCCATATATAACTAGACAGTCATGAAATGTTTTATGTAAATAAATAAGATGCTGTTATTTCTCCCAAAGTTTAAGTTTTCTAGTTTCAGTGTGCAGGGCTTTACAAAAAGCACAGTTTTCTACTAATTCCAAGTCAGAAAAAAATGGGAAAGAAAAAAAAAAAGACATTGAAAATGTTAGTTTGGAGACTTGTAACCAGCAAAGAATTTAGGATCCAGTCTAGCTAAATTGTAAACCAATAATAAAACTGGAAGACAAAGAACAGGGCTAGAATCCAATAAAAGATGTACTATAGTTTCATTTGAAATACATTTTTTCTCTCTACAGTCTTCCGTTTTTACTAAAGAAAAATCATAGTAAGACCAATTTATTTCCAAAATAAGTTTTAGTTTTATTGTACTTGGCCTGATTATTTTCATAAAGTGCAGCAAGACTATTTTTTTTCCATATAGGCTCTTCTAAGTTGGCATTGATGGAACTTTTTTTTAAACAAAGTGTCTACTATTTGACTTTTCAAATAGCCCCTCAAGCTCAAACAAGCATTTATTGTGCCTGCAAATAACTGTATGAACTGGGTGAATTACTGTCATCTTGAGGTCGCAAGATTACTTGGAGTTCCTAGGCCTGTCAGAAAGTGACATGCGTTTCTTACCACAGATCAGAAAATCTGTAAAGAAACTGCATACGGAAGGCACAGGGCCAGTCTCTCCAAGGGAATTTTACTAGTTCTGTTATTCAACCTAAATTTCTTAAAGCAATCTGCTCATTGATGAAAATATGCAATTCCAGCCAAAGCCTTGGCAAGGTAACCAGTGTCTCCAATTGTGTCCCATTACAAAAAAAAATTGTTATTGATCATATGCAAATAACTTATATTACCATAAATTAAGAATATTCAGAAATAGTTTTCAAATTCTGGGGAAATCAGGTAAAGAGAAAGAAGTATACTTGAAATTTTTCTCTAAAGAGTGTACCATATTCAATTGTTAAAAACTATAAATAGCTAAGAAAAAACCTTTCTTTACTCTGAAAAACAAAAATAGTCATCAATGTTTCAAATAAAAGAGTCCTAAAAATTTGTTTCGTTCTTCTGTTACGTCAGTCCCACATAATTAACTTGTTCTACTTTATATTGGCTTAGCAATCCTCATGAACACATCAGCCTGTTAATTAGAGTCCTGGGAGTTTTGTTGTTTGTATTGTTGTTGTTTTCATTCGTACAATGGCACAATCTCCAAAGTTATCAGAAACCTAAATTCAAGAAAACCTATCAGAGTCATTTTCACCAACTCTTCTAAAGAAGCAAGTTTTGGCCAACTGGTTTTTTATAAACTACTTTTTGAGAATAATCAAAGTAAAACAACAATTGTGAATGAAAAACTCTTAGGACGGTTGTAGTTACAGGCATAGTTGATAAGAAATTTGTTTTTTTCTGTGTCATACAACAATTTAACATAATATAATTATTACTGATAACATATAGTAAGGCATGTCAGAATTATTGGCATCTCATATGATTTTGGAGCACATGCTAATATTTGGGTAAGTAGAACTCAAAAGTTAAATATTTCACCATGCTTCTGTATGATTTTAACATGTTAAATGTGGCTAATTTGTCACTGTTGGACTTCAGGTGACCTAATATTCAAAAAGTTAATTAGGTCACTAAGGGTAAATTAGAATTTGATTTGGAAAGTTTGTCAAATATCAAAGGATTGAAACAGTGTTACAAAATAGAATCACCAATCACGATTAAATGAATTACTCATTAAGTCAAAAATGATATTTTAAATATTTCTAAAAAGCAAAAATCTTTATTCTTTGATATAGAGAAAGGAGATACAGTTTCTTAAACAATAAGGTCTAATATCAGGCTGAGTGCACTGGCTTGTGCCTGTAATTCCATTGCTTTGGGAGGCCGACACGGGAAGATCATTTGAGCTCAGGAGTTCAAGACGAGCCTGGGCAATATAGTGAGACTTCGTCTCTACAGAAAATAAATTTGTAAATTTTCTGGTTGTATTGGTGTGTACATGTAGTCCTAGCTACTACAGAGTCTGAGGAAAGAGGATCACTTGAACCCATGACGTGGAGATTGCAGTGAGCCGAGATCACACCACTGCACTCCAGCCTGTGTGACAGAGTGAGACCCTGTCTCAAACAAACAAACAAAAATACCCTGAAAAAATGAAAAACCAGTAAAACCTAATAAATATAGTATGAAACCAAGTGAACCTTACTCCCCTCCTCTTTTTTTGCAGTTGGCCCAAAAGGCAAACAAAAATCTTTTAGTCTCTCTTAATATTAAACAAGATCCTGGTTCAAAAAAGAAAACCAACTTTACCTTTGCATGGCATGGTATTAATACTAAAGCAATTTTAATAAAATTTTATAAATGAATTCATCAAATATCAATCAGTTTAATCATAAGGTACGATTTAAGAAATGCTTGTTAACCTTTTACTATTTTCTACTGAGAAGCAGATAAATTCTCTGAAAAAATGATGTCCAGATCCTGGGCTTGCATAAATGTGTTTTTTAATGTTCAATTTATAGAAAGACTGAATAATACCCTTTAAATTTCAGCCCACTTGGTCACACACAATATTTCTTTTGTAAAATCAATCTGCTACAAATCTACAATTCCGTCAAACTTTCAGTTTTGTCCTACGATTTTACCTTAGAACAAAAAAAAAAAATTTCCTTCCAAGCTTCCTTTACCTTTCTTTTGAGACAAGGTCTCACTCTATCACCTGGGCTGGAATGTAGTGACACAATCATAGCTTACTACAGCTTCAAATTCCTAGCCTCAAGCAGTCCTCCCACCTTAGCCTCTTCAGTAGCTGAGACAACAGGCACACACTACTGTGCCTGGCTCTTTTTTTTTTTTTTTGGTAGATATGGTGTCTCACTTTGTTGCCCAGGCTGGTCACAAACTGCTGGCTTCATGTAGTCCTCCCATTTGGGCCTCCAAAAGTGCTGGGATTACAGGAATGAACCACCACACCAAGCCCCAACTTTCTGTATCCATTTAGCTTTATCTGTCAGTTTGTCTTCAGTTTAAAGACAACTTGAAAACCTCTACAGTAGACAAAATTACTTTCCCTTTATAAGGAAAACACATTTCTCATACCTTTCTATAGCATTTTTTTTTTTCTAAAAACACATCTCACTTTTATTATGCACTTTGGATGTATCTAGTAGATTCAATTATATATGTTAATTGTAATGTTACCTCTCAGTAACTCTTACTTGCATTGAAAAACTCTAGGAAGTAAGAAATTTTACTTGTGTATCAGGTGCAGAGCCAGGGACAAAAGACAGAGCTGCCAATAACGTCTGACCCTTCCCAGTGTAGTCAGAGGGCACAGTTGGGCTAGGGAGAACACTATATGTCCCCTGAACTTACTATGGCTGTAAGAAAGACAAATCAAACAATTATTTAAAATATCACAGAGCAGTTTATGGCCCTAAAACATCCAGCAAAAACAGTATCTGACTTGCCTGACCAGTTCAGACCAAATATCTAAATTAAATTCTGAAGATATTTCTATTTTATTTTACCAATTGTGTTGTTTTAGGCTCAGGGGTACATTTGCAGGTTTGTAATACAGGAAAATTGTGGTCACAGAGTTTTGGTGTACAATTTTGGAACACACACTAACACATGTATGTGCACTGAACCCAAAGAAAGTTAAATATTTGACCATGGACTTTAATCAAGGGTATGTCTTCTGAATTTAAAGCAATGCTAATAGATTTTAATGTACAGAGCCAGAATTCTCAAGGATAGTCATGACGCTATTGTAAGTCATTTGTAAAATTTGATTCTCTAATCGATTATTAAGAATATGAGATCTCTAAAATCTTTTTTATGTATCTCCAGTCAAAACTTTGTAGAGGAGACAAACAGTGATTTTTACCAAAACAGTAAGAAAAAGTGATTGCACAGTTTACGTAAGTTGAGATCTTTGAACCTAAGAATTTGTAACTGGCTAAGAAGAAAGCTAGACTCAAAGCCACCAAATCCCATTTAAAAACCCCCAGCCAGCTCCTTACTTGGAGATGCTGGCCCAAGTGGAAGACTGCGCTCTGCCTCCTCAGAAGCAGCAAACTCCCAGAGAGGGAGTTCTACAAGAGAACATACCTCAGACCTCCAGCAAAAAGTTTGGGAGATCAGGGATCTGTGTAGGGGGAGGCTCCCAGACCTCAGCAAATCATCCAATCAGTCAGAGCAATACAAAGCTTCCAGTTGGCTGTACCAGGGCCCTTCTAGGAGAGTTGCTGCAGGCCAAAGGGCGAAACTCTGCACAGAACTCATTGTGCTTTCCAAAATATAAACTGAAAAGTGACTGAGGCAGGTCTCAGTAAATTTAGAGCTAGATCTTGCCAACGTTGAGAAAGTGCATGGGAAAAAGCAACACAAATTACAGCAGGATCTGTGATCTGTGCTTTTTCCAAAGCAAGTTTTGATGACTTCAGCATTTAAAGGGGAAAAAGTGAGCAGTAGGGGAAGGGGGAAAAAAGCAAAGAGGGCTAGGCACTGAGGCAAGCGTTTGCATTCTCGTGAGGCTTTGATTAGCACTCACTGAAACCACATTTGATATGTGCAAATAGAGGAGTGGGGGATAAAGTTGAGTATGAATTCATCTCGTGTTTGCTGGATCTACATTTTGCATAAGATAAAGTAACCATGTATAATTACAGCTGTCTACTTGAGAAAAAAAGGAAGTCAGTTTTAGTGTGACACAGTTCCCAAGCCTAACTTTCCCACTGGGCATAGTGATTTAGTGTCCTGAGATTTTATTTTCCTTTCAAAGCTGCTATTAGTCTACACATTTTGTGTATGAGTGCATTAAGTTGTTACAGCATCTCAAGAGGTAGACACTACTGTGACCTTCTGAAAGTTCTAACTCTGAATCTGAGCTAAAGCCCTATAGGAAAAGACTTAGAACAACTTTGAGTTTGACCCAGTGTTCCTACTCACATCAACTATGTTAGAATAGCATTTCTCTCTTAGAATAAACACTTTGTAGGTGCTTTTTAAGAATTCCTCACCTACCCTATTGTAATGAAATTATTTTCCTATATTAAATTCTAAATACTCCATTGAATTCTTTTTTCTATGGAGGTCTATAATCCACCTGAAGTTGATTTTGTGCATGAGTTTAAAAGTAAATTTTATTTCTCCCGATGGACATTAGGTATACTGAAATATTTATTGAAAATTCATCTTTTTCCAGCCTGGCACGGTGGCTCATGCCTGTAATCCCGGCACTTTGGGAGGCTGAGGTGGTGGATCATGAGGTCAGGAGATCGAGACCATCCTGGCTAACACGGTGAAACCTCATCTCTACTAAAAATACAAAAAATTAGCCAGGGGTGGTGGCGGGCACCTGTAGTCCCAGCTACTTGGGAGGCTGAGGCAGGAGAATGGCGTGAACCTGGGAGGCGGAGCTTGCAGTCAGCCAAGATGGCCCCACTGCACTCCAGTCTGGGTGACAGAGTAAGACTCCGTCTCAAAAAAAAAAAAAAGAAAAAATAAGAAAATTCACCTTTTTCCATTACTTTTTCTTTTGGATTATTTGTTTATATAGGCATCTATCAGATTTTCAACTCTTTTTTTATTTTTATTGATTCTTTATTTTATTATTATTAATTTTTTGAGACACAGTCTCGCTCTGTCACCCAGGCTGGAGTGCAATGTTGCGATCTCGGCTCACTGCAACCTCTGCCTCAAGGGTTCAAGCAATTCTCCTCCCTCAGCCTCCTGAGTGGCTGGGACTACAGGCACACGTCCCCACACCTGGCTATTTTATTTTATTTTATTTTTAGTAGAGATGGGGTTTCACCATGTTGGTCAGGCTGGTCTCAAACTCCTGACCATACGCCTTGGCCTCCCAAAGTGCTGAGATTACAGGTGTGAGCCACCGTGCCCAGCCTATTGATTCTTCTGTCTGTGGTCAAATATTACATGTTCTTATATTTTGGAGAGTTCATTTCACACTAGACATTTCCCTGCAGAGACTGTTCTCTTCATCACTGTGCTACTGAAGACAGGGAAGGATAAAACCTTGCATGTCTTGCACTTACATTAATATTCCCAGCTGTACCTCGAAAAAAAAAGCAGGTTATAGAACACCTGTGGAGACAAAATGACCCATCTTGGATGCTAGTCCACCATGTTACTTCTGATTTGCCCCTGTTCAATGAATGCCTTCTGATCTCTCATTTATTTACTGTCCTTAGTGTAAAATCATGTCAACCTGGGTGTTACCACAAAAATTACAGGCTATGAGACAGGTAGTCCTCCTGGATTTTCTGCCTTCTTCTTTAATTTTTCAGATCCTTTGGCATTTGAGAGTTGCTTTGTGTATACGGCCCTTTAATGGAGCAAATGGCCAGCCAGGAAACCAAAGTATGGACAAGGGGAAAGAAGCATCTGTGGAGGAAGTTTTACAAGCGACCCTCCTCATCCATGTGGGTGGCGTTCCCATATGCTACATGTCTGTGGGCCACTATGTGTGTTTAAAGCTTTTTAGTAAAACGTTACTAAAAACTATGACTCACTGTGGTGAAAAAGGTGGGAAAACAGTGACAACAGTAAGTTTGCTGCTGTTATTATCTATGTGAGTGGTCACAAAAGCACAGGTAGCAGCTGAGGCAAGGGTAGGGAAGCTAGGAAAAGAATCGCAGTGAGAAAGGGATGAGAACTTCCATGTCTGTGTTAATGTCTGGTTTTATGATAAACTTGAAACTCAAGAGGCACAGTTGGAAATTGTACCTTGCCACTTTGTGTGGCTGAGAGAGAGAAAAATGTGCTAGCTGAATGTGTGGACTGTCTTTGCCAGTGGAGGCTGGGATGCAAATACTTGTAATTCTTGGCAAACAACCAGTGAGCCAGATGATGACATAGAGTTTAACTCAGAGGAGGAAGATTATTATCCTTCCCATTTGAGAGTGAAACTGTTCATGCAGTGGAAAGCAAAATTCCAACACACAGAGGCCTGGGTAGGATTACTGGATATAACAAAAACTTTTAAACAGCTGCCAAGAGAAAGCCTTATGTACATGAATGGTGCAGCTATGGGACACCAGTAGGGATGATATCTCCCTAAAAGGGAATGAACCTGAAAAATTGAGACAGAAGTACCCCCGGAAGTGAAATAACCCCTTTATGGGACAAGATATAGGGAAAGCCATTTCAGATTTCCTAGAAACTCAAAAGGGAAGAGATTAGGTCTGACTGGTTGCTAAAGGAAAATGGAAAAAGGGAGAAACAAAGTCTGCTGGACTGGAAAAATGAGTTTAAAAAGGCACAATTAAGGTTACTAGGAAACAAATGTGGTATGATCTGATTTCAGCTGGGATTGACAAAGAGAATATAGATGGGCAACCCAGTGGCATATTAGTGGGGTATGGAAAGACCTGACTCCTGATCAATAGTTTAGACACCTTCTTATTACCTCCCCCACCCCCCATGAGAAGAGGGAGAAAGACAGGAAGAAACCTTTGGTAAAAATTCAGGGGTGGACTTCTTTCCAGCCTGGAGATCATAGGTAGGGTCAAGGCTGCTTCTGTGCAAGAGCAATAGGGGGTGACCAGAGGCCGTATTTGGAGCTCACTATTGATTGGAGTCTTAAACAGCACTAAGAGAACCTTAGCTTTAGTGGGCACAGGTGCAGAATGTGTCTTAATTGATGGAAATCCAGAGAGACACCCTGGTAAGTGGGAAGCTATAGATGGTTGTGAGGGGTTAAAAATCTGAGAGAAACAAACTCCTCTCCTCCTTAGTTTTGTCTGGAGTTCCCCCTTTGCTTACTCTCCTGTCTTTATCTCACGTATTGCAGAAAACATCTTGAGTATGGATGTCTTCTTAGGATGCACTTTACAAACATCTGTGGGGGAATCTCACCTATGACAAAGGCTATATTAAGATGGGAGGCAAAATTAGAAGGTGTACACCTCCCTCCCCCACAATGTATTGTTAATGTGAGACAATACCATCTTCCTGGTAGAATACAAGAAATCACAGCCACCGTGGAGAAATTGGCCAAAGTTAATATTATCTGGCCAGCCCAGAGTCCTTTCAACCATCCTGTGTGACCAATAAGAAAATCTGATGGCACTTGGATATGACAGTAGATGAGTGGACACTACTGATCTTTCTAAGATATATGCTCCTTTATGTAATATAACTCAAGTGATTGAGCAATTAATACAAAACATAGGCACTTATCATGCTGTGTTAGATTTAGCTAATGCCTTCTTTAGCATCCCTTTTACCTTGACTTGCAGTCATTATATTGATGTTACTCTAACTTCTGAAGACTTGTCATTGCTACAGCAACATGGATATGCATTGACACCGTTCTTCAATCCAGAGGATGGGCCATCAACTCACAAAAGTACAAGGCCTGGAACCAGCTGCAAAGTTCCTATGGATCACTTGGCCAAGTAAGACACACCTTACTTCAGGCTTGGTCATTGAGAAAATATAACAGTTTTCCATACCTAAAACAGTTAAACAGTTACAAAGTTTCCTAGGTCTTTTGGGATACCAGTGGGCTTTCATTCCATGTTTACCTCCATGTTTGCATCCCCATACTGACTATTAAAGAAGCAATCTCAGCTGGGCACAGTAGCTCACACCTGTAATCCCAGCACTTTGGGAGACCGTGGCAGGCAGATCACTTGAGGCCAGGAGTTCGAGACCAGCATGGGCAACGTGGTGAAACCTCATCTCTACTAAAAATGCAAGAAATTAGCCAGGCATGGTGATGTGTACCTGTAATCCCAGTTACTTGTGTGGCTGAGACATGAGAGTTGCTTGAACCTGGGAGGTGGAGTATTTAGTGAGCTGAGATCGTGCCACTGCACTCCAACTTGGGCAAAAGAACTAGAAACCCTGTGTCAAAGCAAAAAAACAGATCTAGGATAAAGAACTAAAGAACAAGTGGTAGCATTTGAGAAGGCTAAAATATTGATTGCTCAGGCACAAGCTCTAGTTCCCCGCTTCTGGGATACCAGTGTCTTTTGATATGACTGTAAACCCTGAAGGGACAAAACAGGTCCTCTGGCACGTTCAGCATGGGAAAGCAGTTCTTCTAAGATTCTGGTCACAGCTATGGAAATGTGCTGAAACCCACAGTTCTCCAATTGAACAACAGGTTCTGGGAGCATGTAAGGCCATGCAGCACATTGAGCCTGTAACTGATCATCTGCCAGTAACAATGAGAACAGATCTCTCCATTAAGGGCTAGATAGAAGGGTTGTTTTCCAGGCCAATATCAGCTATTTCTCAAGTCTCCATTATACAAAAGTGGCATGCATACCTGCAAGAATGTAGCGCCCTCTCCACGAGTCCTTTGGGAGATGCATGCTATCATAGGGCCAAGACACTATGAGACCAGTGCTGCCCCTGTTGTGGAGCCCCTGCAGGAGATGCCTCTGGTAATATACGAAGGCACATCTCCATTCCTGAAAATGCCTGGCACTTAGATGGATGGAGCTGAGGTAACCCTTGTGTATAGATGACAGTAACTGTACAGTTGCAGACAAATACTGTCTGACAGAGATTGTTGAGGTTTCCAACTATAATAATGAGTTAATCTCTTTCTGTTTGCAGTTATATGAGTTTTGGCGTTACATAGTTTGACATTCTGTTGTTAGGCACTTAAATGCTTTAAGGATTATTACGTTGTACTGGAGAACTGACCCCTTCATCTTTGTGTAATGCCCGTGTTTATTTTTAGTGACTTTCCTTGCTTGAGGACTTCTCTGTAATTCATGCAGCAACTCTTCCTTTATTTGATAAGTGTTAGCCTAGGCTATTTTGTTTCATCTATTTCCTTTAAATGTATACATGTCTTTATATTTCATAGATTTTACTTAACATCATTTAGTTGGGTTGACTTTATTGATCTACACTGACATTCTCAGTTCTTTGATTGATGCTTTTAGATTACTGACAACCAATGGAGTTGGATTAATATCAACCATATGTGTTACTCTTTTTGATTTGTTGCCCTTGTTCTTTCTTCCCTTTATTGTACTTCATTTATTTTCTGTGTTTTGTGGTTTTAATTGAGAATTTTATGCAATTCTGTTTTCTCTCCATTCTTAGCATATCAATTATATAACTTTTTTTTGACTATTTTAATGGTTGCCCTATGGAATAAAACTTTCATTTTTCATATTCTTAATTTAGTCTCACAGATAATGGTTTCTGGAAAATAATAGTAGCACCAATCTATTTGATTAGGCATGCTTATGTCTATATGTTATATGTATATAAATATACATGTATATGTGCATGTGTACTCATGTATAAGTGAAAGGAATGACAGCACTAATAGGGAGAACAAAAGAGTTAAGATTATTTTGTTATTCTAAGATATTCACACTACCTGTGAGTGATACAGTGTTTTTTCAAAAAACACTTTTTGAGAAGTATCTTGGATTCATTTTAAATGTAATATTGCAAACTCTGGGTAAGGGTTTTGGACCAAGGGCCTCAGTTCTTTGCTTGCTTTGGCCTGTTTCTGAATTTAGTTTCCTCCCATGTTGGCTTCTCCCATATGGCAAATGTTCCATCAAAGCCATCAAGGGAGGGACTTTGCTAGCAAGACAAGAATCACAATCTAACATAATATAATCATCCTGCTAATGTCCCATCACCATTGTAGTATTCTGTTGATTTTAAGCAACTCACAGTTTCTGACTACATTCATTAGAAGGAATTAAAATATGAAGTTACTTATCAACTTCACTTATACTTAGAGGTGGGAGTCGTTGGGTGCCATCTTAGGTTCTACCTACCACATCTGATCTTCTCCAATATGAGATAGTTTTTCAGTCTTCACTTATTTTCTATTACCTTGACCCTTTTGACAAGGACTGGTCAGTTCTATTGTAAAATTTCCCACAGTATGAATTTGTCAGATGTCTTCTCATAATTAGACTAGGGATATGGATTAAATTCAATATTTTCAATATTTATATTTATTTAAATTTAAAGATGAGACAAAACAATATAATATTTATATATACAAACATACAGGAAAAATGAATATCAGAAAATTAGAGACTGACAAAGATAATCCATAATAATAGTTACCTTCAGCTGTTAACATAGATGATGAAATTCAGGAGATACATTCAGGGGACATCAATAATATTGTTAATGTTCTTTCTGTTTTATAAGCTCAGCAAAGGCTTAAAATAAAATAAACTTTTGAAATTTAAGAATAGTTTTAGATTTACAGAGCAGTTCCAAATATAATATAGAGTTTCCACAGACTCCATACACCATGTTCCTTAATAACCCCCTTACATTAGTGTGGGATATTAGTCACAATGAACCAACCAATATTACACTATTATTAACCATCCGCGCTTTATTCAGATTGATTTAGTCATCATTTAATGTCGAGTTTCTGTTCCAGGATCCTATCCAGGATACCTCATTACATTTACAATTCATGCTCCTTAATCGACTTTGACTGTGACAATTTCTCCAAGTTTGCATGATTGCTATGACATTGGCATTCCTAATTTGGGATTTCTTTGGTGTTTCTTTCATGATTAGAATGGATTGTAGGTTTCAGGGAGGAAGACCACAGAGGGAAATTGCCATTCTCATCACATCCTGTTAAGGGTACAGACTGCAACAGCTTTATCACTTTTGATGTTAATTTAATCACCTGAATGAGATAGTTCCAATCAAATTTCTGCACTGTGAAATTACTGTTTTTTTCTTCTCCTTTCCATGTTGTATGTTTCAAAAAGAAGTCACTACACACAACACACAAATAAGAAGTGAAGACTTATGTTCCACTTCCTAGGGGCAGAGTGTCTGCAAAAATTATTTGGAATTAATCACAATGAACAAATGCCTATTCTTCTTCAATTGTTCCATATTATTCCATCATTGTTCTACCCATAGACAAATATGGGTACTTATTTTACACTTCACTTGAAATAATTTATTTGGCTTATTGCTCAAATTGCTTCAGTATTGTCCAAGAAACTTTCTTTTTCTTTTTTTTTCCTTTTTTTTTTTTTTTGAGATGAAGTCTCGCTCTGTCACGCAGTCTGGAGTGCACAGGCGCGATCTCGACTCAGTGCAACCTCTGCTTCCTGGGTTCACACCAGTCTCCTGCCTCAGCCTCCTGAGTAGCTAGGACTACAGGCGCTTGCCACCATGCCCAGGTAATTTTTTGTATTTTTAGTAGAGACAAGGTTTCACCATGTTATCCAGGATGGTCTTGATCTCTTGACCTCATGATCTGCTCGCCTTGGTCTTCCAAAGTGCTGGGATTACAGGCGTGAGCCACCGCTCCCGGCTGGGACTTTCTTTCAGTTGGATCGTCTATAATTTTGAAATCTCCCCATAATTATGGTTTGTTGGTGTTGTGTGGCTGTTTGGTTTGTTGCATCGTTGGTTGGCATTTTCTTTTCTTCTGGCACTACTAGGTGCTGCAGGCTGATTGTGTTTATTCGCTGTCTAACCCTATTTTATCCACCGTTTCTTCACAATGCCCTAGTTCCTTTGAATGGAAAATGGGATTAGAAATGAAGATCTAGAGACTGTGGTATATTCATTGCCCCTAGGGCATCTGATGACTTGAGGCCGTGTCAGCTGACTGAGCAAAAGAATACCCATGTGTTTACTGACTTACAAATATATACAAGTGTATAAATACTTCAACATGTATGCATAGGTATCTATATTAAACTAACCATGAGTTCCACGTAATGTTTCTGGCAGCACATGATCTAATTCAGTACCACATGAAGCTGTCTACCTGTTCCAACTCGCTTGTATGTAGCTTGCACCTCTAACATGGAACTAGTTGGCTTTATTAACATAATGATATCATCCAAAAAAACATGCATAGTGTTTTCAAAAGTAGTAATTTATACACCCCTGGGAAACTACTTTACCAACTAAAACTAAGTCCTTATATACAAATTATTTGTCCTTTTGACTTAGAATCTCAGAATTTCCCTCTATTTCCTAATTTACTTAGGTTAGCCCCCTTTTCCCACTCTAGTGAGCTTATTTCACACATTTGTTATACAGTTATAATATTTAGTTAATCTCTCTCTATCAACTAAATAAGGCTTTTTTTTTTTTTTTTTTTTGTTGGATACAGTCTCGCTCTGTTGCCCAGGTTAGAGTTCGGTGGTGTGATCTTGGCTTACCTCAACCTCTGCCTCCCAGGTTCAAGGACTTCTCCTGCCTCAGCCTCCCAAGTAGCTGGGATTATAGGCATGTGCCACCATGCATGCCTGATTTTTGTGTTTTGTATTTTTAGTAGAGGCAGGGTTTTGCCATGTTGGCCAGGCTGGTGTCAAACAACTGTCTTCAAGTGATCCCCTCCACCTCAGCCTCCCGAAGTGCTGGGATTACAGGTGTGAGCCATGGCGCCTGGCCTAAATAAGGTTTTTATTTTACCATCTGTGTGTTATGAAGTTCTGTAGGTCTTGAATAACAGTGTCACATATTCAGTGTCACGTTGTCGTATAGAACAATTTCACAGCCCCAGAGACATTTCTTGTACTTTACTGATTCAAATTTTCTGTGGTCCAATCCCTTCATACTCACCGAATACTTTACTGTCTCTGTACTTTTTTCTTTTTCAGAGTGTTATATAAATGGCATCAGATAGTATTTTGCCTTTTCCAACTCGTTTTATTTAGTTATCAAAATGCTGTTTAGGTTTGTAAAGTATATCTTATGGTTGTTTAGATTTGCATTTCTTGAATAACAAAAGAATTGAGCATGTTCTCGTGTTTATTGGACAAAACTACAACATTTTTGGAAAAATGACTCTTCAAATTATTTGCCATTTTTGATTAAGATGTTTGCCTTTTTATTTTCGAGAAGTAAGACTTTTTATCTATTCTGGATAACAGACCCTAATTAGCTATGAGATTTTTGAAGATTTTCTCTCATTCTTTGGTGTTGCCTTTTTACTTTTAACCATGTACTTTGAGTCACACAATACTTTTTTGTAATGAGTTCAATATGTCTGTTTTTTAATTTTAATACTTGATTTCTGATGAAGTTCTTTATGTCTTTTTAAAATTATGTTCATTTGCTTTAGGTGTCATAGCTTAGAAACCATTGTTTAACCCAAGGCTACTGTATTAGTCTGTTCTCCCATTGGTATAAAGAAATACTGAGACTGGGTAATTTATATAGAAAAGAGGCTTAATTGGCTCATGGTTCTGCAGGCTGTACAGGAAGCATAGTGACTTCTGCTTCTGGGAAGGCCTCAGGAAATTTCCAATCATGGTGGAAGGCAAAGGGGGAGCCAGCACTTCACACGGCCAGAGCAGGATGAAGAGAGGGGCTGGAGTGCTACACACTTTTAAGCAACCAGATCTTGTGAGAACTCACCCACTATCAGGAGAACAACACCAGTGGTGCTAAAACCATTCATGAAAATCACCCTCAGGAGCCAATCACCTCCCACCAGATCCCATGGCAAACACTGCAGATTACAATTTGACATGAGATTTGGTGGGGACAAAGATCCAATTTATTTCAGCGATGAAAATGTATTCTTATGTTCTATGGAATTGGTCTATTTGGCCCCTATATTTAGATGCATAATTAATTTGAGTCAATTATGCATATGGTGCTAGGGAGGAGATAACTTCCATGTAAATGTCCATTTGTCCCAGCAACACTGTGTGAGGAAATATTTCTTTATATTGAATTGACCTGTCAACCTTGTAAAATTGTTTTACCATGCATGTAAGAATTAATTTTCGACATTTGATTTTATTCCATTGATATATATGTCTCACTATTGGGGGAAATTCAGCCAGATATCAGGCGAAATTCACCCCCGATATTTCACGTACGTTCTTTTCTAGATTCCCTGAGTGTCGGCGGGTCTGAGAAATAAAGGGACAGAGTACAAAAGAGAGAAATTTTAAAGCTGGGTGTCTGGGGGAGACATCACAGGTCGGCAGATTCCGTGATGCCCCCCGAGCCGTAAAACCAGCAAGTTTTTATTAGTGATTTTCAAAAGGGGAGGGAGTGTACGAATAGGGTGTGGGTCACAGAGATCACGTGCTTCACAAGGTAATAGAATATCACAAGGCAAATGGAGGCAGGGCGAGATCACAGGACCACAGGACTGAGGCAAAATTAAAATTGCTAATGAAGTTTCAGGCATGCATTGTCATTGATAACATCTTATCAGGAAACAGCATTTGAGAGCAGACAACCAGTCTGTCCAAAATTTATTAGGCGGGAATTTCTTCATCCTAATAAGCCTAGGAGCGCTATGGGAGACTAGGGCTTATTTCATCCATACATCTTTGACCATAAAAGATGGCTGCCCCCGAAGTGGCCATTTTAGAGGCCTACACTCAGGATCGCATTCTCTTTCTCAGGGATGTTCCTTGCTGAGAAAAAGAATTCAGTGATATTTCTCCCATTTGCTTTTGAAAGAAGAGAAATATGGCTCTGTTCTGCCCAGCTCACTGGCGGTCAGAGTTTAATGTTATCTCTCTTGTTCCCTGAACATTGCTGTTATCCTGTTCTTTTTTCAAGGTGCCCAGATTTCATATTGTTCAAACACACATGCTCTACAAACACTTTGTGCAGTTAATGCAATCATCACAGGGTCCTGAGGCGACACACATCCTCCTCAGTTTACGAAGATGATGGGATTAAGAGATTAAAGTAAAGACAGGCATAGGAAATCACAAGGGCATTGATTGGGGAAGTGATAAGTGTCCATGAAATCTTCACAATTTATGTTCAGAGATTGCAGTAAAGACAGGAGTAAGAAATTATAAAAGTCTGAATTTGGGGAACTAGTAAATGTCCATGAAATCTTCACAATCCACGTTCTTCTGCCATGGCTTCAGCCAGTCCCTCGGTTCCGGGTCTCTGACTTCCCACAACATCTCTCCTTCTCACGTAGTAGATATACACACACACGGTACATGATATGTTTTGGTACAGGCATGTAATGTGAAATAAGCACACATCATGGAGAATTGGACAACTATCTCTATGAGCATTTATCCTTTGAGTTACAAACAATTCAATTATGCTTTTTAAGTTTTGTAAAAATATACAATTATTATTGACTTTCATAGTTACCCTGTTATGCCATCAAACAGTTTGTTTTATTCATTCTTTCTATTTGTTTTGTAACCATTAAACATCCCTACCTTCCCCCAGCCCACTGCTACCATTTCCAGCCTCTGTTAACCATCCTTCTACTCTCTGTATCCATGAGTTCAACTGTTTTGATTTTTAGAACCCACAAATAAGTGACAACATGTGATATTTGTCTTTCTGTGCCTGGTTTATTTCACTGAAGATAGTGATCTCCAGTTTTATCCCTGTTGTTACAAATGACTGGGTCTCTTTATTTTTTATGGCTTAATAGTACTCCACTGTTTATATGCACCATATGTTCTTTATCCAGTCATCTGTTGATGGACACTTAGATTGCTTCCAAATCTTAGCTGTTGTAAACAGTGCTGCAACAAGCATAGGAGTGCAGATATCTCGTTGATATACTGATTTCCTTTCTTTGGGGTATATATCCAGCAGCCTACTGCTGGGTATATTTGGTAGCTCAATTTTAGTTTTCTGAGGAACCTCCAAACTGTTCTCCATAGTGGTTGTGCTAATTTACATTCCCACCAACTGTGTACAAGGGTTGCTTTTCTCCACATCCTCACCAGCATTTGTTATTACCTGTCTTTTGGATAAAAGCTATTTTACCTGGGGTGAGATGATATCTCATTGTAGTTTTGATTTGCATTTCTCTGATGATTAATGATTTTGAGCACCTTTTCATATGCTTGTTTGCCATTTGTATGTCTTTTGAGAAATACTTATTCCAATATTTTGTCCTTTTTTGGTTGGATTATTTGACTTTTTTCCTATAGGGTTGTTTGAGCTGCCTATATATTCTAGTTATTAATCCATCAGATGGGTAGTTTGCAAATATTTTTTCCCATTCTGTGGATTGTCGCTTCACTTTGTTGATTATATCCTATGCTGTACGGGAGCTTTTAACTTGATATGATCTCATTTGCCCATTTTTGCATTGGTTGCGTATGCTTGTGGGATATTGCTCAAGAAATTTTCTCCTAGACCAACATACTGGAGAGTTTCCTTAATGTTTTCTTGTAGTACTTTCGTAGTTGGAGGTCTTCAATTTAAGTCTTTAATCCATTTTGACTTGATTTTTTGCATACAGTGAGAGACAGAGTTCTAGTTTCATTCTTCTGCATATGGATAACCAGTTTTCCCAGCACCATTTATTTAAGAGACTGGCTTTTTCCCCAGTGTACCTTCTTGGCAACTTTGTCAAAAATGACATAACTGTAGGGTTGTGGATTTGTTCCTTGGTTTTCTATTCTGTTCCATAGGTCTATATGGGTATTTTTATTCCAATACCTTGCTGTTTCATTTACTATAGCTCTCTAGTATAATTGGAAGTCAGGTAATGTAATTCCTCTAGTTTTGTTCTTTCTGCTTAGGATAGCTATGGCTATTCTGGGTCTTTTGTTGTTCCATATCCTTAACACAATTTTGATTACTATTGCTTTTGTGGTATGTTTTGAAATCAGAAAGTAGCATTTTACTACACAAACTTTGTTCTTTTTCAAAATTATTTTGTCTGTTCTGGAATTCTATTGCATTATATATGAATTTTAGAGTAAAATTGTCAATTAGGGGAGAAAATGTCACCTAGGATTTAGCTAGGGATTGCATTAGATATATTTGGAAAGTACCAGCAAGCTAATGATACTAAGCTTTCTAATCAGTGAAAGCTCAATGTATTTAATTTATAATAGTATTAATTTGTTTGATATGTTTTGTAGTCCTCAGTATATGTATCTTATACTTATTTTATTAAATTAATTCATAGGTATTTAACTTTTATGCCATTTTACATGAAATGGTTTTTGAAATTTTGTTTTTAGATTGTTAATTGCTAATAAATAAAAATACAGTTGATTTTGTATATTGACCTGTACTAAGCTGTACTACAAGCCTGCTTATCCCTTTTTTCATATTTTGTTATGTTTTATTAGAGATTTTATGATGTCTATAGACAGGATCATGTCATTTGGAGACATAATTTGACTTTCCTTCCAATCGGACTGCGTTATGTTTATTTTCTACACCAATTACCTTGGCCACATCCTCCAGTACAGTGGCGACTAATACTGTGAAAGTGATATCCTTCTCTTGTTTCTAATTTTACAAGAAAGTTCTTGAGCTTCTCAGAAGATTTAGGATGTCATGTGAGGTTTTCTGTGCTTTCATGATAAGGAAACTTTTCTTATTTGCCTAACTTTTTGCATGGTTTTATAAGGAATGAAATTTCACTTTAGCAGGTGCTTATTGCTCATCTTTTAAGATGACCATGTGTATTGTGTCCCTTATCTCTTAATATAGTTTATGGCACCAATTCTTTTCGTATGTTGAACTAAATTTGCATTCGTAAGATGTATACCTTCATCAAAATTTATAAATTTTTACATGCCAGTTATTTGCTTTGATAGTATTCCCTTTAATTTTTGTTTTTATGTTCATAAGTCATATTGATCATAGTTTTTCTTCAGTAACTTTGTCTAGCTGTGGTATAAGGCTGATAACTCAGATTGGAAAGTGATCTATTCTTCGTGTTGCTCTTACTGTTTTTTATGTGAAAGGTCTAAATTGATCTAGCACAAATAGAATTGAACACATGAAAAGGAGAAAAAATGTACATTTTTTCAAGATAATTTTCAGACTTTGCAAACAATTATATTGTATAAGTGAATAAAACCAAATCAGAGTAGTAAAAAGATGTAATTGGGCTACATAGATGGAGATTTAGAAAACACTAGAAAGGGAGAGAGAAAGGTGGGTGATAAATTACTCTTTTTAATATGATTTCATTGTTTTGCATATTTCTTTCTTTAAATACATTACCTACAAGTATAGACAAAGATGAAAATGTGGGTTAACAGGTCCTCATTATTTAAAAGAAATATCAGATTTAATTCTGGTATTTCATTAAGGTCAATTTAGTTTGTATGCTCAGGAGACCTAACATGTAGACATTTGAAGTGACACATTTTGTGAGCCTTCATAAATATCTATAAAAAATGGAATATCACAGTTTTTAAAAACTTAAAAGTTGAGCAAAACAAGGATTTAAATATTATTATTAAAGTTGTTACCTATTCCAAGATGAGGACTTAGAAAAACAAACAGTTGGCAAACCAGTGCAGCAGGTGACATCCGTGAAGCCGCAGGCACACCCTGGGGACTGCGGTGTTGCTGGAGCTGACACTGCTGTGCTGCACATGTGGCTGCCACCAGTTTCCTCCCTCTCTGGGAAGTGGAATTTGAATTGCAAGTGATTATGGCTGATGGACGGAGGGACAAGACCACATTATCTCAAAATGCTTGGCTCTGTTGCTTGCTCCTCATTTCACTGCTAGGTGCCACAGGCTTGGGGTTTACTGTTTATTTTTTGAAAAATATATGATAAATTGGTATTAATTATTTGAAGATGTAAAATCATTCACTGGTGATGTCTTCTTGACCAAGTCAGGAAATTTTTTTTTTTTCACAAACAGGGTCTCACTCTGCATCCAGGCTGGAGCACAGTGGCATGAATGTAGCTCACTGCAGACTTGAACTCCTGGGGTCAAGCAATCCTTTTGCCTCAGCCACTTGAGTAGCTGGGGCCACAGGCACATGCCACCATGTCTGGCTAATCTTTTTTCTTCTTTTCTTCCTTCCTTTTTTTTGTGTGGTAGAAACAGGTTCTAAGTATGTTGCCCAAGCTGGTCCTGAACCCCTAGCCTCAAGTAATCCTCCTGCCTCAACCTACCAAAGCATTGGGATTACAAGTTTGACCCACCGTGATCAGTCCAGGGTAGGAAATGGAATCTTAGCAACTATCACATGAGCTTTGAGGGAATCCTTCTCCAGATGAGCCTTCAGTTGAGACCTCAGCCGTGGACATCATCTACATCTGGATTCCTGGCCCAGAGCAACTGTAAGTAATGTGTGTGTGATTTTGAGCCATCACACTATGTGGCAATTTGTTGTGCAGCAACTGATAACTAATACAAAAGATAGCACATTTAATTTCTAATACTACCCTGGATTAGATTCTGGAACAGAAAAATGGCATTACTAGAAAACCTGGTAAACTCAGAAGAAAGTCTGTAGTTCAGTTAATAGTTTTAAGCCACTGTAAGTTTATTAGTTTTCATAAATACATTATGGGTATATAAATAAGATGTAACATTCTAGTAAACTCCTGGGTATGTAAAACTAGCTATACTATGTTTGCATCTTTATGTGTATCTAAAATTATTTTAAAATGAAATCTTTGATTTTTTATTTTTAATTAAAAAAGACAGGCATGCATATGTTATCCCAGCTTCTGGGGAGGCTGACTTGGGAGGATTGCTTGAGCCCAGGAGTTCCAAACTGAAGTGAGCCATGATTGTGTCACTGCACTCCAGCTTGGGAAACAGAGGGAGATCAAGACTCAAACAAAAAATTGGCCTCAGAAGATGAATGGACATACAGAAAAAAAATAGCCAAGCAGATTTTCGCATACATTTACCCTTCCATACATACATCCATCTACTTCAGGAAGCCACTATCAAACTCAAGGAACTCTTGTCCATATTTGACCTCCCCATCACACTCTTTATTACCAAGTAACTCGTTTGAGTGTCAGTAACCTCTCTGTTTTCAGAGATATTTGCCTATGCCTCACATACCCCAGAAAGGCCCATTTTCAGATATCATTTAGGAACATATCTACAGGATCCCACTGAACATATTTTGGCAGACAAAGTTTCTGGATGCCAAAGACCAAGATTGAGGAATGTTAGTGACAAGAAATATAAATTATATTTTCATATTATGTTTTTTTTATTAATACAGGCTTAGTTTTCTAAAGATAATTCTGCCTTCAAGCCTTGTTGGAATTCTGTGATAATTTCTTTTCACTCCACGATCTCCATCAGGAATTTTATGGAACCTTGTATTCTGTTGAATACCAGAATTATATCAGCAATCCCCAAGCCCCAAAGTCACCAAATGGGCATCATCATGACAGCAGGTGAGTGGAATACAAAGATATATATGTATATATATATATATATATATATATGGTTGTTGGTGGTTTTGGCAGTTTCTACTTATCTGGACCTGGACAAAAAAATCTTTTCACACCAGATTTTTGGCAGCTGAGATTCAAAATAGCTTTTGCACAGGCATGGAAAACCTGATAGAGGCAAAACAACAGGCCAGGTGTGGTGGCTTATGCCTGTAATGCCAGCGCATTGGAAGGCCAAAGTGGGTGGATGGCTTGAGTCCAGGAGTTCAAGACCAGCCTGGGCAACATGGAAAAACTGTTTCTCTACAAAAAAATAGTAAAATTAGCTGAGTATAATGGCACACCCTGGTGGTCCCAGTTACTCAGGAGGCTGAGGCAGGTGGATGGATTGAGCCCAAGAGGTCAAGGCTGCAGTGAGCCGTGATTGTGTGACTGCACTGCAGCCTGAGCAATAAAGTCAGACCCAAGAAAGAAAGAGAGAGAGAGAGAGAGAGGAAAGAGAGAAAGAAGGAAAGAGGCAAAAAAGGGAAGGAAGGATAGGAAGGAAGAAAATACAACATATCCTCAACCCTCCAGCAGTGATCTAAGAGATAGACAGAGGCTGAGTGGTGATTCTGCATATGTGCTGGCTAAACAGAGAATCCCAGAGCAGGAAGGATTCTCCACTCACCGCACACACAACTTCCTGTTCAACACGCTGCTGGACAGCACCAGGGTTGTTTCCAGGGACCATGCCTAAAAACCCACAAAGACATCAGACTTCATTCTGCACACCAATGGCCATGTATAATGTTGACTTGTTTTTTGGTTTATAAACATGGGGTCTATTTTCTACACCATGGTAATAGTGACAGTGAGAAAATGAGCTCCTGTGACCTAGAAACTTGGAAGAGACATTCAGCTTCATGGAAGTCATTCCTCATTCTGAGATGAGGATTCTTAGCATTCCTGAAATGGCACTTCCTTGCTTAATTGTGTACCCTGTCAAGCACTGGAGGGAGAGGCCATCTCTGTTATCTCATTATACTGAGGAGGCAGAGTAGCTCCCTCTTATTGGTCTGATGCCTCACTTGGTAGCATCAAGGCAATCCGGGCCAACGCAGAGGCCGGCGCTAAGGGCCCCGTATGGCGGTACCGCAGTGGGAGCTGTTGGGGTGGAGCAGAGGCCAGGTGCGTTCTGGCTGTGGTGGTTGGAGCTGCTAAAACAGCTTGGGTGTAGGACATTTAAAAGTCCTAATTCTTCTTCATTGCTTTCTGCCTGAGTTTGGCTATCTGGCTTGTGAAGAGTCCTTTTTCCATTCTGTCCCTTGGTACAGCTGGCAGCTGGCGTCTTCCCTCATGGTATGAATCCTGATTTTCAAAAAGCATGAAGGCTTGGACATATGGTATTTTTTCTAATTTTCCAGACCTCTGACAAAATGAGTCTAACTGCATTAAAGACTAGTATTGGTTACGTCCAGTCAGAGGTCAAAATTTATAACCTAACTTGTCCACAGTCCAAACAGCACTGCAATAATAGACCGTTTTTCTCTTAGTCAAGGGCTCATAGGTATAGGATCTACACTTAGCTAGGGTATGCCCCAGGGGCTCCCAGAGGGGATAGAGACCTTGTTTCCCCTCCTGACTTGGTTTCTATATCCATACTGCTCTTCCCAGTTGAAACAGTGATGACCACTTTTATTTGTTGTCTCTCTTCTGTTCTGCACTGCTCATGTCCTTCAACCAGACCTCTGTGGGTTGGAAAGACTTTTCTAGCTTCATATAAGTAGTGCAGTAATAGCACTCATGGTCCTAAAGGAACACTTGTGCAAATCACACCACACAGCTGGGACAGCCAAAGAGATCAGAGAATAAATTCCTTGGGCAGGCTACTGATTAGCACCAGCTAGCACAGCACTCCCCCACCACCACCCCCACTCCGCCCCCCGCCCAGCCCCAACAGCACATCAACTTCATCCCAGGTCCATGTTCTGCTGTACTTAGTACCCTAGTAGAGGGTAACCGAATGGCAACAAATTAAATGGTAAATTAGGCAGATAAAAAGGGCAGAGGGGTTGGAGTCAGGACTGCCTAAACACTTAACCCATATGCTGTTAAGCTTTTTTTCACATAAACAACATTAAGCACCGTAAGCATGGTGGCAAGCCCTTTAGATAACCTATGGAATAGTTCACATCCTTCCTTTCCCCATAAAAACTGGCACAGTTGTGAGAAGTACTCCAGGGCCCCAAAAAGAGTGACCCTGCTAGGGCAGTGGAGGCTATTTCCCTCCAGGGCTGGATCCTGGATGGAGTGGGGCTTATGCAGATCACCCTGCAGAGGAAAGGAGGAGGAGGAGAGAGAGACAGAGATGAGGGCCTAAATGTAGATATTGTACCTTTTACAGTTGCAGGTTCAGACTGCAGAGTCCCGGACAGATCCCCACTAAAGGGCTGGGTAAACGGCCTGAAACCTCCTCTCAATTTCAGATGCCCTCCTGCCAATCAGCTGACTCCAAGTGGAGCAAAGCCCAGGTCTTGACATAGATACAGATACCATACATGCCCAGATGATGTCACAAGCAGCTATATGTAAACAGAGCAGAGGTCAGGTGACATCACAGAACAGGCAGAGGCAGTTCAGGGGGTATTCTGGTTGCCTTACCCAGCTCTGAAGTCTGTCAGCCTCTTCAGATGTCACTTGCCCTGTGGTAAGGAAGTGTAGTCAGCACCTGGTGCAGTGGCAAGAAGAGAAAGGAAGTTCCCCAAGACAGAAACATCTCAGCAGGTAAAGAGAAATTCCCTAGAGCCCCAATCATGGGACCAGCTAGTTGGAAGCAGGTGGCATTCCTGGGTAGTTTCTTTCCCTTCCAGTGGCCAGAATGGTTAAGCCTTGGTGTGCTTGTGTGTCTGATTGCCCCATTCATCGGAATCCAGACCAATGGTTTCAGGAACTCTGAGTGTGTTGTTCCCCTCTATGTGTCCATGTGTTCTCATCATTTAGCTCCCACTTATAAGTGAACATGGAGGTATTTGGTTTTCTGTTCCTGTGTTAGCTTGCTAAGAATAATGGACTGGCAGCTCCATTCCTGTCCCTGCAAAGGACATCATCTGGTTCTTCTTTATAGCTGCGTTGTATTCCATGGTGTATATGTGCCACATTTTCTTTATACAGTCTATCGTTGATGGACAATTACTTTGTTATTAGCTTTGTCCAGGAAAGAATTTAAGGGCAAGTGGGTGATGTTAGACTGCAATATTTTATTGAATGGTAGTGCTCCTAGCGGAGCAGGGTTAACTCTTAAGCAGTGTATTCAGAGGTGGCAACATATAGGCCTCTTGGCAACTGTATTTATATGCAATGAAACCCACTTTTAATTACATGCAAATTGAGGGGCAGTCAATGCAAATTGAGGCAGGAAAGGGGCAGTGACTTCTAGGTTGTCTCCATGGAAAGGGCAGTAACTTCTGAGTTGTGGCCATGGAATTTGTAAAGAGTTATGTGGTTGGTAGGAGTGTCTTATGTGAGTGACAAATGAAGACTGCCAGGGTGACATTTGCCACAATGTACAGGCTTCTGCCAGTTTTTTCACTTTATCCTATCTGGAGCAGATCTTATTTTGGTCATCAAGGCTGTGAAACCAGAAAACAAGTCCTTCCAGTCTCTTACCTCATAGTGACAAAAGACATTGAGCATATTTTCATGTGATTTTGGATACGACTATGGCTTTTTGAGAATTGGCTATGTAAGATTTTGCCATTTTTGATTGGGATATTTGCCTTTTTAATTTTGAGTTGTAAGACATTGCGTATTCTGGATAATAGACCATTACCACCTATAAAATTTGCAATTTTCAAATATTTTCTGCCATTCTTTGGGTGCCTCTTTGTATTTGATGGTGGACTTTAAATTGCAAAAGGTTTTAATTCTAATGAGGTTTATCATTTCTATATTTTCTACTTTTCTTTGTAATTTTTCAGTGTCATATCTTAAAACATTGTTTAACCAAAGACCACAAAGATGTATTCCTGTGTTCCTTTTTATGGGTTTGGTCTGTTTAGCTCTTATGTTTAGATGGATTATCATTTTGAGTCAATTATGTTTCTGGTATGAGGCAAGAGTCTAACTTGCATGTGGATATCCACTTGACCCAGAAACATTTGACAAGAAAATATTGCTTCATACCTAATTTATTTGGCCACATTATAAAAGCATTTCACCATAAATGTAAGGATTCATTTTTGAGTATTATATTCTACTCCATTGATCAATACATATATCCCTATATTAGTACCACAAATCTTGATTACTATTACTTTGTAGTAAGTTTTGAAATCAGGAAGCATATGTCTACTATGCAAACCCTTTTTGTCCTTCTCAAGAGTGTTTTGGCTGCTCAGTATCTATATTATATATAATTTTAGGATAAGCTTCTGAATTTAGGGGAAGGTAATGCCACCTGGGGTTTTGAGAGAAGTTGCATTAATTCTATAGATCCGTTTGGAAAATATTGCCTACCTAACAATATTAACCCTTCTAAACAATGAGCATTCAAAGATTTTCTATTAATTTTGTTCAATATGCGTTCTATCGTTTTTAGTGTACATATCTTATACTTAATTTGATAAGCTTATTCCTAAGTATTTTTGATGTGATCTCAATTGCAACGATTTTCTGAGTTTTGTTTTTAGATTGTTAATTGCTAGTATAGAGAAATTTAAAATATTTTATATATTTTATATACTGCAAACTTCTTTGAACTCATCTTTAAATTCTAAACATGTTTGATTAGAGTCCTTTGGACTTTTTATACATGAGATCATGTCATTTGCAAACAGTGAGAGTTTGACTTCCTTTCCATATTAGAAATATTATATTTTTCTAAATGATTTGCCCTGTCTACATTCTCCAGTACAATGTTGCAAACAAGTGTGAACAGTGGAAATAGGTGACTTGTTTCTAATATCAGAGAAATTAGTGAACCTTTCAGATTACTTATGATGATATGTGAGCTTTTCATAGATGCCCTTTGAAATGAAGAAAGTTCTCTTATCTGCCTAATTTGCTGCATGTTTTTATAATACTGAATCTGGGAATTTTCAAGTGCTTGTTGCACACCTTCTGAGATGATTGTGTAGTTTTTATTCTTTATTAATATAGTGTATGACATTAATTGTATCATATGTTGAACCAAACTTGCATTCCTGAGGTAAATACCTTTTGCCATAGTTTATAATACTTTCTACATGTTGCTGATTTCATTTGATAATGTCTCCCTGGTGATTTTTGTCTCTGTATTTATAAGGCATATTGGTCTTCATTCTCCTTATTTGAAATATATTTGTGTAGTTGTTCAATCAGGGTAAACGAATTCATAGTATACAATGGGAAGTAATCTATTTTCTACTTCTTTATTATTATTGTATTGTTTTGAAATATTTTTGATAAATTAGTATTAATTTTCTGTGATTTTAATAACACATCAGTGAGTTCCTGATGAGGGAAGGGAAGTGAATCCTAAGAACAATCATGTGAGTTTGGAAGGAGACCCTTCCCCAGCTGAGCCTCAGCCTGAGCCATCACCTACATCTAGACCGAAGACCCAGAGAAACCGTGAGTAATATGTGTGTGGTTCTGAGCCACTAAGGTACGTACTAATTTGTTATGCACCAAGTAGTAAGTAATATACTTGACAGTAATTGTAAGGTGGTATTCTGGATTAGGTCCTGGAATAGATAAGTATATGATTATTAAAAAACCTGGTAAAATATGAAGGAAGTTTGTAGATCAGTTAATAATCTCGAAAAACAGTTAAATTCTTAGTTTTCATGAATATGCTATGGTTATAATATATATTAACATTCTAGTTAGCTGAATGGTATATGAAACTGTCTGTACTTACCTATGTGCATTTATGTAAATCTGCAGTTATTTCAAAATAAATATGTTTTTTAATATTATTATTATTTTTTTAAGAAAAGTAAGCAAGTAAAGACATCAGCAAAAAACTTTTGCCTCCAGATACAAGTGGGCATGTAGGGAGAGAATAGTAAACTGGCTTTTCTTTTCTAGGCAACATTCGAAACCCAGGTGCCACTCCTTCAGGAAGGTACCATCAAGCTCCAAGGACTCTTATCCTCTTTCTCCTTCCCCACTACCTAGTCATTAGAGCGTCAGCATCCACTTCTTGAAAGGAAGATGCCTGTTTTTCACATATCCCAGAAAACCCCATTTTAGGACAGCATTTAGCAGAGTATATTCAGGATCCCACTAACCTTTTTGGAAGACATGACTTCCAGATGATATAAGGCAAGAATAAGAAATTTCAGTGACAGGGAACAGAAATCATATTTCTGCATTCAGGATCATGTTTTCTTGGTACGGGGATTTCTTCTTCAAGTAACCCAAGGTCAACTTTACCTTCAAACCTTTCAGAAAACCTGTTCTAATTTACTTTGCTTCTTTCTACAGGCTCCATCAGGAACTGTGCAGGACTGTGCACTCTGTTGATACTCACATGGTGGAATTATATTGCCTTTGGCCAACCCTAAAGCCATCAAGATAGCAGGTAAGCAGAGTACAAAAAATATTTCTCATAAGTTGGTGCAGGGCAGTCCCTGCTTCCAGAGGCCTGGGAATAAAACTTTACAACAGAGTTTTTGCAGGTGAATGATACTGAGTGATATATACATGTTGTGCACAAGAAGAGAAATCTCAGTAGACAAAAAAACAAACAAACAAAAAAACCAGTATACAGCATATCTCCAACCCTCCATGCAGTGATCTGAGAGACAGAAACAGGGTGACTGATGACTCTGCATGTGTACTCGCTGCCCACTAATTCTCCACACAGCTTCCTATTAAGAGGCCATTGCACTCTTCTTAGTAGCAGCAGAGTTGTTTTCAGGAACCATGCCTAAAAGGCCTACAAAGCCATGGAGGTACATATTAAACTCCCATTGACATCCATAAATCTTGAATAGCAGGATGTCACAGGCACAGATGACAAAGTGCTGAGCACTGAGTCCCCAGACAAACTTTCACTGCATGGAAGATATGATTTCGCACAGTATCCTAAATCAACAGTTGTATAGAGGCTGGTCTGGACACCACAAGTCTACAGAAGATGCTATTGCAAACAAACCACATTTTTAGACGACATCATGAGGCAAACCCAGTGCTCTGTCTCCACACTCTAACCTGATAAGAAGATTGAGTTCAAGGAAGGAATGTCTCATATATGTAATGGCATGGCTTTGTGTTTACTTAATTCAACCTTCCCGGAGTCTAAAACTCTAGGTGAAATTTCAGTCAGCCCCCTTAACTCTGACTGTATGAGTTTTTTCATCACTCAGTGTACTCATGAGGGGACATCGAAACCGATTCCAATATCCAATTACCCAAAGTAGAGTTGACCAGAGAAGCAAGGGGGCAGATCAGAATATCTTATAAAGACCATTATGCATTCACTTCTGCAGTGACTAATCATAAGGTGATTTCTACGATCACCAGCCATGTGATTAAAAGGACAAATGTGAATGAAGAAAAAGATATACAAATGTTACAGCTGAAAGAATGGAATCTGTAATGAAGTTTACAGGAAGCGTTGCTCATATTTCTAAGATTACAGTTTAAAGTTTCAAAATACAGGATTTTCCCACGTCTTTAGAGAGCTAGCACTCCAGTAAATTTTTCAAGTAACTCTTTACAATTTTCATCTTTGTCTTCAATGGATTTCTTAAACCATGGTTCATAGAACTATATTTCCATATGTGACATAAGAATTCTAGCACTCCACTAATAACTCTAATGTGTCTAAAATTATAAATGCAGTTTATAACACCTCTCTGGACACTCACTTTAATGAGAAGTGGACAAACTGGACTTCCCTAATGGAGGGCAGTGGTGAAGCTTCCAGGTAGAATATAAATGCAGTTTATAAATTTATATGGTAAGATTTAAGCATATTTCCTCAATAACAAACAAGAATATAGCCAATGAGCCACCATAATTTAACAGTGAGAAACAAGCAGTCACAGAGAAAACAGTGTATTCCATTCATCGTAGAGTGCACATTTTCACATCTATCAAATACAGATGCATCTTAAATTTGAAAGCGTTAAAACACTGTTGACGGGAAGGCAGTCATAATGTGATTGTCCTCATTTACCTGTATATGAGCTTTGTCTGCAAACCTCCTGTTGATGTTTTTGGGTGATGTCATCAACATCAGCATCAAATCTTGCACAGGAGGTTTCAGAAGGTTGAAAATAGAGACTCGCAGGAGCAAGGTAGGAATCTCACAGGAAATGCAGCATCACCAAATCCTCAGATTAGCACAAATGATGATAACATGGGGAACACCATGAGCAAGATGAATTGAAGAGTGATTTAGGAGAGTTGGATCTGAATGGGAGGAAATTTAGGAAAACCTTTGTTGGTGTATTTTCCTTATATGTTCCATCCCATGTAATCATAGGAGTGACAAAAGACAAGACAAATATCCACAGATATATGTCTTGAAAACAGCTTTTTTTCCAATAATTATAATATAATGATGTTATTATTATACAGTGTATTTCCACATGATAAAAGTATTAGTTTCATTGTTAGTGATTTTGTTCTTTCATTCTGATATAGGAAATAATGACACATTACAACTGATGCAATTGATACATCTCACAATTTATTAGAATATTTGTTTTTTGGGGTTAGTGTAGGCTTAGTAAGATACTACGTGGTTTATATGTTATCATTTCATACAATCCACCTGCCATCTCAGGAAGTAAGCACTATTCCCGCTCCTCTGGTCCATTTCCAAGTCTGAGCTAACTCTCGAAAGGAGAGGCCTAAAGGAACCTTGAGTTTGATTCTATATGCCCCACAGTCTTTGCTCACATCAACTACATAGATTATGTTTTGTCTTACATGGTAAATGCTTTTCAGGTCTAGTTTCAGACAGCTTAGCCTACCTCGTGGTCTTGAAGTTATTTTCCTGAATTGTGTTCTGTATACTCTACTAAATATTTTTATATTTATGTCTATGAACCAAGTATAATTAATTTTGTGTGTAATGTCAGGTCATAGGTCAGATTCTAATTTCTCCCTGTGGATATTCAATACCCTGGAACATTTTAATAAAAATCCAAGTTTCCCCCATGCAGCAACTTAAATATATGCTTATATATGCATATGTCTGATTTTTAAGTTATTGGTTGTTTATTCTATCTCTGTGCAAGTACCACACTCTTATTATTAAGAGAGTCTATTCAAGAATTTTCTCTCTAGAGATTGTTCTTTTTCTTCTTTTTTAAGAGATAATTTTGTTCTGTCACACCAACTGGGGTACAGTGGCACAAACATGGAACACATTCTGTGTGTGAGCTGCTGGACTCAAGTGATCCTCCCCGCTCAGCCTCCTGAGTAGCTGGGACTACAGGTGCAAGCCCCCATGCCCGGCTAATTTTTAATTCTTTTTAATGGAGAGGAGGTCTCTCTTTGTTGCCCAGGCTGATCTAGAACTCCTGGCCTTAAGCAATCCACCCTCCTTAGTCTCCCAAAGCATAGGAATTGCAAGCGTGATCCATTGTGCCTGGCCCAGGGCCTGTTCTTTTAATCACTGAGCTGCTCTATAATGAGGTGAAAGAAGTTCAGACGTGCATGCCTTGCACCTACAGCAATCCTTTCAGCTGTACCTTGAATGAGGCTGTGGATATACAACTTTAGAACGTTGCTATTGACTCTGAAATCTCTACGTCCTTGTGAATCTTAGGCAGTCTCCCAACACCACTATCCACTTTATGTATTTAGTATCTTAGACAACAGCCAATGTTGTTGAAAACCTGGAGAGGCAGCCCTGGCTGCCTACTGCCCTGCTGTAGATGATTCTGTGAACAGAGTCCCCCTCCAGACCATGCCCAACAAAGACAGGTTCACAGGGGAGCCTCTGAGCTCAGAGCCTCTCTGGGGGCTCTGCATGCACAAGGACAGCGCCTCCCTGCCTTGGTTGTGGGGTGAGGTAGGGAATTCAAGTCTTTTAAAAAAGGCTGAGGCCGGGCGCGGTGGCTCACGCCTGTAATCCCAGCACTTTGGGAGGCCGAGGCGGGCGGATCACGAGGTCAGGAGATCGAGACCATCCTGGCTAACACGGTGAAACCCCGTCTCTACTAAAAATACAAAAAATTAGCCAGGCGTGGTAGCGGGCGCCTGTAGTCCCAGCTACTCGGGAGGCTGAGGCAGGAGAATGGCGTGAACCCGGGAGGCGGAGCTTGCAGTGAGCCGAGATCGCGCCACTGCACTCCAGCCTGGGCGACAGAGCGAGACTCCGTCTCAAAAAAAAAAAAAAAAAAAAAAAAAAAGGCTGAGTTTGTTCAAAAATGATTCTGCTTGCTGACCAATGACACCTTAAGACTTTAGATTTTACATTGTGATATTTCTCCTTGATTTTGATTTAATTTGTTGTGCAAATGTCTTAAACGCTTTTGTATAAATATTCTCTTTTGTTGGTCATATAAATATCATCTAAAACCAAATGTTTTTTTTGTATCATAGATTTAAGGCCGTTATTTGTCTATTTTAAAAATGCATTCATAATTATTTTTCAATGAACCATATCAATTATTTTCATCTTTACTCCTATTTCCCTTTCATAAATTGAACGTTAATATCATTTTTATTAGAAGCGACAGACGTTACACATTCTGTTTTATGATTTTCCAGAAATTTCCCCTTAAATAGCTCTGGTTAAATAGAAGGACAGAAACTATTCTGTAAGCCACAAGGCAAAATTGTCCCACATTAAAAAGATCTTCTTATGCTTAAAAAGATCTGTCAAACTTTCTATTCTATGGCTTAGTTTGCTGTACATGTGAAAGGTTAACAAGGTATTGATTTGTGTGGCAGGAAAGTTAGACTTCACATCTGAATGCAAGGAGCAACGTCTTCTTAACCATGCTGGTGTGAACTTCATGATGTTGTTTCATATTCTCCTTGTACAAAAGATGTAGACATTGACTGGACTCCATAATTCCTTCCACCTCACCTCCGTGTACGTGTACATGACAGTTCTCTGTATGGATCACCCATTCTATTAGATATGAATTATTTTCTTATTTTTGATGACTGATGATTAAATTCGATTTTAGTTCTCAGTGATAGAAAAAATACCAGTTAGAAAATGTGTACCTCATGTGCTGTGATCAGAAAATATTTTTGTGCCATTAGCTTACAAAAATGAATTTCAATATTTTATTTATTGTCATTTTCATCCGGTTTAATAGTCTCAAAAGGTTTTCATGCTTGTGAATTTTTTAGATTTTACTTTTGTTTTCTTAGTCAAAACTGAGGCAAGTTTGGAGACATTTGTTCAAGATGTGTGAGACATAAGCAATCAACACAGCAAAACACTGGTATTTTATGGGAATATGTAATAATAGATGGGCACTTGCCCTGCTAGATATGGCAGCAGTCTGGGTCTGTGGGCTTCAGTGCTGTACACAGAATTGACAGATCCTGCTTGAAGGAAAATGTACCCCTCATCTGTTGTACGACAGCCTGGCACCATTTTGTTACGAAACCCAGGTTTGGCCATGGCCACTTCCAAAATCAAGTAACAGAAGGGTAGTAAAAAGAAAGTCACTGGCCGGGCGCGGTGGCTCACACCTGTAATCCCAGCACTTTGGGAGGCCGAGGCGGGATGATCACCTGAGGTCAGGAGTTCAAGACCAGCCTGGCCAACATGGCGAAACCCTGTCTGTACTAAAAATACAAAATTTAGCCAAGCACAGTGGCGTGTGCCTGTAATCCCAGCTACTGGGGGACAGAGCGAGACTCCGTCTCCAAAAAAAAAAAAAAAAAAAAGAAAGTCACTTTATTCCCGAGCTTAGCAATGTGGAAGGGCTGGATTCATATCTAAAGGAACCATGTAAGTTTTCTGGGCAGAAAACAGAGCTTTAAGAAGAAAAATTGGCAAGCAGGGCACGCAGAAGGGGTGTGGAGGTGTAGGATCTGCATGACTCGATGGATGACTTATCTCTAGTCATGAGTCATTCGTTAGCCTGCCCAGCATCACTGGGGACAGAGTCAGGTTGTGGATTAACTGATGTCTTGAGACAATCTCTCTTGTGGAGGAGAATTCTGGTGGATGCTTATTTTCGTTCAAGATTTGGTAATTTCTAAACAAACGTATACTTAGCTAAGCTGACAGTGCTTGCTTGTGATTTGGCTGGTGGAAAGGAAGGAGGGAAAAGTTTGAATTTGCATTTCTAAGGAGCTAAGTAAGACATGAACACACAGGAAAAAGAAAAAGTAAATATTTTTTAAGGAAAATGAAGTACTTGTTTACAACACCCCACTGTCAAATTCCACTTTATTTTTATTCAATTGGAGCATCATATTCATTTGGTCTGCTTGCTACTGAAAGTGGTCTAGTTATAGAGCATTAGAATGGAATCTGTGTACCTGGAGTTGGAAATATTCTTGAGTTTTCAGCAGGAACTTACTATGCATGTATGGTGTGTGGATCCAAGAATTTCTGAGAATGATTTCCTGCATCTCCATGCAGAGTGTACAGCAGCAATAAAATTCATAGCAGCTGAAGAGGGCGTTTAGCAGTATTAATAATATATATAAAAGTATTTTATGCACCAGGAAGCCGACTAAATCATGATGCCATAGAGTCCTGAGAGAGGGCATCTATAGCAGAAATATGGGTATCTACATGCATAGCTTGGGTTATATTGTGAGAATAATCTTGTGTGTGTGTGTGTGTGTGTGTGTGTGTATGTGTGTAAAATGGTCAGCCTTAATGAATGCAGAAGTGCCACCCTGGGCTGCAGTGAAGATATCTAAAGCCATATGATTTAAAGACATCATGAGATTAGACATAGCATTAGTTTGCTTGTGCATGTCTTTTAGGGCTGAGGATATGTTTCTGGAGTTACCCAGGAAGTACACACAGCATTTAGTCTTAATTATAGTGCAAATCCCCAAATGTCAGTTTACCCAGAGCTCCTGTGGAGATATGAGGACAAGTTGGTTAACTATACATACTTAACAGGCTACAGGAGGAGTTGTAAATGTTCATGAAGGTGGTGCTGACCTATGTATTAACAAATATCCATGGAACATATGACTCATTGATTTTGGGGCAGAGACTTAACTTTTAAATGTATTATAATTATGCCCTATATTTCAAAAGTTCTTTTTAGACAAAGGCATGCAAGTGTGTATTTACTGTAAACCGGCCAAAACTAGTTTATGGTGAGTGATCTTTTATCAGGAGAAAATTACCGAAATTGGTCCCTTGTCTACTTCAATCTGTAGTTATGGCTGGTGGAACAGTGTCTGGGGTCAGTCAGTCACCTTATCTTGAGGCTAATGCTTGCTTGGCTGCTAGAGAAACACAGAAACCTTGTGGCAGTTGTAAACATAGTCTGCTTTTTTTAAAGTGTAGGAATGTGAGACTTAACTCTTGCCTGGCACGTTCTTAAGTCCTGTTCATAGTTTAGTATTTTATTGTTATAAAGAGTCTGTTTTACAGTTTTTATTGTAACGTTAATGCTGATCAGTTGTGCCCAAATTCCCATAATGGGAGGAAGGTGTAGTGAAGCTTGTTCATCACACCTCTTGTTGTCATGGCCTGAATTAGTTTTTCAGGTTGCTTTGGGTAACATGGGGGTAGGGTTTGTCCATTAAGTTGGTGGGGGCTTAGGACTTTCTTTTATAGTTTATATTCTCGTTTTTTGTCAAGGTATGCCAGAGACAGTATTGGTAGCCACACTTTTATTTTCTCTCATGTCAATGGCAGAGCAGCATGCTACCTGACCTGTGTCCATCATGTTTCTTGGTGCTACCACTATGGCCAAGGGACTTAGAATCGTAAGTCTTATATCCAATTATATCCAATTCCAGTCTGTAGGCCAGACTGGAATGAATGCGGCAGGCTGTCATTAATCCTTAAAACCCCTTTTAAGCAATGTAAGAGCCAAAAACTAAAAGTCAAAAGGTAAGGTTATGTAACTGAATTGTCTCTGAACTTTATGCATTGAGCTGTTGTAATCTTGGCTTATAGGAACCATAGCTATAGAAAACATAAGTATTTTATTTAGCTGTTTAGGCATCTGTATGCCCATCCTTTATTTGGGGGGTCTGAATTAATTTTATTCCACAAGAACCAGCCCTTACAAACTCATGCATTCGTATCTTCCATGATAGTCCCTGGGTCTGGAGAAATTGAACCGTTTTAAATTCTGGATATATTAATGAAACAAAATATTCACCATTAACAACATTTTAGCAAAAAATGCCATAAGCCTTGTCTTGTTCCAAGAGTGACAGGACTGAGACAGGCATACGAGGTCAGGAGATCGAGACCATCCTGGCCAACATGGTAAAACCCCGTTTCTACTTAAAGACAAAAAAATAGCTTGGCGTGGTGGTGCACGCCTGTAGTCCCAGCTACTCAGGAGGCTGAGGCAGGGAAATTGCTTGAACCCGGGAGGCAGAGATTGCAGTGAGCCAAGATCACGCCACTGCACTCCAGCCTGGGCAACAGAGCAAGAGTCCGTCTCAAAAAAAAAGAATGAGTGACGGGAAAGGAATCCTATAGGTAGATAAACATTTAAATTATTTAGTATTAAGGCACAGAATAAATTATATTTCTTGTATTTCTATTTCAGATAGAAGGTAAATTATTAAATAAAGTTTAATACATGCCTGTCCCTGTGTTGCATGAAAGCAGTGTACTTTGATTATTGCCTTTGCTTGAGTCTAAAGATGAGGCTTTGGTTAAGTTGAGTTTGATCTTAGATGCTGGCAGGAGTCTGTGTCTTCTTTAGAGGAGCTACATGTATCCAGGAGTCAGTTCCTTGTACCTTAGCATGACAATGATTAGTTAATAGCACCTGATAAGAACTTTTTCAGGGTATTGGAGGTGGTGATACACTGCATAGTGATTAATGTTTTTTAGCTTTGATAAGTGACAGCAAGAAGTCAGAGACTTAATTTAGGATTCAGTTTTGGAGATGTCTGTGAAAGATGTGAGAAAGCTTAAAATATTTGATCAAAACTGAACCACAGTTCCTTGTAAATGAATAGTTATTCATTTAACCAAAGTGATCTTTGAAAGACTTTAAAGGCAATAGAAAAAGTTACACGGGTATAAAATCCTTACTCCTCTCAAATTTCAGGGGTTTTTTAAAAGCAATTAAACACTTAATAAAGGCAGCATAGGAACTATCTTGATAAAATGTAAAATCTTGTTTCTTAAGCCAGTTACCAAAAAGTCAAAGGAAAACCTTTTTTAGTGTGACTGCCTCTCCTTAGAAGAAAGCCCATTTAGATAATCTGGAAGTACAACTTAAGATAACAAGTGCTTGAATTTAATCAAACATGGGAAGAGTGTGTACAAGGTTTTGAGTAGAACTGGGGAATACATGACTCTTAGTAGCTGCATGATAAGTTTCCTGATTACAGTGAAAATTTAGACACACCAAAAACAACAACAAGAAAAAAATCAAGAGTATACAATCAGGTTATCCTGGAGGAAAACATTTCTTTTATAGACCTCTAAGATAAAATATTTCAGCATCAGCCACAACAACATTTAGAAGTAAGGAGAAAAGTTACAGGAGCTGACAAGAAGCTGAAGGATAGAGTTATCATCCCAGGCCACATCAAAGGGAGAAAAAGCTGATAGTAGCAAGACAACAATTGAACATTTGAGATATGAATCTCAGAAGTTTTCAAAAGAAGTAGATTATAGAACAGAAAATCAAAGTTTACTGTAATTTTATTAAGAGTAAATTGATATCTTAAGAAAATCTTGATTTAACATAGGGGACCATTCTTTAGAAAGACTATTATTAACAGTTCCTTTTTAATTATGGCTTAGTTAATTGCATACAAAATTTCTTCTATACTGGCTCAGTTGTGAGAATTGAGTGAGGTTCTGTGAGTCTCTGGTTCTTAGGATTTGAGGCAGAATCTTGTTCATTTGATCTAAAGATTTTCTGCTTTTTCAAATCCAGTAAGCATTTAGTAGGCTACCTGTGTACTTGAATTCCAAGGACACTATTATAAACTAGCCAGCAACATAAATCTATAGGAATCAGATGAACCTGATTGTTGCTTCGCCTTTGCTGTCCATTGAGATAACTATGCCAACCTTGTCTTTGAAGACTGAGTGTTGCTACTTGCTCCCAGGTTTCCCTGTAACCCAGTTATTCCCATTGCATTTTGATTTTCCAATTGGTGTACTCTGGTTTCTATATTAAGGTCTGGTCTACCGAGAAGAGAGATCAAAGAGCTCTTCAGCTGTTCCCAGCTCCCCACACAAATCTACCTAACAAAGTCCCGATAAACAGTCTGTTTTCTGGAGTCTATCAATACTGGTAAGTTGCATTTATTTATTTAGAGACAGAGTCTCACCTTTTTTGCCCAGGCTGGAGCGCAATGGCATGATCTCAGCTCACTGCAACCTCTGCCTCCTCGATTGAAACCATCCTCCTGCCTCAGCCTCCTGAGTAGCTGGGGCAACAGGTGTGTGCCTCATGTCTGGCTAATTTTTGTAGTTTTATTGTAGAGATGGGGTTTCACTGTGTTGGCAAGGCTGGTCTTAAACTCCTGACCTCAAGTGATGGACCTGTCTCGGCTTCCAAAAGTGCTGGGATTACAGGCATGAGCCACTATGCCCTGCTGTAAGTTGCTTTTAAGTGGGAAATCCATTCTAGCATTCCTGTCTCTCCAGGCCTATGAATTCCTTCATCCAACATAATGCAGGGAAGATGCGGGAATCACTGACTTGCTCATGGTCATACATCTGTTGAACTATATTTCAGCCAACCAGTCATAACACTACTACTACCATCCTTAAATACCGAAGCTGCAACATTAAACCGGAATATCTGCTTAATGGCCCCATATCATTAAATTTGGACTGATTCAAGTTTATATTCCTTCTACTGTTATCAACACTTTTTTTTTCTTGTTTTGGTTTCTTACAGATGAGGTCTTGTTCTTTTGGCCAGGCTGGAGTGCAGTGGTACAGTCGTGACTCACTGCAGCTTCAAACACCTGGGTTCCAGCATTCATCCCACTTCAGCCTCCCGTGTAGCCGGGACTACAGGTACAAGCCACCACACCCAGCTATCCACAGCCATAATCTTTATTTCCACATAGGGTCTTCAGATTTCTGTTTGCATTAGTTAGAAAACTCAGGTAGCTTTTTTGACATAGATCACACCTCCTCATGGGAAATACTATCCATCAGCTTTAGGGGCCTGTTGTAACTTTAGTCTCACCATGAGTCTAGAAGAAACACAGCTGTCAGGGGTGGGTCTTGAAGATAATCAGCAATGTATTGCTTGACAGCTGCTTCAGGGGAAGCCATTACCGTTTCCTTAGGCATTGTAGCTGTAAGCTACTCAGACGTATATGGAAAGGCCTACATCACCTTGTGTGGGAAGGCCATTGCCAAGGGGGTGGCTGTGAGGAGGCCACTTCTGCTGGCAATAAAAACTCATTAGAATTTAGGAGATCAATGTCCCCAGCCACATCAGTCTTCCCATACATCGTCATCCCAAGTTACAGGATGCTATTCCTTATCAACTTCCACTTCAACAGTAGACACCCTGCCAGACTCAGTTCAATGTTTCTTGTAATTCAGCCAGTGGCATGATATGGGCTTGTGTTTGACCTTTAGCAAATACTTCCCTGTGGCTACAAGAGAGTTTTCTGGCTCAGAGCACAGGTAGAAACTCTTAGGCTGTTTATGTGGAGCTGGTTCTGCAAAATTGAATCCCTAAGCTCATTATTGTCTTTCATCAAATTTCCCAGTGAAATTAGAAGCAAGAAACCCGTCATCATTATGTGCCATGGTTTTAAACAAATGTCTGTATCACATACAGAGTAAACAAGTACCTTGCCTCTTATCAGTGTTTAATTAAGAGTATCAAATGCAGATATTTTGGGGATCTCTAAAAACAGTTCATGTCATTGACTGTCATTGCTCTTTCTACTGTTAAAAGTACAGTTCTTAGAATTTAGGTCCAATCAGATTAGAAAGCCAATTCTAGAAACCCCAAATTTGATTAAGGACACTCATGCTTAAAATTCTCTTTGTATAGAACCGTTCATACTACCAAAGTCTATACTAGTCAGGGTTATCGAGAGCAATGGAACCAATAGGATAGACACGTAGGAGCTAGCGGTAGATAGATAGATAGATAGATAGATAGATAGATAGGGATTTTTAGGGGAACTGAATCACATGATTATGGAGGCTGACCGTTTCCACCACATGCCATGTAAAGCTGGAGATCCTAGGATGCTTGTTGGGTACCATAGTCTAAGTCCAAAATGCTCAAACCAGAGAAAACCTTGGTTAAACCCTCAGTATAAGGCTGAATGCCATCAGAAAGTCTTTCAATTGAGTCCCCTGTCATTTTGAAATACCACCATATTTAAAATTTAACATTGTTATGTGGCTGATTCATTGGTTGCATTGTTTTTGAGCATTTTGTTGTTTGATCACCACTAGATACTCCAGGCTAATTGTATTTAGTCCCTGTTCAAGTCTATTATTGAGCTTTTTCTCACAGGTCCCTATCTTTTTTGTTGGAGAATGAAATTAAAAAAGATTTGGACACTCATTGGTTGTACACATTGTTACTGGGGAATGTGTTGATTGGAGGCCTTGTTAGCTAACAGAGCAAAGAGTAAATATACACATATGTTTACAAATTTCTACAAGTCTCCATATGTATCTGCATTAAATTAAACATGAATTCCTACAGCCTCCTCCGTCCCACACAGTCTTATTCAGCACTATGTGAATTTGTCTACCCATCTCACTAATCTGTATGTAGCCTACCACTGTAATATTTAACCACCTGAAAATGCAGGCATAGTGGTTTCAGAATAAGAAACATACAACCCCATGAGAAACACCCTTACCACCTGTTTATGTATACCAACTGCTTATGTATAAATCCTTTAGCCTTTAGACAGAATCTGCACTTATTATGTCAGTTGCTTAGGTCAGCTTCTTTTTCCCCTTCCTTCAGTGGATTATTTCATAGATTTGTATAAAGTATTTTCTCTGCATTTCTTCCTGGGCTGTTCCTATCTACTAAATAAGTTTTTTTTGTTAATTTACATACTTTCAGGTTCACTCTTTGTGTTATAAAGTTTTGTGGGAGTTGAAAACCTGTATCTTTTATCCACATTACAGTAGCATACATAATAATATACAAAAGGAAATTTTCTATCTTTACAGATTTGTCTTTCCTTTTGGCTGAGACCGTGGTAACCAATAAACTCTTTACTTTCTCTATCCTTGTGCCTTTTCTAGAGTGTCATATATTATGTTAAAAAAAAGTATTTTGCTTTTTCCAAATTGCTTTTTGGACTTACTCATATGCCTTTAGGATTAGTAAAGGATATCTTATGGTTGGGATTTGCATTTCCCTAATGACAGAGGCATTGAGCATTTTTCCATATGCTTATTAAACATTACTATAGCTTCTTTGGAGACATGACTGTTCAAATTTTCTATTTTTGATTGGAGCATTTGCCTTTGGATTTTTGCGTTTTAAGATGTAATATATTCTGGATTATAAATTCTTATTGGATATTTGACATACAAAGACTTTTCTCCCATTTTTAAATTGTTTCTTTTGTTATGTACTTTACATTATGATGTATGTTATTAGTGATGTTTCAATATATCTATTTTCTCCTTCCTCTTGTGCATTAGTTGTCATATCTTAGAAATCATTGTTTAACCTTTGTTAAACAATTTGTTTTTGTTTTTAGTTTTGGCTTTTTAGGTGTATGATTGTATTAGTCTGTTCCCACACTGCTATAAAGAACTACCTGAGACTGGGTAAGTAATAAAGAACAGTGGTTTACTATATCCACAATTCTACAGACTGTACAGGAGGCATGACTGGGGAGACTTACAATCATGGTGGAAGGAAAAGGGGAAGCAAGCACATCTTACATGGCTGGAGAAAGAGGAATAGATAGAAGAAGGAAGTGCCACACAGTTTTAAGCAACCACAGTTTGTGATAACTCACTATCATAAGAACAGAAAGGGGGAATCTACCCCCATGAGTTAGTCGCCTCGCACCAGGCCCCTCCTCCAACATTGGAGATTACAATTTGCCATGAGATTGGGAGGTGACACAAATCTAAACCATATCATCCTGCCCCTGGCCCCTCCTAAATATCATGTTTTTTTCTCATATTGCAAAATACAATCATTCCTTCTCAATAGTCACCCAACTCTTAACTCATTTCAGCATTAACTCAAAAGTCCACAGTCCAAAGTTTCATCAGAGATAAGGCAAGTCCCTTCTACCCATGAGCCTGTAAAATCAAAAGCAAAGTCATTACATTCAATATACAATGGGGGTACAGGCATTGGGTAAATACACTCATTCCAAAAGTTATAAATCAGCTGGAAAGGAGGGACAACAGGCCCCATGCAAGTTTGAAACCCAGTAGGGCAGTCATTAAATCTTAAAGCTCCAAAATGATCTCCTTTGAATCTGCATCTCACATCCAGGCCTCACTGATGCAAGGTAAGGGCTTTCAAGGCCTTGGGCAGCTCTGCCTCTCTGGCTTGGCAGAGCTCATCTATTGTGGCTGCTCTCAAGGGCTGGCATTGAGTGCCTGTGGCTTTTCCAGGCACATAGTGCAAGCTGTTGGTGGATATACCACTCTGGGTTCTGGAGGACAGTGGCCCTCTTCTCACAGTTCCACTAGGCCCCCAGTGGAGACTGTTTCTCGACGCTCCAACTCTATACTTCTCTGTGCTGTCCTAGTACAGGTTTTCCCTAAGGGCTCCATCACTGCAGCAGACTTCTGCCTGGGCATCGAGGCATTTCCATACATTCTCTGAAACCTAGGCAGAGGCTCCCAAGCCTCAACTCTTTCCCTCTGTGTACCTTCAGGCTTAACACCACGTGGAAACTGCCAAGGATTATGGCTTGCACCTCCTGGAGCATGGACTGATAAGTATCTGGGGACCTTTTAATCATACCTGGAGCTGGAGCAGCTGGGGCACAGGGAGCAGTGGCCCAAGGTTGCACAGGGCACCAAGGCCTTGAGCTTGGTCCTTGAAACAATTATTTTCTCCTAGGCTTTTGTGCCTATGATGGGAGGGGCTGATGGGAAGGTTTCTGAAGTGGCTTTGAGGCATTTTCCTTATTGTCTTGGGTATTAAAATTCAGTTTCTCTTTCTTTTTGTTTTGTTTTGTTTTTTTTTTAGATGGACAAGTCTCGCTCTGTCACCCAGGCTGGAGTGCAGTGGTGCGATCTCAGCTCACTGCAAGCTCCATCCTCCCAGGTTTACACCATTCTCCTGCCTCTGCCTCCCGAGCAGCTGGGACTACAGGCACCCACCACCATGCCCGGCTAATTTTTTGTATTTTATAATAGAGTTGGAATTTCACCTTGTTAGGCAGGATGGTCTCAATCTCCTGACCTCGTGATCCACCCATCTCAGCCTCCCAAAGTGCTGGGATTACAGGCGTGAGCCACCATGCCTGGCTAATTTGGCTCCTCTTATGCGAATTTCTACAGCTGGCTTGAATTCCTCCCCAGAAAATGGATTCGTCTTTTATTGTTTTACTTTTTTTTTTTTTTTTTGAGACAAGTCTTACTCTGTTGCCCAGGCTGGAGTGCAGTGGTGCGATCTCAGCTCACTGCAACCTCCACCTCCCGGGTTCAAGTAATTCTTCTGCCTCAGCCTCCTGAGTAGCTGGGACTACAGGCATGTGCCACCACGCCCAGCTAAATTTTGTATTTTTAGTAGAGACGAGGTTTCACCATATTGGCCAGGCTGGTCTTGAACTCCTGACCTTATGATCCACCCACCTCAGCTTCCTAAGGTGCTGGGATTACAGGCATGAGCCACAGTACCTCGTCAGGTTTTTCTTTTTTACAAAATGGCTGGACTGCAAATTTTCTAAACTTTTATGCTCTGCCTGTTTTTTAAATATAAGTTTTAGTTTCATAGCATCCCTTTGCTCACACTATGACAATACACTGTTAGAAGCAGCCAGGCCACATCTTGAACACTTTGCTGCTTAGCAATTTCTTCCACAAGATACCCTAAATCATCAGTCTCCAATTCAAAGTTCCACAGATCCCTAGAGCAGGGGCACAATGCCACCAGTCTCTGTGCTAACATAACAAGAGTGACCCTTACTCTAGTTCCCAATAAGTTCCTCATCTCCATCTGAGACCACCTCAGCCTGGACTTCATAGTCCATGTCACTATCAGCATTGTGGTCACAAAAATTTAACCAGTCTCTGGAAAGTTCCAAACTTCTCCTCATATTCCTGTCTTTTTCTGACCCCCTCCAGACTGTTCCAACCTCTGCTCATTACCCGGTATCAAAGTCACCTCCACTTTTCAAGTATCTTTATAGCAATGCCCCACTCCCAGTAGCAATTTTCTGTATTAGCCTTCTTGCATTGCTATAAAGAACTATCTGAAACTGGGTAATTTATAAAGCAAAGAGGTTTAATTGACTCATATAGTTCTGCAGGCTGTAGAGGAAACATGGCTGGGGAGGCCTCAGGAACTTACAATCATGGCAGAAGGAGAAGGGAAAGCAGACACATCTTTTATGGCCTGAGAAGGAAGAAGAGAAAGAAGGGTGAGGTCCTACACACTTAAATAACGATATCTCATTCACTTACAGTCATGAGAACAGCAAGGGGAAATCTTCCCCCATTATCCAATCACCTCCCACCAGGCCCCTCCTGTAACATTGGGGATTACTATGTGGCATGAGATTTGGGCAGGGACACAAGTCCAAACCATATTAGTGACTAATTTGTACTATTTATGCATATACTGTGAGGGAGGAGTTTAACTTGCCTGTTGATAATGTTGATAATGTTGACTTGTCCCAGAATCCGTTGATGAAAAAAATACTTTTCCGTATTGAATTTACTTGGAGCCCTTGTAAAATTATTTGACCGTAAATGTAAAGGTTAACTTTTTGATATTCAATTTTATTCTATTTATCTGTATGTCTACACCACACATGTTAATTAGTATGGCTTTGTCTTTAATTTTAAAATCAGGAAGTATGAGTCTATTTTACAAATTCCATTTTTTTTTTCAAAATTATTTTAACAATTCTCTATTGCATTATATATACAATTTAAAATCTGTTTGATAAGTTAGTGAAAAAAGGTCACCTGGGATTTTCATGGAAATTGCATTAAATCTATACAGTCATAGAAAAAGTATTGTCAACTTAATAATATCAAGCCTTTTAATCAATGATCATTCAACATTTGTCCATTTTTATAGAATTTTATTAATTACATTTAATATATTTTACAGTTTTAATATACATGTCATATGCGTATTTTGTTAAATTTATTGTTATGTGTTTTTCCTTTTTGGTGCTATTTTAAATAGCATGGGTTTCTGAGATTTTTGTTTAGTTTGTTAATTTCTACTATATAGAAGTACATATTTCTGTATACTAACCTTGTGTACTGGAACTGTATTGAACTTATATTTTAATTTGCATTCTATTTTATTAGAGTCATTTTGATGTTCTGTAAACAAATTATGTCAATTGCCAACAGAGTTTTACTTTCTTTTATGCCAGATGTCTTATATTCATTTTTCTCTACTAATTGTCCTTGCTACATCCTCTAGCATAATGTGGGGAAGAATTGTGGCCAGAATGAAATTCTTTGTCTTATTTCTAATCTTGGAGAAAGTATTGAGCCTTTCAGAAAACTTTTATATCATGTGAGGGTTTTTATTTTTTTGGATGCTTTAAAGTGAAGACAGTTTCTTTACAGTCCTAATTTGCTGCATATCTTTATCATGAATGTGTTTTTGATTTGTCAAGTGCTTATTCTTTGTCTTTGAGATGATCGTATAGGTTCCGTGCTTTATTCCATTAATACAGTGCATGAATTGTATATTGAACAAAATTTGCATTCCTGAGGAAATACCCTTAGCAATAGTGTATAATATTTTTGCATGTTGCTGATTTGTTTTGCTATTATTTCCTTAAGGATTTTTGCCTCTTTATTCATAAGGCATATTGGTCTTAATTTTCCTTTCTTGAAATGTTTTGGTCTAATTGTGGTATGAGGATAAAATACCTCATAGTGTGCATAGGGAGTGATCTCTTCACCGCTGTCATTGCTGTTGTTTAATGTTTTTAGAGAATTCATAATGAAGTTGTATTCTTTAAAGGTATGAAATAATTTCCTATTGAAGTCATCTTAACATGGAACCAGAATTAAATCCTAACAACAATCATGTGAGCCTGGGGAGGATCCTTCCCCACGTGAGCCTTCAGGGGAGACTTCAGCCTTGGCCATCTTCTCCATCTAGATTCCTGACCAAGAGAAACTGTGAGTAATGTGTATGTGCTTTTCAGCCACCAAGATGTGTGGGAATTTGTTATGCAACAATAACTAAGTAATACACCTGGCATTGAATGTAATGTGGTATCCTAGATTAGATACTGGAATAGAAAAGTGACATTATTGGAAACCTGAAGAAAACTATGAATAAAGTCTGTAGTTCCATTGATAGTTCTACAACACTGTCAATTTCTCAGTTTTCATGAATAGTCTATGGTTATATAACGTGTTAATATTCCTTTAAGCTGAAAGGTATATGAAACTCTCTGCATTATATATATTATATATTATATATATTATACCTCCTTCTGTAAGTCAAATATGATTTCAAAATAATTTTAAAATAATATTTTGGTGGAAAGCAAAAACCAACAAAAAGACATAAGCACATTAACTTGTTTTCAGGAGATCGGGTGGGCAAGTCGGGAAAGAACAGCAGCACAGCTTTCCTAATTTAGCCACCATTCTGAACGCAGGTGCACCTGCTTCAGTTAAACACAGTTAGCTCCAGGGACTCTCATCCATTTTTGCCTTTGAAATCGTGCTACCCATTATCCAGGAACATTTTAAGTGTCAGTAACCACTTCTTCAGAGAGAGGTGCCTTTTCCTCATATATCCCAGGACGCCCCATTTTCAGACATTGTCTGGAAGTTTATTCACATAATTCCACTAAAGCCTTTCTGGAAAAAATGACTGCTGGACATTAGAAGCCGATATTGCAAAATGTCAGTGACAGGGAACACAAATTGTATTTCTACAATCAGGAGAGTGTTTTATTTCCCTTGGTACAGGGATTTGTTCTTCAACTGGTTATCAGATCACTGGGATAATTTCTATTTCTCTCGTCATGAATTATTTAGGACCATATATTCTGTTGCTCTTCACATCTTGGAATTATATTGTCCATTTCCAGGGTCAAAGACCACAGAATAAATGTCATCCTGGCAGCAGGTGAGTAGGGCACACAAACAATGCTTCTAAATATGGTGGTTGATGACAATGCTTGCTTACTAAGACCCCGATATGAATCTGTGGACAACTGGTTTTTGGCAGGTGAAGTCATGTGAGTGATTCAGTATATGCTTTGTATGGCTGGAGAAAGCTCAGTAGATACAAGAAAAAGCAGTGTGTAACAGATCTCCCCCCACCATGCAGTGATCTAAGAGATGGACCCAGGCTAAATGGTGACTCTGCACATGTTCTGGCTAAACAAAGAATCTCACAGCAGGAAGAAATATCCAGCTATCCCCCACATAGGTCCCTGTTCATAGTTCACAGCACTCTGCGGTGTTAACACCAGGGTTGTGTCAAAGAACCATGCCTACAAAGCCTACCAAGCCGTGAGTCTGCATGCTGCACTCACACAGACATAGACAAAGCCAAGACTATTGCCTTTATGGTGGTTCTGAGTTCTCAAGTTTAAAGGAAAACAGGCAATATACACAAAACTCTACTGCCATATTGGCATGGAAAGGACAGAGTGCTGAGCACTGAGTGCCCAAACAAGTGCTTTAACAGCATGGAAGGCATGATTTCCCACAATATACTAAGCAACTAAATTCACAAAGGCCACCACAATTCTAAAAAAAGATGTCATTGCAAACAAACCCAAGTCTTAGACCACAATATGAGACAAACATTCCAACATGCTGTCTCCACACTGTAGCCTGATTAGGAGTTGTAGTTCAATGGATGAATGGCTCATATATTTAACATCATTACTTCATATTCATGTAATTCAACCTTCCTGGAGTGTAAAACTATTGGTGAAATTTCAAAGTCCTAAATTATGAATTGTATGAGTTTCTTCTTCACTTAGTATTTTCCCAAGGATACAGGAAAACTAATTTCAATATCCAAGTGTCCAAAAGTAGAGTTTGCCAGAGTAGCAAGGGGGCAGAACAAAGCATTTTATGAAGATCACAATGCATCTACTTCTACAGTGACTATGTATTATCACCATTTGTGTGATTAAAAGGGTGAATGAGAATGAAGAAAAACAGAGATCAAGAATGTTATAGATTAAAGAATTGAATTTGTAATATGGCTTGCAGGGATCATTGCTTATATTTCTAACTTTAGGACACAATTTTTTTAATATAGATTTTCCTTAGTCTTTAGAAAACTAACACTTCAGGAAAAATTTCAAGTGTCTCTCTACAATTTATATCTTCCTCGTCAATAGATTTCTTGAACCGTAGTTTATAAAACAATTACAGCACGTCACTAATAAGTCTAATATTTCTAATAACTAAGTAGATTGTAAATAGAGTTGGTAAATTAATATGAAAATATATACAAGAATGTTTACTTAATAACAGACTAAACTGATCATTTCTGAAGTGCGGGGTCCCCATTTCTGAGGGGGTCATGGCTGCATGCCCGTAAGCAAGGGGGGTGTTGTGGGTGCTTTGTTTGCCCTGTTAATTTTGGATCCCTCTGTGCTCTGTGAACTATTAAGATAATATTTGTTTGAAAAATCCAGTTGCTTTAACTTTTCCTTTGTTTTAGTCTGTTAACAAAATTATCGCTTTTCTTTTACTGACTTTAGATTTAATATATTCTTCTTTTTCTAGTTTCCAAAGGTGTAAACACAGATGACAGATTTTTGGTCTTTTCATTGTTTCCTATGTATGTGTTCAATGGTATTTATTTGCCTTTATGTTCTGCTTTCCTTTCATCCTACAAATTTTGATAAATTGTGTTTTTATTTTCATTTAGTTAATTTAAAAAAATTTCTCTGGAGATATCTTCTTTGACCCATATATTATACCGAAGTGTGTTGTTTAATCTCAATGCATTTTGGGATATTACAGTTATCATTCCATTCATCCTTTGATTTCTATTTTAATTCCACTGTGGTCTTAGAGCTGACATTGTATGATTTACTTTTTAAAAGTTGTTAGGGTATTTTTTGTCCCAGAATGTGGCACATTTTGCTGAATATTCCATGTGAGCTTAAGAAGAATGTGTCATCTGCAGTAGTTGAGGGAAGGAGACTGTAGGTGTCGGTTATGCCTAGTTGCTTGTTGGTGCTATTGAGTTCAGTTTTTCCCTCCTGAATTACTGCCTGCTAGATCTGTCTGTATCTGTTATAGCGTGTTAATGTTTCCAACTATAATACTGAATTCATCTTTTTCCTTGTGGTTCTCTTGATTTCTGCCTCATAGTTTATGCTCTGTTATCAGGCTCATAGGCTTTAAGAATTAGGACATCTTCTTGGAAGAATGGCTCTTCATCTCTATGTAATGCCCTTCTTTATTCCTGATAACTTTTCTTGCTTTGAAGTCTGCTCTGCCTGTAATTCATATAGGTCCTCTTGTTTACTTTGATTAGAGTTAGCATCGTACATTTTGTTCCATTCATGTACTTTTATTTGTCTTTATATTTGGGTTGGGCTTATAAATAACAGTTGTATCTTGTTTTTTGATTCAGTTTGTAAATCTGTGTCTTTTACTTGGTGCAGTTAGACCATTGACATTCAAAGTGGTAAGCGATACAGTTGGATTAATATTTATCATATTTGTCAATGTTTTCGATTTGTTGTCCTTGTTCCTTCTTCCTATTTTCATCTTCCATTCATTTTCTGCCTTTTGTGGTTCTCATTGAGCATTTTATATTTTTCCATCTCTCGCATTTCTAAAAATATCAGTTATATATAATTTTAACTTTTTCTTGGTTTAACATTTTTATATTCTTAGTTTATTATAAGAGAAAACAATTTCTTGAAAATAATAGAAAAATTATTAAATAATATATGCCTATGCATATATCTTATGTATAAGTATATATGTGTACAGATATATGCACATGTGCATGTGTGTTTGTATGTGTGCATGTATATGTATATATATATACACATATATATATATGAAGTGGATATCAGCAATAATGCAAAGGACAGGAGAAAGGAATTAGGATTATTTGTTATTATAAGATACAGTAACTGTGAAGCAATATAACTTTATTAGAAAAGTAGCTCAGTTTAGTATTTTTTATTTTTTATAGTTTTTATATTATTTTGATGTTTTTTAACTTTATATATTTGAATTTAGGTTTGTGGATACATTTGTTATATAGGTAACCTTGTGTAATGGAGGTTTATTGTACAGATCATTTTATCACCCAGGTACTAAGCCTACTACCCAATATTTACTTTTTCTGCTCCTCTCCCTCCTTCTACCCTTCACTTACAAGTAGGCCCCAGTGTCCTTTGTTCCGTTCTTTGTGTTCATGAGTTCTCATCATTTAGCTCCTACTTAAAAGTGAGAATATGTGATAATTTGGTATTCTGCTCCTGTGTTAGTTTGCTTAAGGATAATACCTTCTAGTTCCATTCATGTTCCTGTAGAAGACATGATTTCATTCTTTTTTTCCAGCTATATAGTATTCCATGATATATATGTACCACATTTTCTTTATCCATCCTGTGATTGATGGGCATTTAAGTTGATTCCATGTCTTTTTTCTTGTAAGTAGTGCTCCAATGAACATTCATGTGGATGTGTCTTTTTGGGAGAATGATTTCTATTCCTCTGGGTGTATACCCTGTAATGGGATTGCTGAGTTGAATGGTAGTTCTGATTTTAGCTCTTTGAGGAATTGACATATTGCTTTGCACAATGGTTGAATGAACTTACACTCCTACCAACAGTGTGTAAGTGATCCTTTTTATCTGCAACCTCACCAGCATCTGTTATTTTGACTTTTTAATAATAGCCATTCTGACTGGTGTGAGATGGTATCTCATGTGGTTTTGATTTGCATTTCTCTAATGATCAGTGATATTGAGCTTTAGTTCATATGCTAGTTGGCCACATGTATATCCTGTTTTGAAAATGTTCTGTTCTTATCCTTTGCCTACTTTTTTTTTTTAAGACCGTGTGTCACTCTGTTGGCCAAGCTGGAGTGCAGTGGCGCGATCTCGGCTCACTGCAACCTCCACCTCCCGGGTTCAAGCGATTCTCCTGTCTCGCCCTCCCAAGTAGCTGGGAGTACATGAGCGTATCATCACACCCGGCTGATTTTTTGTATTTTCAGTAGAGACGGGTTTCACCATGTTAGCCAGGATGGTCTCGATCTCCTGACCTCATCATCCGCCCGCCTCGGCCTCCCAAAGTGCTGGGATTACAGGCATGAGCAACCGCGCCCAGCGCTTTGCCTGCTTATTAATGGGGTTGTTTGTTTTTCTCTTGTAAATTTGTTTAAGTTTTTTATAGATGCTGGATATTATACTTTCATCAGATGCATAGTTGCAAATATTTTCTGCCATTCTATAGTTTGTCTGTTCACTCTGATGATAGTTTCTTTTGCTGTACAAAGCTCTTAAGTTTAATTGGATCGCATTTGCCAATTTTTGCTTTTGTTGTGATTGCTTTCAGAGTTTTTATTATGAAATCTTTGCCTATTCCTATATCCAGGATGGAATTGCCTACATTGTCCTCCAGGGTTTTTATAATTTAGGGTTTTACATTTAAGTCTTTAATCCATCTTGAGTTAATTTTTGTATATGGTGTAAGGAAGGGGTCCAGTTTCAGTCTTCTGCATATGGCTAGCCAGTCCTCCCAGCACCATTTATTGAATAGAGAGTCTTTTCCCCATTGCTTGCTTTTGTCAGCTTTGCCAAAGATCAGATGGTCATAGGTGTGTGGCTTTATTTCTAGGCTCTCTATTCTGTTCAAGTGGTCTATGTGCCTGCTGTTGTAGCAGCACCATGCTGTTTGGTTACTTTATCCCTGTAGTGTAGTTTGAAGTCAGGTAACATGATGCCTCCAGCTTTGTTCTTTTTGTTTATGATTGCCTTGTCTATTGGGGCTCTTTTTTGGTTCCGTATGAATTTTAACACAATTTTTTTCTAGTTCTGTGAAGAATGTCATTAGTAGTTTCATAGGAACGGCATTTAATCTGTAAACTTCTTTGGGCAGTATGGTTAGTTTTAAATATAATATTTCCAACTGTAGAACAGTCTATTGCACAAAAAACCTCTTATCTTCCTGGCTGTTGGCCATTGGCTAAATAAAGTGCCTTGCCAAGGGGGCTTCTCACACTTCATAAAATCCATCAAGAGAGACATTTCTAGCAAGACCAAAATCATAATCATATGTAAGAATCCAAGTGACACTTCTATACCTTTGCACTATTCTATTGTTTCAAAGCAAGTCACAATTCCTACTTAGACTCACTTGGATGGGATTACAGTAGAAGGTTGTGTATATGAGAAGGTGCGGATAAATGGGCACCAACTTAGAGTCTACCTGACACATCAGGTATTCTCGTTTATGAAACAGTTTCCTGGCCTTCACTTCTTTTTCTTGACCTTGACCCTTTTGAAAAGTACCAGTCAGGTATTTAATAGGATGTCCCACGATATGGTTTTAGCTGATGTTTTCTCATGATTAAACTAGGAATATCAATGAATTAAACACCTTCACTTAAATCTGAAGACGAAAAAGACCTAAAGAATATAGTATTAAGAAATACTCAAAGAGGAAAAACTATTTTTAAAGTATGGAATGACAATTCACAATATAATTAAGTTCAGTGCTTAAGGAAAACTGAGAAATTAAGGAGATGCACAAAGGAGGTATCAACAATATTGCTAATGATTTTTTTTTAAGCTTGGGAGTGACATTAACAACAACAACAACAAAAAAAAAACAAGTTTTAAAGAATGGTTTTCCAAGGCTGGGCATAGTGGCTCACATCTATAATCCCAGCACTTTAGGAGACTAAGGCGGGCAGATCACCTGAGGTCAGGAGTCCTAGAGCAACATGGCAAAACTCTGTCTTTAGTAAAAATACAAAAAATTAGCCTGGCATGGTGGTGGATGATTGTAATCCCAGCTACTCGGGAGGCTCAGACAGGAGAATCGCTTGACTCCAGGAGGCGGAGGTTGCAGTAAGCCGAGATCACGCCACTGTACTCCAGCCTGGGCAACAGAGGGAGAGTGTCTCAAAAAAAAAACCAAAAAACAAAAACAAAAACAAAAAACAGTTCTGTGGTTTTACATTTACAGAACAGTTGCAAATCTAGTAGAGAGTTTCCATATACTCCATGCACAGTGTCCTTTATTATTAATCTCATAGTGTGAAACCTTTGTCAAAATTAACCAACCAATATCATGTATTGTCATTGAGTACTATACATACTTTATTCTGATTTTTTAGTTTTTGCTTAATGTTAAGTTTATGTTTTAGGATCTCTTCCAGGATACGTCATCACATTTAGATATTATGGCTTTACAGGCTCCATTGAATGTGATAGTTTCTCAGAATTTCCTTGTTTTTGATGCCATTGACGTTTCTAATTTAGGATTACTCTGATGTTTCTCTCATGATGAGACTGGACTTCTGGGGAGGAAGAATACAGACGAAAAGTACCATTCCTATCACATAATATCCAGGGCACAAGCTGTCAACAGGCTTTATCACTGTTGATGTTAATTTGATCACCTGGATAAAAATCTTTTAGTTCTAAAAATCTCTTCTGTAAAATTTTTCTTTTTCTTCCTTTTCATGTTGTGTGTATAAAAAAAGTCACTATATACAACACACACTCAGTACTTGGAGAATCATACACCACTGCTTTTTCTTTGAAATAAATTTATTAAAATTTCAATAGCTTTGGGATTACATGTAGTTTTTGGTTACATGCATGAATTGTATGGTGGTGAAGTCTGGGGCTTTTAGTGTACCTGTCACCTGAATAGTGTACATTTTACCTCATAGGTAATTTTTTATCCCTCACTAGCCTCCAACCCTCCTCCTTTCGGAATCTTTAATGTCCATGATCCCCCTCTGCATGCTCCTGCATATCCATTGCTTACCCCAAACTTATAAGTGAGAACATGTGGTATTTGGTTTTCTGCTCCTGAGTTACTTCACTAATGATAATGGCCAAATTGCTTTGAAAAACACTATTTTGTTCTTTTCTATGGCTGAGTAGTATTCTGTAATATACATACACACACACACACACACACACACACACACACACACACACACCACATTTTCTTTATCCACTAATTGGTTGATGGGCACTTAGATTGATTTCATATTTTTGCAATTGTGGATTGTGCTGTGATGAACCTAGAAGTGTAAGTGTCTTTTTGATAGAATGACTGTGTGTGTGTGTGTGTGTGTGTGTGTGTGTGTGTGTGTGTGAGAGAGAGAGAGAGACAGAGACAGGGTCTCACTTTGTCCTACAGGCTGGAGTGCAGTGTATTTAATTTATTTAAGCTCAATGTATTTAATTTATAATTGTATTAATTTCTTTGATATGTTTTCTAGTCCTCAGTATATGTATCTTATACTTATTTTATTAAATTAATTCATAGGTATTTAATTTTTATGCCATTTTACATGAAATGGTTTTTGAAATTTTGTTTTTAGATTGTTAATTGCTAATAAATAAAAATACAGTTGATTTTGCATATTGACCTGTACTAAGCTGTACTACAAGCTTGCTTAACCCTTTTTTCATATTTTGTTATGTTTTATTAGAGATTTTATGATGTCTGTAGGCAGGATCATGTCATTTGGAGACATAATTTGACTTTCCTTCAAATCTGACTTTTTTATATTTATTTTCTATACCAATTACCTTGTTCATATCCTCCAATACAGTGTTGAATAAAACTGTGAAAGTGATAGCCTTCTCTTGTTTCTAATTTTACAAGAAAGTTCTTGAGCTTCTCAGAAGATTTAGGATGTCATGTGAGGTTTTCTGTGCTTTCATGGTGAGGAAACTTTTCTTATTTGCCTAACTTGTTGCATGGTTTTATAAGGAATGAAATTTCACTTTAGCAGGTGCTTATTGCTCATCTTTTAAGATGACCATGTGTATTGTGTCCCTTATCTCTTAATATAGTTTATGGCACTAATTCTTTTCGTATGTTGAACCAAATTTGCATTCGTAAGATGTATACCTTCGTCAAAATTTATAAATTTTTACATGTCAGTTATTTGCTTTGATAGTATTTCCTTTAATTTTTGTGTTTATGTTCATAAGTCATATGATCAATATGATCATAGTTTTTCTTCAGTAACTTTGTCTAGCTGTGGTATAAGGCTGATAATTCACATTGGAAAGTGATCTATTCTTCATGTTGCTCTTACTGTTTTTTATGTGAAAGGTCTAAATTTATTTAGCACAAATAGAATGGAACACATGAAAAGGAGAAAAAATGTACATTTTTTCAAGGTAATTTTCAGACTTTGCAAACAATTATATTGTGTAAGTGAATAAAACCAAATCAGAGTAGTAAAAAGATGTAATTGGGCTACATAGATGGAGATTTAGAAAACACTAGAAAGGGAGAGAGAAAGGTGGGTGATAAATTACTCTTTTTAATATGATTTCATTGTTTTGCATATTTCTTTCTTTACACTACCTACAAGTATAGACAAACATGAAAATATGGGTTGACAAACAGGTACTTATTATTTAGAAGAAATACAAGATTTAAATTCTGGTATTTCATTAAGGTCAATTTAGTTTGTATGCTCAGGAGACCTAACATGTAGACATTTGATGTGACACATTTTGTGAGCCTTCATAAATATCTATAAAAAATGGAATATCACAGTTTTAGAAACTTAAAAGTTGAACAAAAGAAGGATTTAAATATTATTATTAAAGTTGTTACCTATTCCCAGATGAGGACTTAGAAAAACAAACAGTTGGCAAACCAGTGCAGCAGGTGACTTCCGTGAAGCCGGAGGCACACCCTGGGGACTGCGGTGTTGCTGGAGCTGACACTGCTGTGCTGCACATGTGGCTGCCACCAGTTTCCTCCCTCTCTGGGAAGTGGAATTTGAATTGCAGGTGCTGATGGCTGATGGACGGAGGGACAAGACCACATTATCTCAAAATGCTTGGCTCTGTTGCTTGCTCCTCATTTCACTGCTAGGTGCCACAGGCTTGGGGTTTACTGTTTATTTTTTGAAAAATATATGATAAATTGGTATTAATTATTTGAAGATGTAAAATCATTCACTGGTGAAGTCTTCTTGACCAAGTCAGGATTTTTTTTTTTTTCACAGACATGGTCTCACTCTGCATCCCGGCTGGAGCACAGTGGCATGAATGTAGCTCACTGCAGACTTGAACTCCTGGGGGGGTCAAGCAATCCTTTTGCCTCAGCCACTTGAGTAGCTGGGGCCACAGGCACATGCCACCATATCTGGCTAATCTTTTTTCTTCTTTTCTTTTCTTCCTTCCTTTTTCTTTTTTGTGTGTGGTAGAAACAGGTTCTAAGTATGTTGCCCAAGCTGGTCCTGAACTCCTAGCCTCAAGTAATCCTCCTGCCTCAACCTACCAAAGCATTGGGATTACAAGTTTGACCCACCATGATCAGTCCAGGGTAGGAAATGGAATCTTAACAACTGTCACGTGAGCTTTGAGGGAATCCTTCTCCAGATGAGCCTTCAGTTGAGACCTCAGCCTTGGACATCATCTACATCTGGATTCCTGACCCAGAGCAACTGTAAGTAATGTGTGTGTGATTTTGAGCCACCACACTATGTGGCAATTTGTTGTGCAGCAACTGATAACTAATACAAAAGATAGCACATTTAATTTCTAATACTACCCTGGATTAGATTCTGGAACAGAAAAATGGCATTACTAGAAAACCTGGTAAACTCAGAAGAAAGTCTGTAGTTCAGTTAATAGTTTTAAACCAGTGTAAGTTTATTAGTTTTCATAAATACATTATGGGTATATAAATAAGATGTAACATTCTAGTAAACTTCTGGGTATGTAAAACTAGCTGTACTATGTTTGCATCTTTATGTATATCTAAAACTATTTTAAAATGAAATCTTTGATTTTTTATTTTTAATTAAAAAGACAGGCATGCGTATATTATACCAGCTTCCGGGGAGGCTGACTTGGGAGGATTGCTTGAGCCCAGGAGTTCCAAACTGAAGTGAGCCATGATTGTGTCACTGCACTCCAGCTTGGGAAACAGAGGGAGATCAAGACTCAAAAAAAAATTGGCCTCAGAAGATGAATGGACATGGAGAAAAAAAATAGCCAAGCAGATTTCCGCATACATTTACCCTTCCATACATACATCCATCTACTTCAGGAAGCCACTATCAAACTCAAGGAACTCTTGTCCATATTTGACCTCCCCATCACACTCTTTATTACCAAGTAACTCGTTTGAGTGTCAGTAACCTCTCTGTTTTCAGAGATATTTGCCTATGCCTCACAAATCCCAGAAAGGCCCATTTTCAGATATCATTTAGGAACATATCTACATGATCCCACTGAACATATTTTGGCAGACAAAGTTTCTGGATGCCAAAGACCAAGATTGAGGAATGTTAGTGAGAAGAAATATAAATTATATTTTCATATTTTTTTTTATTAATACAGGCTTAGTTTTCTAAAGATAATTCTGCCTTCAAGCCTTGTTGGAATTCTGTGATAATGTCTTTTCACTCCACGATCTCCATCAGGAATTTTATGGAACCTTGTATTCTGTTGAATACCAGAATTACATCAGCAATCCCCAAGCCCCAAAGTCACCGGATGGGCATCATTATGACAGCAGGTGGGTGGAATTCAAAAAACAAAACAAAACAAAAAAAATATATATATATGTATGTATGTGTGTATATATATGTATGTATATGTATGTGTGTGTAGATATATATATGTGTGTATGTGTGTGTATGTATGTGTGTGTGTGTGTGTGTGTGTGTGTATATATATATGTATATATGGTGGTTGGTGGTTTTGGCAGTTTCTACTTATCTGGGCCTGGACAAAAAAATCTTTTCATACCAGATTTTTGGCAGCTGAGATTCAAAACAGGTTTTTCAAGGGCATGGAAAACCTGATAGTGGCTAAACAACAGGCGAGGTGTGGTGGCTCATGCCTGTAATGCCAGCATATTGGGATGCCAAAGTGGGTGGATTGCTTGAGTCCAGGAGTTCAAGACCAGCCTGGGCAACATGGAGAAACTCTGTCTCTACAAAAAAAAAAAAAAAAATAGAAAATGTAGCTGAGTACAATGGCACACACAGGTGGTCCCAGCTACTCAGGAGGCTGAAGCAGGTGGATGGATTGAGCCCAGGAGGTCAAGGCTGCAGTGAGCCATGATTGTGTGACTGCACTACAGCCTGAGCAAAAAAGTCAGACCCAAGAAAGAAAGAGAGAGAGAGAGAGAGAGGAAAGAAGGAAAGAGGGAAGAAAGGGAAGGAAGGATAGGAAGGAAGAAAATACAACATATCCCCAACCCTCCAGCAGTGATTTAAGAGATAGACAGAGGCTGAGTGGTGATTCTGCATATGTGCTGGCTAAACAAAGAATCCCACAGCAGGAAGGACTCTCCACTCACCACACACACAACTTCCTGTTCAACACGCTGCTGGACAGCACCAGGGTTGTTTCCAGGGACCATGCCTAAAAACCCACAAAGACATCAGACTTCATTCTGCACACCCATGGTCATGTATAATGTTGACTTGTTTTTTTCGTCTATAAACATAGGGTCTATTGTCTACACCATGGTAATAGTGACAGTGAGAAATGAGCTCCTGTGACCTAGAAACTTGGAAGAGACATTCAGCTTCATGGAAGTCATTCCTCATTCTTAGATGAGGATAACTGTTACGTGGTGTTATTTGAGCATTTGTAATTCAAGAAAACTAACTTCTTTAGGCTCATACTTTATTACTTGAGACATGACAGCTTCATTTAAGGTTCCTATTTTAAAACATGGTGGGTGTTTCCATTTATTTCATTTGAACTGGAGATACTATCATACTTTCGTGACTTGTCAAATCCCTTTTTATCTTGATTTCAATGCATGTTTTCTAATCTATCATGATGAAGAGTGTGAAGATTGTGCTTCACCAAACCAGGAAGCAATTAAAAAAAAAGCTCGAATGGCAAGCCATAAGTTAGACATAAGTAAATGCATACAAGCTGTAACCCATCTCAATGTGGCATATCAGGGAGATGGAGACTGGAGAGCTGAGGTTTAAAAGAAAACAGGCACTAAATTCAAAGCTGTGCTAAATGATGTCACAGGCACAGATGACATCGTGTGGTGCTCCAAGTTCCCAAACAACCTCTCTGACAGCACAAAAATTATGATTTCTCATAATATACTAAGCTACCAGGTTTCAGAGTGGCTGTCCTGGACACTACAATTTTCAAAAACTATCATTGCAAACAAGCCAAATTCCTAGACCTCTTCATGAGGCAAGTACCTAACACTCTTTCTCCATCCACACTTTAGACTGATTGGAAGTTAGAGTTCAATGGAAGGGTGGCTAATATAATTGAGACCATGATTTCATGTTCCCTTTATTCAGTCTTCCTGAAGCCTTAAATCCAGGTCAGGGAAACATTCATCTAACTCATTACAATTCTGCTTCCTCCTCAACAGATTTCTAGGACCATCATTTTTAAAATTATTTCTACATATGTAAGATAGGGATTTCAGTACTCCACTAAAAGCTCTCCATTTTTAATAGTTAGCAGTCCATGGAAGGCAGTTCTTTGCAAACCTACCACCAAAATATGAGGAAGCTGAATAGCTGAAGATAGAGGCTGATATAACCAGTCTCTTAGAAAGAAACATTTAGTAGGGATTTATGAGCAGATATTTGAGTCTCACATAGGGCTTATATACCATGGGGAAGGGGCACAGTTAGAGGTTATCAGATTGGAATCTGTTTACCTGGAGTTGGAATTATTCGTGGGTTCCCAGACTAATGTGAGAATGTGTTGGAGCATTATAGTGTGGGGACCCAAAAATTTCTGGGAAAGTTTATCCTGCATCTCCGTACAGATCTTGAAAAGCAACAAAAACTACAGCAACCAAACAGAACGGGGAGTAGAATACCAATTATACAGTATATGAGAGTCTTCCATGGACCTGGAAGTCGACTAAACCATGATATTGTGGGATCCTGGGAGAGGACATTTATAGCAGAAATATGAGTATTCAGTGCGTGCATAGCCTGGATTATATCGTGAGAATAATCTGGTGTATATATGCACCATTCAGTCTTAATGCACAAGTGTCCCACTAGGCTGCAGTTAGGATATCTAAGGCCATAGGGTTCTGTAGGGTCACTTGCCTAATCTGCATGATTTTTCAGTGGGAAGGGTAATGTTGGGTTAGGTGTTATTACTGGCAGCAGCTCTATACTTAGGGTCTCTACTTATAATTCTACATCTGTGTTTGCTATCTGGGAGGAAAAGGCAGCTGGTGAGTAGAACCAACAGGGTGCCCATTTTTGATGGTGTTGTCTGTCCTTCACATTTTCCCAGTTGTCAGGGAGACAGTCCAGATGGGACAGGATGTGTCCTGGTAGGTAAGGGCACCCCCAGGTGTTTCTGCCAGTCCAGCTGTAAGGTAAGTAAGACCAGCTATGACTGCTTCAGGCCTATAGCTATCTCCAGGAGAATGGATAGGCCCCACCATGTAGCTTGATACTATTTTGCCATCCTAGCCACATATTATTATTCAGTTGATGGGTTTGGCCACATTGCTAAGAGGTAACCATCCCTTAGCCTGGCTGCTAGTGTGGGGTGTGTTGCTCTTGTGTTTTTGGTTGCGTAGAGGTGCCTGACCCATTGCCTGAATTTGCACCATCATCAGCCATCCTATGTTGTCATGTACAGCATAGTCTATAGAGGGGGTGATGTTAACCTGCTTATGAGCCAGATGGAAGATATGTTTCCAGGTTTCCCCAAAAGTGGAGCACTCATGGTGAGTGGTACTGTAATCATAGATGGGAAATGGGTGAGAATTTTTACTTTTGTCCTACGTATAAACATAACTCCAAGTGCTCGAGGTGGTTGCTTGGATGTGCAATGGCAAGTCAGCAGTGGAGAAAGGGGTACCTCCCCCAGAGACCCAGCAGTCTATTTTGTTTTGGAGGAAAGCCACTGTCTACACCCATTCAGGTAGTTTCAGCAAAGATCAAGTATGTACTTATTACTCTAGAATTAACTGAGAACTTCATGTTAACAAAAGTATATTGGTTATCTCTCCTGCTTTTTCTCTTATTAATAGCTTCACATCTTACTTTAGCTCACATAACCAGGCAGGCATCTGAGTGAAGCCCACCTTTCAGGCTTTGAAGGGACTCAGCCCTTTGTACTGTATTTCCTTTTTAGGAGGACTACATGCTGTCTTGGGATTGTTTGTAGTGCACAAGATGCATCCTTCTGTAATTTTCCGAGTGATATTTTGGAAGTGTGGGCTACTGAGATGTGGTTGCACTAGGTTGGCGAGGACATCACTCCCATAGTGCGTTCCTTTATGTAGATGTTTTGAGATTGGATAAACCAAGGCCTTGTGGTTTCATCATCCTGTAGGTGTCAGTTTTCCAGGGGAATTGGAATCTCTTTTCTCAAACCCCTGGCTCGGGCACATTTGGGATCTTGTTCAGTGTAATGAGGTTTAAAATCTAGTAATTCCAAATGGAGTATTCATGTCCCAGGACCTGTGCCTCCCAAGCAGCTCATTATGCAGCTTTGCCAGCTGCCTGCTTACTTTTGGTTGTGAATTGTCTCTCTGGTGTTGGGGAAGTGAATGATGGAAGCCTGGGCAGGCAAGGCAATTGCCTTTACTAAGGCCAGAATTTCTCCTGAGTGTTTAATATCTGTATTTTCTGATTATAAGTAACCTCCTCTATGTTTCCAGATCACCCAATTGGCGTGCATTTCCAGGAATGCATTTATGGAATAAGAATAAATGTTTACTCCCTTTTCCTGGGACAGTTCTAAAGACTCAGGTAAGAGCAATTAACTCAGCACTTTGTGCGGAGGTAGCTGCAGGAAGGGTATGGACTACTATTACCCTTTTGGCAGTCACGGTGGCATATCCGGCTCTGTGCACATCTTTCATTAAGCTGCTCCCATCAGTGTAGTTCAAGTCCAGAGCACTCATTGTCTAGTTTGACAGGTTCAGCATGCTTGAATAAGCTGCATCAAGGATTTACAGTCATGCTTTAACCCAGGATTGTGTTCAGTGGCTGAGAGCAGTGTGGCAGGGTTTAGAGCCATGGTGGTTTGTAGGGTGATATTTGGATCATGTAAGAGGATGGCCTGGTATCTGCCCACTCACCCCACAGTGAGCCAGTAGCCTCCCTTTCATTCTAGCAGAGTCAGCACCTGATGGGGCACAAACACAGTAACTGGCTGTCCCAGAGTAAATTGTTCTACTTCCTGTAGGACTTCACAGTGGGTGCTTTTGCCCAGAGGAAGGCGGGGGCATCCCTTAACCTGTGGCCTAATTGTTTAGAGAAATGGGCCATGGAATGTGGGACAACTCCCAGCATTTGGATTAGCACAACCCACACCTATGGTTTGTTTCTTCTGGATATAGAATTTGAACAGCTTTTGGGAATTTGGTATCCCAGTGCAGAGGGTGATATCAGCTTTTCTTTGATGGTATAAAATGTTTGTTGACCTTTAGATGGCCAGAGAAGGGCCTCTGAGTCTAGTCCCTTTAGGGATTCATAAAGGGTTTTGGTCATTAGTCCAAATTTAGGAATCCAAATCTGGGAGAAGCTAACCCTTTCTAAGAATCCCCGCAGTTGCCCCCATTCTCTGGGACTTTATGGCTGCCATTGCCTGTTTTTGACCAGACCAGGCTCGTTTGGCCTTGCTTTAACCTAAAGCCAAGACAGGTTACTTTCTACTTTTGTATTTGGGGCTTCTTGGGAATACTTTGTATCCATATTGTACCAGGTGATTTAAAACTAAGATGACCTCAGCTAAGCATTTCCTATAGTTGTGGCTGGTATTAATTATCTACGTGTGGTTAGCCAGGCTTCTTAATCTTGTTGTAGGTCTCCTAAGTCTTTTGCCAGTATTTCCCCAAAAATCGATGGTGCATTTTTCAACACATTGAGGCCCCACTGTCCAACAGTATTGAAAGACTGTTTTAGTCTCTGGGTCCTGTCATTAAAAATAATAATAATAATTGCTGGGTCTTTTCTTTAATTGGAATGCAGAACAAAACATCTTTTAGATCTAGCACTGAAAAGCATTCATACTATCTATATATAGCAGTCAGTAGAGTATATGGGTTAGGCACCATTGGGTGAATATCCAAGACTATTTTATTAACAGCTCTCAGGTCTTGGGCAAATTGATATTTGTAGATGTGTAGCTTCCTTACAGGCACGATAGGGCTATTATATGGGGATCTGCAAGGATGAATCAGTCCACTTCTCAAATTTTTGAAAGACAGGCTGTATTCCTTCTAAGGCTTCCTTTCTTAATGTATACTGATTTTTTTTATTCGCCTCCCCCCCGCCGCCCAGGTCACAGTAGCCCCTTCTATTTTTTCCATGTGCACTCACTGTGTATTTCTTGTTTTTCCTGGGATTCCGTCTGCCTATTCACAATTACACACTCTCTCATAGACTTCTAAGGGAGAATTCTTGTTTCTTCTTAAGGCAAGTGAATAACATGTTACTTGCAGTGCTTGCTCTAGCAGGACCTGCAGCTGTAGTTGTTTCTCTGGGGATAAATTACTTGAGTATTTAATTTGCATAATGGGTCTTTTCCCAGCAAGGGAATTGGGCATTCTTGCATATAGAAATAGCAATGCCTTAGGTCCAAACTTTCTAGTTTGCATTCTAAAGGTTGTAGGAAAGCCTTTTGTTGCATTATTCTTGCAACTCCTATCACAGGTATGATCATTTTGGTGCTTTTTGCTCGTAAAGTGTTAAAACTGAATAGTTTGCCCAGTATCAACCAGGAAATCAATTAACTTTTTCCTCACTGTCAGTTGTACCCAGGGTTCCTGTGGGGAAATTTTAATTGTCTCTAAGTGATTAAGGAGAGTCCCCAGGCATCACTGTCTGTGGTCAGAGCAGTGACCCTGCTCCATGATTTGACTGTGGGCTTTTTCCTAGTCATATTCCTCCTTTTTCTGGCCCCTTGGTCCTTTCTTTTGGGACAGTCATCCTTTCAGTGGCCTTTCTCCTTACACTAGGCACGCTGGCTGTGTTCCAGAGGCTTGCCTCGATTTTTCTGATGCAGAGCCTTCCTTGTTCATTCCACATTTATGGTTGAAACTTCTGTTTCTTTGTCTCTGGAGCAGGGAAGGGGTCATTCCTAGTGAGGCTTCCTGTTTTGGCACCCCTTTCCTGAGTCCAAACATGAAGAATGTTTGTGAATATTCCAGATGGGCCATGTCCCCTTATCAATTGGAGCCCCAATTAGGGTTTGCATCCAGAATGGTTCCTTCAGGTTTGGGGTATTTGGATTTGTTTCATGGAGACACCAAGACTCTGGATCTTCTTTGGTCTGCAGCCAGAAGCATATTTAGGAGAGGCTACACATCTGCTCAGGTACACTGGTGGGTGGCACAGATAGACACATAGAGAGCAGTCATTTTCTGGGGATCCATTCTATAAAGTGGGGTGGAGTTTTTCCGTTTCACAAGTTAGTTGTTGAAAATGGGCTGGATGTCCAGTAATGTCTGACAGGTTGCCCACTCGCATCCAAGCCACCCATGGCCATCCTTATAAATGGGAATTCCCTTGCTCTGGCCATGGCACTTCCTTGCTAAATCGTGTACCCTGTCAAGCACTGGAAGGAGAGGCCGTCTCTGTTCTCTCATTATACTGAGGTGGCAGAGTAGCTCCCTCTTATTGGTCTGATGCCTCACTTGGTAGCATGAAGGCAATTTGGGCCAACGCAGAGGCCAGTGCTAAGGGCCCGGTATGGCAGTACTGCAGTGGGAGCTGTTGGGGTGGAGCAGAGGCCAGGTGCGTTCTGGCTGTGGCGGCTGGAGCTGCTAAAACAGCTTGGGTGTAGGACATTTAAAAGTCCTAATTCTTCTTCATTGCTTTCTGCCTGAATTTGGCTCTCTGGCTTGTGAAGAGCCTTTTTTCCATTCTGTCCTTTGGTACATCTTCCCTCATGGTATGAATCCTGATTTTCAAAAAGGATGAAGGTTTGGACATATTGTATTTTTTCTAATTTTCCCGACCTCTGACAAAATGAGTCTAACTGCATTAAAGGCTAGTATTGGTTGCGTCCTTTCAGAGGTCAAAATTTATAACATAACTTGTCCACAGTCCAAACAGCACTGCAATAATAGACCATTTTTCTCTTAGTCATGGGCTTATAGCTATAGGATCTACACTTAGCTAGGGTATGCCCCAGGGGCCTTTCAGAGGTGATAGAGACCTTGTTTCCCCTCCTGACTTGGTTTATATGTCCATACTGCTCATCCCTGTGAAACAGTGATGACAACTTTTATTTGTTGTCTCTCTTCTGTTCTGCACTGCTCATATCCTTCAACCAGACCTCTATGGGTTGGAAAGACTTTTCAAGCTTCATATAAGCAGTGCAATTTATACCACTCATGGTCCTAAAGGAACACTTGTGCCAATGTCACCACAGAGTTGGGACAGCCAAAGAGACCAGAGAATAAACTACTTGGGCAGGCTAGTGATTAGCACCAGCTAGCACAGCACTCCCCTACCACCGCCCCCCCTCCACCCCCCGCCCCGGGCCCACCAGCACATCAACTTCATCCCAAGTCCATGTTCTGCTGTCCTTAGTACCCTAGTAGAGGGTAACCGAATGGCAACAAATTAAATGGTAAATTAGCAGACAAAAAGGGCACAGGGGTTGGAGTCAGGACTGCCTAAATACTTATCCCATATGCTGTTAAGCTTTTTTTTCACATAAACAACATTAAGCACCATAAGCATGGTGGCAAGCCCTTTAGATAACCTATGGAATAGCTCACATCCTTCCTTTCCCCATAAAAACTGGCACAGCTGTGAGAAGTACTCCAGGGCCCTAAAAAGAGTGACCCTGCTAGGGCACTGGAGGCTGTTTCCCTCCAGGGCTGGATCCTGGATGGAGTGGGGCTTATGCAGATCACCTTGCAGAGGAAAGAAGGAGGAGGAGAGAGAGAAAGAGATGAGGGCCTAAATGTAGATATTGTACCTTTTACAGTTGCAGATTCAGACTGCACAGTCCCAGACAGATCCCCACTAAAGGGCTGGGTAAACGTCCTGAAACCTCCTCTCAATTTCAGATGCCCTCCCGCCAATCAGCTGACTCCAAGTGGAGCAAAGCCCAGGTGTTGACATAGATGCAGATAACATACACACCCAGATGATGTCACAATCAGCTATATGTAAACAGAGCAGAGGTCAGGTGACATCACAGAACAGGCAGAGGCAGTTCAGGGGGTATTCTGGTTGCCTTACCCAGCTCTGAAGTCTGTCAGCCTCTTCAGATGTCACTTGCCCTGTGGTAAGGAAGTGTAGTTGGCAGCTGGTGCAGTGGCAAGAAGAGAAAGGAAGTTCCCCAAGACAGAAACATCTCAGCAGGTAAAGAGAAATTCCCTAGAGCCCCAATCAAGGGACCAGCTAGTTGGAAGCAGGTGGCATTCCTGGGTAGTTTCTTTCCCTTCCAGTGGCCAGAATGGTTAAGCCTTGGTGTGCTTGTGTGTCTGATTGCCCCATTCATCGGAATCCAGACCGATGGTTTCAGGAACTCTGAGTGTGTTGTTCCCCTCTATGTGTCCATGTGTTCTCATCATTTAGCTCCCACTTATAAGTGAGAACATGGAGGTATTTGGTTTTCTGTTCCTGTGTTAGCTTGCTAAGAATAATGGACTGTAGCTCCGTTCATGCCCCTGCAAAGGGGGACATCATCTGGTTCTTCTTTATAGCTGCATTATATTCCATGGTGTATATGTGCCACATTTTCTTTATACAGTCTATCATTGATGGACAATTGAGATTGATTCCATGTTTTTGCTATTGTGAATAGTGCTGCAGTGAACATATGTGTTCATGTGTCTTTATAACAAAATGACTTATATTCCTTTGGATATATACTTAGAAATGGGATTGTTGGGTCAAATGGAAGTTCTGTCTTTAGGTCTTTTAGGAATCACCACACTGTCTTCCACAATGGTTAGCCTAATTTACACTGCCACCAACAGTGTATGTGTTCCTTTTTCTCCACAATCTTGCCAGCTTCTGGTATTTGTTTGATTATTTGTTATTTGTTATTTTTTGACTTTTTAATATACCCATTCTGACTGGTGTTAGATGGTATTTCATTTTGGTTTTGATTTGCACTACTCTAATAATGAGCGATGTTGAGAAGATTCAAATAAATGCAATCAGAAACAACAAGGGTGATATTACCACCGACCCCACAGAAATATAAACAACCATCAGAGAATATTATGAACACCTCCATGGACATAAACTAGAAAATCTAGAAAGAATGAAAAATTCCTGCACAAATACACCCTCCCAAGACTGAACCAGGGAGGAACTGAATCCCTGAACAGACCAAGAATGGCTCTGAAATTGAGGCAGTAATAAATAGTCTCAGTGACAAATTTTTAAAATGCCACTTAGAAAATGTACACATAATTTTGCTCTATGCAGCAAATATATTTGTAACAATCACTTTTAGGAAGGGTGTTAAGATATTTTATTATTTTTTCTCATTTAGCTTAATATTTTAAAAATATTTTTCTGCTGGCAACTATTTATATCTCCATTTTCATTGACATAGTCAATAATTTACCCACCTTTCTATTAAATAATAGTGGATCAACTGATGTGTATTATTTTATACTGAACTTTGGCACTCTTGACATAATTCATATATGAATAGTCATCCAAATGTCTTGGCCAGTAACGATGAGATTCATCCACCAAGGTTGAACAGGAATTTTCTCACCTGAAAGCAGCAAGCAATACAAAAGCAAGAACATGGTAGAAGAAATTCAGGAGTCCCACAAGCAGATGAGGATTTATTTAGGGCCTGAGAAGGTGCAGGGACCCCTCATAGGGGCCTGTGTACCACCCGAAGCATGGAAATAAAGGAAAATCTTGAGTCCCTTCACAGAAATTCCAGGCACCTCTCTACCTCTGAGAAGTTCATGAGCCACTTCACAAGCAAGAAGTTAAAACAGTAGCAAGGAATGGAGAGTCATGGGAATATGGGGTTCCCTATGGAAACTAAAAATCAAAGCTTAGCATATGTCCCTGAGTTGTTGTTCAGAAAGCTGCCCCTCTACCAAATGGATCCACTGGCACATAGACCTCAGATAAAGGGGATCTATGAAATGAACTCTGCCATTCTTTATTCTGAATTTCTTCCTGAGGGGCCTACAGGATGTTATGTCTATGAGCCAGAAGTACCATTATTTTCTGCTGATCCCAAATTTTCTGACAAATTTTACTTTCTTAAATAATCACAAATCAGTAAATCTTTGAATCCCCCTATGACCTGTAAGCTTCCACTTCTTCCCTTCAAGATACTTCATCATTTTAGGCTAAAACCAATGTGTAACCTCAATATATTAATTTATAACTGTGTATTACCTCTGCCTCTGTGTCTTTAAAATCCCCTACCTGTAAGCTGTCTGATAGTTTTGGTCTTTATTTTATTCTATTTTTTTATTTTATTTTTGGGACAGAGTTTTGCTCTTGTAACCCAGGCTGGTGTGCAGTGACTCCATCTCAGCTCACTGCAACCTCTGCCTCCCAAGTTCAAGCGATTTTCCTGCCTCAGCCTCCTGAGTAGCCAGGATTACAGGCAGGTGCCACCACGCCCAGCTAATTTTTGTATTTTTAGTAGAGATGGGGTTTCCCCATGTTGGCCACGTTGGTCTCAAACTCCTAACCTCAAGTGATCCACCCTCCTCGGCCTCCCATAGTGCCGGGATTACAGGTGTTGGCCACCATGCTTGGCCTGTCTGCGTGACTTCTTAAATGTTCTTTGACATTCTCCTGCAAACCTCATGATGTTCTCGTGTTTCTCCGATTGTAACGTGTTACATGAATTTATTCTTTCTATCCCATGCTTCTTTTTATTGATGCATTCTGTCCTTTAAGTAGTGCATTTAGAACATTGACATTTAAAGTGATTATTGATATAGTTGGATTAAAAATCTACCAAATTTGTTACCATTTTTCAGTTGTTGATTTGTCTTTGTTCCTATTTTTGTATTTCACTCATTTTCTACCTTTCGTTGTTTTGAGCACTTTATATCTGTTCATCTCATTTCTTAGCATATCTGGTTTTTTTTACCTTTTTAGTGGCTAATCTAAGTAATAATTTTATGCTTAATTAATCTAACGAAGAACAGCTTGTTAAAAACAGTAGTATGACTAATATTTGATTAGATATGGTTAAATATATATCATTGTGTATGTATATATATATACATGCAAACATTTATGTGCATTTATGCTTATATAAGTGAGATGAATAACTGCAATAAGTGATAGAAGGAAAGAATGTGGGTTATTCTGTTACTGTAATGTGTTCACACTACATCTTAAGTGATATATTGTTACTTAAAAGGGGGCTTGGATTAGTCAGAAATTTAAATTGCAAACTGTAGGGCAGCCTCAGTTCCTTGCTGGCTGTTGACCAGAGGCTGTATTCAGTTTCTTCCCATGTGGACTTCTCCCAAGTAGCAGAATGCTCTATCAAAGCCATCAAGGCAAAGAACTTGCTAGCAAGACAAAAAAAAAAAAAATCACAACTTTATGTATCATGATCAGTCATGTGACATCTAATATTCTTGTATTATTGTGTTGTACGAAAACAAGTCAAATTTCATGCCTATACCCACAGGGAGAGGATTACAATACAAGGTCATGCACCCTGGCAGGTGGGGATCATTGGGCACCATCTTAGGGTCTACCAGCCACATCAGGTCCTGTCTGATGTGCAACAGTTTCCCAGTCTTTGTTTATCTTGAAGAATCTTGGCCCCTAAGAGAAGAACTGGTGAGGTACTTTATAGGAAGCATCACAATGTGGATTCATCTGATGATTTCTCATTATTTGAATAGAATTATAGACTTATTTTGAACACCTTTATCTTAATGTGAAGACAATAAAAACTGAACAACATATTATTTAGAAATATAAACCTAGACATAAAAATAATATAAAATGGCAATGACAAATAGGAAACTGAAAATAATAGTAACCTTCATGGGGGTAAAAAATGCCATGAAATTGGGGAGCTGCACATTTAGAGCATCAACAATATTGATAATATTCAGTTTGTTAAGGTCAGCAGTAAATTTTTAAAGAAAGAAAAAAGCTTTTCTATTTTACGTTAGCTTTGGACTTACAGAACAGTTGCATAGTCAGCATGGAGAGTTAATATGCAACCAACACAGAGTTTCCATCATTATTAACCTCTTATATGAGCATGGGTATTTGCCACAATTAACACACCAACATTATGCATTCTCATTCACTGATATCCACATATTAATCAGATTTGTTTTTCTCCTACTTAATGTTTGTTTTCTGTTCTACGATGTCTTCCAGGATAACACATTTAGATATCTTGTCTGCTTAAGCTTTTTTTGTCTCTGCAGTTTCTCTGAATTTCCATGTTTTTCGTGGCATTGACATCCTCCATTTAGGATTTCTATGATTGTTTTTAGTAACAATTAGACTGAAGTTGTAGATGTGGAAGAAGAGACAGGGGTGAGTGTAATATTCATTATACCATGGGCATATATTCTCAAAATGCTTTTTATCACTATTGATACTAATTTGAGCACCTGGATGAGGCAGTGTGGGTCCAGTTTCTCCACTGTAAAATTAATTTTCCCCCTTTCCATGTCGTACTTTTTGAAAAAAAGTCACTATGCACAGCGCATACTTAACAAGTGGGGAATTATTCTTCACCTCCTTAAGGCAGAACCTCTATAGTATCGTTTGTATTTCATTACCATAGGCAATGTATCTGTTCTCCAGCATTTATTTTACATTTATTTAATCAATTATTTATATTATATGGAATATTGGCAAATAATAAATATTTATTTCCACTGTGATTAGACTAGTTTATTGTATTGTTCAAATTGCTCTCGTGCTGGTCATTAGAAGCCTTTCAGTCAGCTGCTTTACCACTTTGAAATACCCATATTATTGCTATTTGATTTGGTTTGTGTAGTGTGTTGGTTGGTTGTGTTGTTTAACTTTTTCTTACTTTCTGGCACTACAAGGTACTTAAGCTTAATAGTGTTGATTCCCTTCCCAACCCTGCCATTTACCATTTTCCCCCAAATTCCTGGTTCCTTTTTTGGTGAATGACATTAGAAACAAAGGTCTCGGCAATGGTGTTGTCATTTCTGCTAGGCGTCTGTTAATTCTATGCTTTGTCATCTGACAGAGCAAAGGATTATATGTATGTATGTAACTCACACTCACGTATGTATATGTATTTCTACAACATTTCTCCATTTATTCCTAAGTAAAGTTCAGCATGAATTCTTATTAATGTTTCCAGCACCTGTGGTCTAATTCAAGACCACATGAATCAATTTCCCCATTCCCACTACTTGTATGTAACCTCCGATGCTAACAGTGAGATAGTTGTCCTCCTTTATATAATCAATGAGTCCAAAATACATGCAGAGTAGTTTTAGAATTGGTAATTCATACCCCCATGGGAAAGAATGTTTCTAACTAAAGAGAATTTATGTACAGATACTTTGACATTTAAACTAAGAATCTCTCCTTATTTTTATATTTCTTAGATTATTCCCCTTGCCACCAAATGTCTATATCTTTTTGACAATTTATTTTATTTTATTTTATTTTTTATTATTATTACACTTTAAGTTTTATGGTACATGTGCACAGTGTGCAGATTAGTTACATATGTATACATGTGCCATGCTGGTGTGCTGACAATATTTTAAATGGAATTGTTTTCTATGTTTTATTTTAGATTAATTGACAATATATAGAAATACAATTGGTTTTTATTGCCCTAGTATACTAAAGTGTTACTGAACTCATTTTTTGGTTCTAATCTTATTTTAGTGATTTTCTTAGGATTTTCTATACACAGGATTATGTCATTTATGAATAGAGATAGCTTAACTTCATCCTTTTCATTCTAGAAGCCTTATATTTATGTTTCTTGCCTAATTACCCTGGCTACATGTTCCAATACAATACTGAATAAAAGTAGCAAGAGCATACATCCTTGTCCTGTTGCTAATTTTTTGAAGAAATTACTGAAACATTCATAATATGGCATGTTGTTTTTTGAGTTTTTCATAGATGTCCTCTATCACTTAACAAAATTTCTTTCTATGCCTAATTTGCTCGGCCTTTTTATCATGAATGTGTTTTGGATTTTTCAACTGCTTATTCTGTATCTTTAGAGATAATTATGAAGCTTTTGTCCTTCATTCTATTAATATAGTGTATTACACTAATAGTTTTTGTATGTTTAACAAAACATATTTCAGGGACAAATGACTTTGCTCATAATGTGTATTCTTATTAGGTTACTGGTTTAATTTGATAGTATTTCCTTCAGAATTTTTGCCTCTGTTTCATGGGGCATATTTGTCTGTAATTTTCCTTTCTTGAAATCTCTTTGTCCAGCTGTGCTATCAGGGAAAACGGGCTTCATGCTGCGTATTGGGAAGTGTTCTCTACTCCTCTGTTTTTATTTATTTTCTTGAAAGATTTGTTAATAAAGGATTGTTATTAATTCTCAAAAGGGTTAGAATAATTCACCGGTGAAGTCATCTCAACCTAGAAAAAAATTGAATCCTACCAACACTAACATGAGCTGAGAAAGGGATCCTTCCCCAGGGGAGGCTTCACTTGAAACCTCAGCCTGGGTCATCTGACCCAGAGAAAATGTTAAGTAATAGTTATGTGTGGGTTTGAACATCTAAGCTGTGCGGTTATATGTTATACAGCGACCTGTAGGTAATATACCTGAGAGTAAATGTAATTAGATTCTAGAAGAGAAAATGACATCAGTGGAAAACCTGGCAAAATATTAAGAAAGTCTGCCTTTCAGTTAATGCTTCAAAACTATTAACTGTATTTCAGGTAATAGTTTTGTACCACTGTCAATTTCTGAGTTTTCATAAATACATTCTGGTTACATAAGTTGTTAACATTTCAGGAAGCTGTAGATTATGTAAAACTGTATTATCTTTGCAACTTTCTGTAAAACTTAAGTTATTTTCAGATAAAATTACTCTTAAAATGTATTATTTAGGAACAAAAAAATACCAACACAGATGGACATAAACAAGAAGAAACCTTGGACCAGAGGATGAGTGGAGATGCAGGGAGTGAAAGGCAAAGTACTTGCCTTTTTATCCCCATTCCTACACAGGGCACCTGCTTCAGGCTTCAGGCGCCTGAAGCTCCAGGGACTCTCATCCATTTTCTTCTTTTCCATCATATGCTCCATTACCCAGTCACCAGTTCATACATCAGTAACCACTTTTTCAAAGAAAGGTGCCTGCCCCACATATGTTAGAAGGCCCTATTTTCGGGCACTTTGTGGTAGTGTCTTTGTAGGTTCTCACTAAAGACATTTTGGAAGACATGACTTCCAGACAAGATTGAGAAACACCAGTGATGGGGAACATAATATTTCTACATTAGGAGTGTTTTCTTAGTTCAGAGATTCTCTTGTTCAAGTTTTAAAGTTTTTTAAAGCCTTTGAGAATACCCTATGATAATTAAGTTCTCTTTATTATGCAGACTCCATCATGAATTCATGGCACCACACAGTCCCCTGATGCTATAACATCATGGATTTCTTTTGTCCAGTGAGAGGCCCAAAAGCTGCAGCACAGACAATATCATAGTGTAGAAGTTTAACTAGGTATGAAAATAAAACCTTCTAATCATGGGGTTGTAGGCTGATTCCTGCTTACAGAGACCTGAAATGAACCTTTAGACACCAGGCATATAAAAGTGAGGCATGTTAGTGATACAGAGTGTGTTGTGCAGAGGTGGAAATAGCCTAATAGAAAAAAGGAAAGAAGAGCACAGTACAACATAGCCCAGCCCACCATGCAGTGATCTAAGAGATGGACACACGCTGAGTGCTGATTCTGCATCTGTGCTGGTTAAACAAAGATCTCCACAGCGGGGAGGATTGTCCCCTCATCCCCCACACAGCTCCCAGTTCACAGGCCACACCACTTTATGGGAGGGCACCAGGGTTGTTCCAGGAACGATGTCCATAAAGCTTACTAAGCCATGGGACTGTGTGCTGCACTCCCAAGGACATCCACGAAGTTAGGACTCTTTTTGCTTTTTCAGACCGTGATCATGGGCTACATTCTCCATACCAGCTTCATAGCTCCAGTGAGAAAATAAATTCCTGCACCCAGGAGACGTGGAGTAAGAGATACAGCTGCCCTTGACCATATTTCTTACTTCCGAGAAGATTGTAGCAGTAATTCAGGTGCTATTATTTGGGACATTTATAATTCGATAAACCTTCTTACCCCTCTGAGCTTACAATTCACCCCATAGGAAGGAGAGCCTCATTTAAATTGATAATCTTAGGCCAAGCGCGGTGGCTCACACCTGTAACCCCAGCACTTTCTGAGGCCGAGGCAGGTGGATCACAAGGTCAGGAGATTGAGACCATCCTGGCTAACACGGTGAAACCCTGTCTCTAATAAAATACAAAAAATTAGCCGGGCGTCATGGCGGGCAGCTGCAGTCCCAGCTACTGAGGAGGCTGAGGCAGGAGAACTGCATGAAACCATAAGGCGGAGCTTGCAGTGAGCCAAGATCATGCCACTGCACTGCAGCCTGGGGGACAGAGCAAGACACCATCTCAAAAAAAAAAAAAAGAGAGAGAATCTTAGTACATGAATGTTTTCTCTTTTCATTTCATTATAAGAGGAGTTTCTATAAGCTAAGTGACTTGTCAAATCCCATTTTTCTCTTCATTTCAATGCATACATATGGTTATGATGTGTACTGTGAAGATCATTCATGACCAAACTATTCAGGAAAAAAAAAAATCACCAAGTGGCAGGCCATGAAGGAGATGGAAGTAGACGTGCATAAGGAGAGACTCATCTCTAGGTAGCAAGAGGGTCAATGAGTTCTGAGTGCTCAGGGTTAAGATAGGAAAGGTGATAGACACAAAACTGTGCTACCGTGATATCCCTGGCACAGAGAACAAACACAGTGCTGAGCACTGAGCTCCCAAACTCTACCACCATAGCATGGAAGTTAAGATTTCTCACAAGACAGTAAACCACCTGTGACCACATTGTACTGAGGCTGGATTGGCCACCAGAATTCTCAGAAAGATGCTATTGAAAACATCTCATTGTCTGACCACATCTTGAGGCCTGAACCCAACCCTGTCTCCACCCTCTACCCTGAATAGAGAATGAAGCTTAAAAGGTGCATAACTCCTATATTTGAAATTAGGGCTTTCTGTTCACTGAAATGAGCCCTTGTAGAAGATGAAACTCTCAGTGCAAATATGGTCAACATTCTAAATGATAAATTATATGAGTTTCCTCTTCATGCAGTACAGTCTTCAGGGAACACCAAGACCTGTTTCATTTTCAAGTATCAAAAAGTGGAGTTGACAGGAGTGACAAATGGTCAGAGCAAAGCATTTCATGATAACTGTAATGTGCCTGCATCAGCAGCGACTGCTTACAGTGAGATTCACATGACCATCGTTTATGAGATAGGAAGAATAAAAGGAGAGGAGAAAAAGATAGGTAGTTGATTGAAATGAAGAATTGGATTTGGAAAGCAACTTCGAATAGTCTCTGCTTATATTTCTGAGATTAAGGCAAACAGTCTCAAGATAAGTATTTCTGTCTTGAGAGAGCTGCACTCTGCAACTCTGTAAACTTTCAAGTAACACTTTACCATTTCTATCTTCCTCTCCATGGAAACTTAGAGCCATGATTTATAAAATTACCTCTACATCTTTGTTGTATTTTTGTAGTATCTGATGTTCTCTTGAGGTCTTTCTTGGGACAATGGCTTCCAATTATAACGCTGCCCACCAGGACTCCAGGAAATTGGTCCTGGATGTTTACAGTTCACCTTTCATGGGATACTTATTTATCCTTGCAGATGACTCAATGCCTAATTGTCCAATCCTTGACCAGGCATCCTTCTTACTGTAATTTGTTTTTATTTCCATAGGTTATTGGGGAACAGGTGGTTTGGGTTACAGGAGTAAGTTTTTTAGTGGTGATTTGTGAGATTTTGGTGCACCCATCACCCAAGCAGTATACACTGCACCCTGTTTGTAGTTTTTGATCCCTCACCCCCTTCCCACCCTTTTCTCCTGAGTCCCCAGAGTCCATTTTGTCATTCTTATGCCTTTGCATCCTCATAACTTAGCTCCAACTTATGAGTGAGATCCTACAATGTTTGGTGTTCTATTCCTGAGTTACTTCACTTAGAATAATAATCTCTAATCTCATCCAGGTTGCTGCAAAAGCAATTAACTCATTCCTTTTTATGGTTGAGTAGTAGTCCATTACATGTATATATATATATATGTGTGTGTGTGTGTGTGTGTGTGTATATATATATATGTGTACGTATATATATATGTATACGTATACATATACATATATATGTATATATATGTATATGTATACGTATATATATACATATATATGTATACGTATACGTATACGTATACATATATATGTATACGTATATGTATACGTATACATATATATGTATACGTATACATATATATACATATATATGTATACGTATACATATATATCACAGTTTCCTTATCCACTCATTGATTGATGGGCATTTGGTTTGGATTACTGTAAACTTCTAATTATTGTCAGATGCCCGTACGGAACTTTTCAGACCTGTGACCACTACATTCATATCAAGACAACCACTTTCTAGGAGAACTCTGAATTGGAAAAATGTTGAGTTCAGGTGTGTTGGTCATGTGAGACACGGAGGAGGCCACTCAACAGAGCACATGAAATAACGTAAGCGGTGTATTTCTTACAGGTGAGGTTCACGGGCACCATCGCAGGCTCTACCTGACACAGCAAGTATTCTCCAGTCTGCAGATTTCTCAGTCTTCACTTATTTTTTGTGAACTTGACTTTTTTGAAAAGTACAGGTCAGATATTTTGTAGGTTTTCCCACAATATGAATTTGTCTCATGATTTCTCACGATTAAACTAGGGACATAAATACATTAAAACCATGCATGTATGTTTGAAGACCAGAAAAATAAACATTATAGATATTAGAAATATAAAGATAGAGGTAAATATAATAAACACAAATTAGAGGATAACAAATAATTCACAGTAATAGCTACTTTCAGTGATTGAGGAAGATGGTGAAGCTCAGGAGATGCACTAAGGGCCATCAAACATATTGCTCATGTTGTTTTATAAGGTCAGCAGTGACTTTAAAGATAAAGAAACCTTATAAATTTAAGAATGGTTTTAGGTTTACAGAACAGTTGTAAATGTAGTACATAGAATATCCATATATCCCACGAAGTTTCCATTTTTATGAAATTCTTACATTAATGTAGGACATTTGTCACAAGCAATCAGTTTTATAACACTATAACTACTCTTCATACTTTATTCATTTTTTTTAGTTTTTACTTAATGTCCTGTTTCTATTCCAGAATCTCATCCAGGATACCTCATCACAGGTACATGTCATGTCTCCTTAGAATTCTCTGACTTTCACAGTTTCTCGGAGTTTCCTTATTTTTGATGACATTAATATTACTAATGTGGGATTCCTCTGATGTTTCTCTAATGATAAGACTGGATTCGTGGGTTTAGGGGAGGAAGATCATGAGGAAAACTATCATTTTTATTGATTTAATTTTGAGACAGTGTCTCACTCTCTCGCCCAGGCTGGAGTGCAGTGTCATGAGCTTGGCTCACTACAGCCTCCATCTTCTGTGCTTAAGGATCCTTCCCTCTCAGCCTCCAGGGTAGCTGAGACTGCAGGTATGTGCCACCATGCTGGGCTAATTTATTGTTGTTGTTGTTTGTTAGTTTTTTTGGTAGAGGCAAGGTTTCACCATGTTACCCAGGCGAGGGTCAAACTCCTGGGCTCAAGTGATATTTATTTTGTTATAGAGATGGGGTCTTTATGTGCTGGCCAGGCTGGTCTGGGATTACAGGCGTGAGCCACTGTGCCTGGCCAAAAAGTGCCATTCTCATCATATCATACCAAGTGTACAAACTGTCAACAAGAGTAGACATTCATTATTGGCAGAATGTCTACAAATTCCTTTAAACCTTCACCATAAACATGTGCCTATTCTTTTCCAATTATTTCATGTGTATTAATGTATTTACTTATACATGCATCTTTTATTTATATCATTATCTAAATATGGATATTTATTTTACAATGCATATGTGCTATTTTTTTTTTTTTTTGAGACAGAGCCTTTCTGTGTTGCCCAGCCTGGAGTGCAATGGTGCGATCTCAGCTCATTGCAACCTCTGCCTCCTGGGTTCAAGCGATTCTCGTGCCTCAGCCTCTCAACTGGCTGGGATTACAGGCATGAGACACTACACCTGGCTAAGTTTTGTATTTTCAGTAGAGACAGGGTTTCACCATGTTGGCCAGTTTGGTCTCAAACTCCATACCTCAGACGATCCACCCTCCTTGGCCTCCCAAAGTGCTGGGATTACAGGCATGAGCCACCATGCTTGGCCACTATTTTTTTTTAATTGCACAAAGTGTTCCAGTGTTGGCTATTGGAAGATTTTTAAGTTGTCTCTTGTATCATTTTGAAATACCTCCATAACTAAAGTTTAATGTTGTGTGGTTGGTTGGTTTTGTTGTTGTTTGGCATTTTCTTTTGTTCAGTCACTATTATATGCTCCAGTCTGTGAATTTAATTGTGCTCCAGGGTAATTTGGTAATTTTATAATTTCTACTAATGTTTCTAACACCATATGACCTAATCCAGCACCATATAAATGGATCCACTCATTCTCATTTGTATGTAATCTAGCACTCCCTGCAAGCAAGTTGATGTTGTTAATTTAATCACACTACCTGAACAAGGTATATTGCTATGTAAAAAAATAGAAGTTGAAACAGTCAAAATACTGTGTAATTCCATTTATATGACTCTCTAGAAAAGGAAAAAGTGTAGTGATAGTAGAGTTCAGTGGTAACAAGGGGCTTGGAAGACAGAAAGGTGTAAACGGTGAACTACCAAAGATTTCTTTTGGGCAGTGAAATTCCTCTCTTTGATACTGTAATAGTGGGTACATAATAATGTTTTCCAAATCCTGAAGAACTTTGTAACACAAAGAGTGTAGCTAAATTACGCAAATTAAAAACCTTATTTAGTAGGTCACAAGTTTGCCTTTTCACAGTATTTTACCTTTTCCAACTTATATTTTTTAGCAATATGCTTTTTAGATTTTTGAAGTACACCTCATGGTTTTTAGATTTGCCTTCACCTAATTTTTGTAGGACAGGTGAGTCACACAATTGGGGCTTATCCTGAGAGGGTTATTAGCTTTGTCCAGGAAAGAATTTAAGGGCAAGTGGGTGATGTTAGACTGCAATATTTTATTGAATGGTACTGCTCCTTGCAGAGCAGGGCTAACTCTTAAGCAGTGTGTTCAGAGTTGGCAACATATAGGCCTCTTGGCAACTGTATTTATATTCAATCAACCCCACTTTTAATTATACACAAATTGAGGGGCAGGTCAATGCAAATTGAGGCAGGAAAGGGGCAGTGACTTCTAGGCTGTCTCCATGGAAAGGGGCAGTAACTTCTGAATTGTGGCCATGTAATTTGTAAACAGTTATGTGGTTGGTAGGAGGGTCTTATGTGAGTGACAAATGAAGACTGCCAGGGATCACATTTTCCACAATGTACAGGCTTCTGCCAGTTTTTTCACTTTATCCTGTCTGGAGCAGATCTTATTTTGGTCATCAAGGTTGTGAAACCAGAAAACAAGTCCTTCCAGTCTCCTACCTCATAATGACAAGATATAGAGCATATTTTCATGTGATTTTGGATATGACTTTGAGAACTGGCTATTTAAGATTTTGCCATTTTTGATTGGGATATTTGCCTTTTTAATTTTGAGTTGTAAGACATTGCATATTCTGGATAACAGACCATTATCACCTATAAAATTTGCAATTTTGAAATATTTTCTGCCGTTCTTTGGGTGCCTATTTGTATTTGATGGTGGACTTTAAATTGCAAAAGATTTTAATTCTAATGAAGTTTAATATTTCTATATTTTCTTCTTTCCTTTGTGCTTTTCAGTGTCATATCTTAAAACATTGTTTAACTAAAGACTACAAAGATGTATTTCTGTGTTCCTTTTTATGGGTTGGCCCTGTTTAGCTCTTATATTTAGATGGATTATCATTTTGAGTCAATTATGTTTCTGGTATGAGGCAAGAGTCTAACTTGTATGTGGATATCCACTTGACCCAGAAACATTTGACAAGAAAATATTGCTTCATACCTAATTTATTTGGCCACATTATAAAAGCATTTCACCATAAATGTAAGGATTCATTTTTGAGTATTATATTCTACTCCATTGATCAATACATATATCCCTATATTAGTACCACAAATCTTGATTACTATTACTTTGTAGTAAGTTTTGAAATCAGGAAGCATATGTCTACTATGCAAACCCTTTTTGTCCTTCTCAAGAGTATTTCGGCTGCTCAGTATCTATATTATATATAATTTTAGGATAACCTTCTGAATTTAGGGGAAGGTAATGCCACCTGTGGTTTTGAGAGAAGTCACATTAATTCTATAGATCCATTTGGAAAATATTGCCAACCTAACAATATTAACCCTTCTAAACAATGAGCATTCAAAGATTTTCTATTAATTTTGTTCAATATATGTTCTATAGTTTTTAGTGTACATATGTTATACTTAATTTGATAAGCTTATTCCTGAGTATTTTTGATTCGATCTCAATTGCAACGGTTTTCTGAGTTTTGTTTTTAGATTGTTCATTGCTAGTACAGAGAAATTTAAAATATTTTATATATTTTATATACTGCAAACTTCTTTGAACTCATCTTGAAATTCTAAACATATTTGATTAAAGTCCTTTGGACTTTTTATACATAAGATCATGTCCTTTGCAAATAGTCAGAGTTTGACTTCCTTTCCATACTAGAAACATTATATTTATTTTTCTAAACGAATTGCCCTGTCTACATTCTCCAGTACAATGTTGCAAACAAATGTCAACAGTGGAAATATTTGACTTGTTTCTAATATCAGAGAAATTAGTGAACCTTTCAGATTACTTATGATGATATGTGAGCTTTTCATAGATGCCCTTTGAAATGAAGAAAGTTCTCTTATCTGCCTGATTTGCTGCATGTTTTTCTAATACTGAATCTGGGAATTTTCAAGTGCTTGTTGCACACCTCCTGAGATGATTGTGTAGTTTTTATTCTTTATTAATATAGTGTATGACATTAACTATATCATTTGTTGAACAAAATTTGCATTCCTGAGGTAAATACCCTTTGCCATAGTGTCTGATACTTTCTACATGTTGCTGATTTCATTTGATAATATCTCCCTGGTGATTTTTGTCTCTGTATTTATAAGGCATATTGGTCTTCATTTTCCTTATTTGAAATATCTTTGTGTAGTTGTTCAATCAGGGGAAACGAATTCATAGTATACAATGGGAAGTAATCTATTTTCTACTTCTTTATTATTATTGTATTGTTTTGAAATATTTTTGATAAATTAGTATTAATTTTCTGTGATTTTAATAACACATCAATGAGTTCCTGATGAGGGCAGGGAAGTGAATCCTAAGAACAATCATGTGAGTTTGGAAGGAGACCCTTCCCCAGCTGAGCCTCAGCCTGAGCCATCACCTACATCTAGACCGAAGACCCAGAGAAACCGTGAGTAATATGTGTGTGGTTCTGAGCCACTAAGGTATGTACTAATTTGTTATGCACCAAGTAGTAAGTAATATACCTGACAGTAATTGTAAGGTGGTATTCTGGATTAGGTCCTGGAATAGATAAGTATATGATTATTAGAAAACCTGGTAAAATATGAAGGAAGTTTGTAGATCAGTTAATAGTCTTGAAAAACAGTTAAATTCTTAGTTTTCATGAATATGCTATGGTTATAATAGATATTCATAGTCTAGTTAGCTGAATGGTATATGAAACTGTCTGTACTTACCTATGTGCATTTATGTAAATCTGCAGTTATTTCAAAATAAGTATGTTTTTAAATATTATTATTTTGTTTTTTTTTAAAAAGAAAGCAAGTAAAGACACCAGCAGAAAACTTTTGCCTCCAGATACAAGTGGGCATGTAGGGAGAGAATAGTAAACTGGCTTTTCTTTTCTAGGCAACATTCGAAACCCAGGTGCCACTCCTTCAGGAAGGTACCATCAAGCTCCAAGGACTCTTATCCTCTTTCTCCTTCCCCACTACCTAGTCATTAGAGCGTCAGCATCCACTTCTTGAAAGGAAGATGCCTGTTTTTCACATATCCCAGAAAGCCCCATTTTAGGACAGCATTTAGCAGAGTATATTCAGGATCCCACTAACCTTTTTGGAAGACATGACTTCCAGATGATATAAGGCAAGAATAAGAAATTTCAGTGACAGGGAACAGAAATCATATTTCTGCATTCAGGATCATGTTTTCTTGCTACAGGGATTTCTTCTTCAAGTAATCCAAAGACAACTTTACCTTCAAACCTTTCAGAAAACCTGTTCTAATTTAGTTCTCTTCATTCTACAGGCTCCATCAGGAACTGTGCAGGACTGTGCCCTCTGTTGATACTCACATGGTGGAATTATATTGCCCTTGGCCAACCCTAAAGCCATCAAGATAGCAGGTAAGCAGAGTACAAAAAATATTTCTAATAGGTTGGTTTAGGGCACTCCCTGCTTCCAGAGGCCTGGGAATAAATATTTAAAACAGAGTTTTTGCAGGTGAATGATACTGAGTGATATATATATGTTGTGCACAAGAAGAGAAATCTCAGTAGGAAAACAAAACAAAACAAAACAAAACAAAAAAAACCAGTATACAGCATATCTCCAACCCTCCATGCAGTGATCTGAGAGACAGAAACAGGCTGACTGATGACTCTGCATGTGTACTGGCTGCCCACTAATTCTCCTTACAGCTTCCTATTAAGAGGCCATTGCACTCTTCTTAGTAGCAGCAGAGTTGTTTTCAGGAACCATGCCTAAAAGGCCTACAAAGCCATGGAGGTACATATTAAACTCCCATTGACATCCATAAATCTTGAATAGCATGATGTCACAGGCACAGACGACAAAGTGCTGAGCACTGAGTCCCCAGACAAACTTTCACTGCATGGAAAATATGATTTTGCACAGTATCCTAAATCAACAGTTGTATAGAGGCTGGTCTGGACACCACAAGTCTACAAAAGATGCTATTGCAAACAAACCACATTTTTAGACGACATCATGAGGCAAACCGAGTGCTCTGTCTCCACACTCTAACCTGATAAGAAGATTGAGTTCAAGGAAGGAATGTCTCACATATGTAATGGCATGGCTTTGTGTTTACTTAATTCAACCTTCCCGGAGTCTAAAACTCAGGTGAAATTTCAGTCAACTCCCTTAACTCTGACTGTATGAGTTTTTTCGTTACTCAGTGTACTCATGAGGGGACACCGAAACCAATTCCAATATCCCAGTACCCAAAGTAGAGTTGACCAGAGTAGCAAGGGGACGGATCAAAATATCTTATAAAGACCATTATGCATTCACTTCTGCAGTGACTAATCATAAGGTGATTTCTACGATCACCAGCCATGTGATTAAAAGGACAAATGTGAATGAAGAAAAAGATATACAAATGTTACAGCTGAAAGAATGGAATCTGTAATGAAGTTTACAGGAAGCGTTGCTCATATTTCTAAGATTACAGTTTAAAGTTTCAAACTACAGCTTTTTCCAGGTCTTTAGAGAGCTACCATGCCAGTGAATTTTTCAAGTAGCTCTTTACAATTTTCATCTTTGTCTTCAATGGATTTCTTAAACCATGGTTCATAGAACTATATTTCCATATGTGACATAAGAATTCTAGTACTCCACTAATAACTCTAATGTGTCTAAAATTATAAATGCAGTTTATAACACCTCTCTGGACACTCACTTTAATGAGAAGTGGACAGACTGGACTTCCCTAATGGAGGACAGTGGTGAAGCTCCCAGGTAGAATATAAATACAGTGTATAAATTTATGTGATAAGATTTAAGCATATTTCCTCAATAACAAACAAGAGTGTAGCCAATGAGCCACCATAATTTAACACTGACAAATGAGCAGTCACAGAGAAAACAGTGTATTCCATTCATCGTAGAGTGCACATTTTCACATCTATCAAATACAGATGCATCTTAAATTTGAAAGCGTTAAAACACTGTTGACGGGAAGGCAGTCATAATGTGATTGTCCTCATTTACCTGTATATGAGCTTGGTCTGCAAACCTCCTGTCGATGTTTTTGGGTGATTTCATCAACATCAGCATCAAATCTTGCACAGGAAGTTTCAGAAAGTTGAAAATATAACCTCGCAGAAGCAACGTAGGAATATCACAGGAAATGCAGCATCACCAAAGCTTCAGATTAGCACCAATGATGATAACATGGGGAACATCATGAGCAAGATGAATTGAAGAGTGATTCAGGAGAGTTGGATTTGAATAGGAGAAAATTTAGGAAAACCTTTGTTGGTGTATTTTCCTTATATGTTCCATCCCATGTAATCATAGGAGTGACAAAAGACAAGACAAATATCCACATATATATGTCTTGAAAACAGCTTTTTTCCACTAATTATAATATAATGATGTTATTATTATACAGTGTATTTCCACATGATGAAAGTATTAGTTCCGTTGTTAGTGGTTTTGTTCTTTCATTCTGATATAGGAAATAATGACATGTTACAACTGATGCAATTGATACATCTCACAATTTATTAGAATATTTATTTTTGGGCTTAGTGTAGGCTTAGTAATATACTACATGATTTATATGTTATCATTTCATACAGTCCACCTGCCATCTCAGGAAGTAAGCACTACTCCTGCTCCTCTGGTCCATTTCCAAGTCTGAGCTAACTCTCGAAAGGAGAGGCCTAAAGGAACCTTGAGTTTGATTCTATATGCCCCACAGTCTTTGCTCACATCAACTACATAGAATATGTTTTGTCTTACATGGTAAATGCTTTTCAGGTCTAGTTTCAGGCAGCTTAGCCTACCTCGTGGTCTTGAAGTTATTTTCCTGAATTGTGTTCTGTATATTCTACTAAATATTTTTATATTTATGTCTATGAACCAAGTATAATTAATTTTGTGTGTAATGTCAGGTCATAGGTCAGATTCTAATTTCTCCCTGTGGATATTCAATACCCTGGAACATTTTAATAAAAATCCAAGTTTCCCCCATGCAGCAACTTAAATATATGCTTATATATGCATATGTCTGTTTTTTTAAGTTATTGATTGTTTATTCTGTCTCTGTGCAAATACCACACTCTTATTATTAAGAGAGTCTATTCAAGAATTTTCTCTCTAGAGATCGTTCTTTTCCTTCTTTTTTAAGAGATAATTTTGTTCTGTCACACCAACTGGGGTACAGTGGCACAAACATGGAACACATTCTGTGTGTGAGCTGCTGGACTCAAGTGATCCTCCCCGCTCAGCCTCCTGAGTAGCTGGGACTACAGGTGCAAGCCACCATGCCCGGCTAATTTTTAATTCTTTTTAATGGAGAGGAGGTCTCTCTCTGTTGCCCAGACTGATCTAGAACTCCTGGCCTTAAGCAATCCACCCTCCTTAGTCTCCCAAAGCGTAGGAATTGCAAGCGTGATCCATTGTGCCTGGCCCAGGGCCTGTTCTTTTAACCACTGAGCTGCTCTATAATGAGGTGAAAGAAGTTCAGACGTGCATGCCTTGCACCTACAGCAATCCTTTCAGCTGTACCTTGAATGAGGCTGTGGATATACAACTTTAGAACGTTGCTATTGACTCTGAAATCTCTACGTCCTTGTGAATCTTAGGCAGTCTCCCAACACCACTACCCACTTTATGTATTCAGTATCTTAGACAACAGCCAATGTTGTTGAAAACCTGGAGAGGCAGCCTTGGCTCCCTCCTGCCCTGCTGTAGATGATTCTGTAAACAGAGTCCCCCTCCAGACCATGCCCAACAGAGGCAGGTTCACAGGGGAGCCTCTGAGCTCAGAGCCTCTCTGGGGGCTCTGCATGCACAAGGACAGCAGCTCCCTGCCTTAGTTGTGGGGTGAGGTAGGGAATTTAAGTCTTTTAAAAAAGGCTGAGTTTGTTCAAAAATGATTCTGCTTCCTGACCAATGACACCTTAAGACTTTAGATTTTACATTGTGATATTTCTCCTTGATTTTGATTTAATTTGTTGTGCAAATGTCTTAAACACTTGTGTATAAGTATTCTCTTTTTTTTGGTCATGTAAACATCATCTAAAACCAAATATTTATTTTTGTATCATAGTTTTAAGGCCTTTATTTCTCTATTTTAAAAATGCATTCATAATTATTTTTCAGTGAACCGTATCAATTATTTTCATCTTTACTCCTATTTCTCTTTCATAAATTGAACGTTAATATCACTTTTATTAGAAGTGGCAGACGTTACACATTCTGTTTTATGATTTTCCAGAAATTTCCTCTTACATAGCTCTGGTTACAAAGAAGGACAGAAACTATTCTGTAAGCCACAAGGCAAAATTGTCCCACAATAAAAAGATCTTCTTATGCTTAAAAAGATCTGTCAAACTTTCTATTCTTTGGCTGTTTGCTGTACATGTGAAAGGTTAACAAGTTATTGATTTGTGTGGCAGGAAAGTTAGACTTCACATATGAATGCAAGGAGTAACCTCTCCTTAACCATGCAGGTGTGAACTTCATGATGTTGTTTCATTTTCTCCTTGTACAAAAGATGTAGACATTGACTGGACTCCATAATTCCTTCCACCTCACCTCCGTGTACGTGTACATGACAGTTCTCTGTATGGATCACCCATTCTATTAGATATGAAGTATTTTCTTATTTTTGATGAGTGATGATTAAACTCGTTTTTAGTTCTCAGACATATAAAAAATACCAGTTAGAAAATGTGTACATCATGTGCTGTAATCAGAAAATATTTTTGTGCCATTAGCTTACAAAAAGGAATTTCAATCTTTTATTTATTATCATTTTCATCTGGTTTAATAGTCTCAAAAGGTTTTCATGCTTCTGAATTTTTTAGATTTTACTTTGTTGTCTTAGTCAAAACTTAGACAAAGATTGGAGACATTTGTTCAAGATGTGTGAGACATAAGCAATCAACACAGCAAAACATTGGTATTTCATGGGAATATGTAATAATAGATGGGCACTTGCCCTGCTAGGTGTGGCAGCAGTCAGTGTCTGTGGGATTCAGTGCTGTAAACAGAATTGACAGATCCTGCTTTAAGGAAAAAAGTGCCCCTCATCTGTCGTATTACAGCCTGGCACCATTTTGTTACCAAACCCAGGTTTGGCCATGGCTACTTCCAAAATCAAATAACAGAAGGGTAGTAAAAAGAAAGTCACTGGCCGGGCGTGGTGGCTCACATCTGTAATCCCAGCACTTTGGGAGGCCGAGGCAGGATGATCACCTGAGTACAGGAGTTCAAGACCAGCCTGGGCAATATGGCAAAACCCTGTCTCTACTAAAAGTACAAAAATTAGCTGGGCACACTCTCGTGTGCCTGTAATCCCAGCTACTGGGGAGAGAGAGAGACTCCTTCTCCAAAAAAAAAAAAAGTCACTTTATTTCCAGAGCTTAGCAATGTGGAAGGGCTGGATTCATATCTAAAGGAACCATATATGTTTTCTGGGCAGAAAACAGGATTTTAAGAAGAAATATTGGCAAGCAGGGCACGCAGAAGGGTTCTGGAGGTGTAGGATCTACATTACTTGCTGGATGACTTATCTCTAGTCTTGGGTCATTCGTTAGCCTGCCCAGCATCACTGGGGAAAGAGTCAGGTTGTGGATTAACTGATGTCTTGAGACAATCTCTCTATGGAGGAGAATTCTGGTGGATGCTTATTTTCGTTCAAGATTTGGTAATTTCTAAACAAACATATATTTAGCTAAGCTGACAGTGCTTGCTGGTGGTTTGGCTGGTGGAAAGGAAGGAGGGAAAAGTTTGAATTTGCATTTCTAAGGAGCTAAGTAAGACATGAACACACAGGAAAAAGAAAAACTAAATATTTTTAAAGGAAAATGAAGTACTTGTTTACAACACCCCACTGTCAAATTCCACTTTATTTTTATTCAATTGGAGCATCATATTCATTTGGTCTGCTTCCTACTGAAAGGGGTCTTGTTATAGAGCATTAGAATGGAATCTGTGTACCTGAAGTTGGAAATATTCTTGAGTTTTCAGCAGGAACTTACTGTGCATATATGGTGTGAGGATCCAAGAATTTCTGAGAATGATTTCCTGCATCTCCATGCAGAATGAACAAGAGAAATAAAGTTCATAGCAGCTGAAGAGGGCATTTAACAGTATTAATAATATATATAAAAGTATTTTATGCACCAGGAAGCCGACTAAATCATGGTGCCATAGAGTCCTGACAGAGGGCATCTATAGCAGAAATATGGGTATCTACATGCATAGCTTGGGTTATAATGTGAGAAGAATCTGGTGTGTGTGTCTCTGTGTGTGTGTGTGTGTGTGTATGTGTGTAAAATGGTCAGCCTTAATGAATGCAGAAGTGCCACCCTGGGCTGCGGTGAAGATATCTAAAGCCATATGATTTAAAGACATCATGAGATTAGACATAGCATTAGTTTGCTTGTGCATGTCTTTTAGGGCTGAGGATGTTTCTGGAGTTATCCAGGAAGTACACACAGCATTTAGTCTTAATTATAGTGCAAAGCCCCAAATGTCAGTTGTACCCAGAGCTCCTGTGGAGATATGAGGACAAGTTGGTTAACTATACGTACTTAATAGGCCACAGGAGAAGTTGTAAATATTCATGAAGGTGGTCCTGACCCATGTGTCTTAACAAATATCCATGCAACAGATAACATATTTATTTTGGAGCAGAGACTTAACTTTTAAATGTGTTATAATTATGCTCTGTATTTAAAAAGTTCTTTTGAGGACAAAGACATACAAGTGTCCATTTACTGTAAACCGGCCAAAACTACTTTATGGTGAGTGATCTTTTATCAGGGTAACTTACCGAAATTGGTCTCTTGTCTACTTCAATCTGTAGTTATGGCTGGTTGAACAGTGGCTGGGGTCAGTCAGTCAGCTTATCTTGAGGCTAGTGCTTGCTTGGCTACTAGAGAAACACAGAAACCTTGTGGCAGTTGTAAACATAGTCTGCTTTTTTTAAAGTGTAGGAATGTGTGTCTTAACTCTTGCCTGGCATGTTCTTAGGTCCTGTTCATAATTTGGTATTTTATTGTTATAAAGAGTCTGTTTTACAGTTTTTATTATAACATTAATGCTGATCAGTTGTGCCTAAATTCCCATAATGGGAGGAAGGTGTAGTGAAGCTTGTTCAACACCCCTCTTGTTGTCATGGCCTGAATTAGTTTTTCAGGTTGCTTTGGCTAACATGGGTGTAGGGAGTGTCCATGAAGTTGGTGGGGGCTTAGGACTTTATTTTATAGTTTATATTCTCGTTTTTTGTCAAGGTATGCCAGTGGCAGTATGGGTAGCCACACTTTTATTTTCTCTCATGTCAATGGCAGAGCGGCGTGCTACCTGACCTGTGTCCATCATGTTCCTTGGTGCGACCACTATGGCCAAGGGACTTAGAATCAAAAGCCTTATATCCAATTAAATGTTGTAGGCCAGACTGGAATGAATGTGGGCAGGCAGTCATTAATCCTTAAAACCCCTTTTAAGCAATGTAAGAGCCAAAAACTAAAAGTCAAAAGGTAAGTTTATATAACTGAATTGTCTCTGAATTTTATGCATTGAGCTGTTGTAATCTTGGCTTATAGGAACTATAGCTATACAAAACATAAGTATTTTATTTAGCTGTTTAGGCATCTGTATGCCCATCCTTTATTTGGGGGGTCTGAATTAATTTTATTCCACAAGAACTGGCCCTTACAATCTCATGCATTCGTATCTTCCATGATAGTCCCTTGGTCTGGAGAAATTGAACCGTTGTAAATTCTGGATATATTAATAAAACAAAATATTCACCGTTAACAACATTGTAAGCAAAAATGCCATAAGCCTTGTCTTGTCCTAAGAGTGACAGGACTGAGACGGGCAGATCACGAGGTCAGGAGATCGAGACCATCCTGGCCAACATGGTAAAACCCCGTCTCTACTAAAATACAAAAAAATAGCTGGGTGTGGTGGTGCGTGCCTGTAGTCCCAGCTACGCGAGAGACTGAGGCAGGCGAATTGCTTGAATCCGGGAGGCAGAGATTGCAGTGAGCCAAGATCACGCCACTGCACTCCAGGCTCGCCAACAGGGTGAGACTCTGTCTCAAACAAAAAGAATGAGTGACAGGAAAGGAATCCTATAGGTAGATAAACATTTAAATTATTTAGTATTAAAGCACAGAATAAATTATATTTCATATATTTCTATTTCAGATAGAAGGAAAATTATTAAATAAAGTATAATACAGGCGTGTCCCTGTGTTGCATGAAAGCAGTGTACTTTGATTATTGCCTTTGCTTGAGTCTAAAGATGAGGCTTTGGTTAAGTTGAGTTTGATGTTACATGGTGGCAGGAGTCTGTGTCTTCTTTAGAGGAGCTACATGTATCCAGGAGTCAATTCCTTGTACCTTAACACCACAAAGATTAGTTAATAGCACCTGATAAGAACTTCTTCAGGGGTGTTGGAGGTGGTGATACACTTCACAGTGATTAATGTTTTTTAGCTTTGATAAGCCCCAGCAATAAGTCAGAGACTTAATTTAGGATTCAGTTTTGGAGATGTCTGTGAAAGATGTTAGAAAGCTTAAAATATTTGATCAAAACTAAACCACAGGACCTTGTAAAACAATAGTTATTCATTTAACCAAAGTGATCGTTGAAAGACTTTAAAGGCAATAGAAAAAGTTACACGGGTATAAAATCCTTACTCCTCTCAAATTTCAGGGTTTTTTTTAAAAGCAATTAAAAACTTAATAAAGGCAGCATAGGAACTATCTTGATAAAATATAAAATCTTGCTTCTTAAGCCAGTTGACAAAAAGTCAAAGGAAAACCTTTTTTAGTGTGTCTGCCTCTCTTTAGAAGAAAGCCCATTTAGATAATCTGGAAGTACAACTTAAGATAAAAAGTGTTTGAATTTAATCAAACATGGGAAGAGTGTGTACAAGGTTTTGAATAGAACTGGGGAATACATGACTCTTAGTAGCTGCATGATAAGTTTCCTGATTACAGTGAAAATTTAGACACACCAAAAACAACAACAACAAAAAACCCCAAAGGTATAGAATCAGGTTATCCTGGAGGAACACATTTCTTTTATAGACCTCTAAGATAAAATATTTCAGCATCAGCCACAACAACATTTAGAAGTAAGGAGAAAAGTTACAGGAACTGACAAGAAGCTGAAGGATAGAGTTATCATCCCAGGCCACATCAAAGGGAGAAAAAGCTGATAGCAGCAAGACAACAATTGAACATTTGAGATATGAATCTCAGAAGTTTTCAAAAGAAGTGGATTTTAGAATAGAAAATCTAAATTTATTGTAATTAAGAGTAAATTGATACCTTAATAAAATCTCGATTTAAACTAGGGGATCATTCTTTAGAAAGGCTATTATTAACAATTCCTTTTAAATTATGGCTAACTTAATTGCATACAAAATTTCTTCTATACTGGCTCAGTTGTGAGAATTGAGTGAGGTTCTATGAGTCTCTGGTTTTTAGGATTTGAGGCAGAATCTTGTTCATTTGATCTAAAGATTTTCTGCTTCTTCAAATCCAGTAAGCATTTAGTAGGTTACCTGTGTACTTCAATTCCAAGAACACTGTTATAAACTAGCTAGCAACATAAATCTATAGGAATCAGATGAAACTGATTGTTGCTTTGCCTTTGCTGTCCATTGACATAGCTATGCCAACCTTGCCTTTGAAGATTGAGTGTTGCTACTTGCTCCCAAGATTCCCTGAAACCCAGTTATTCCCATTGCATTTTGATTTTCCAATTGGTGTACTGTGGTTTCTATATTAAGGTCTGGCCTACAGAGAAGAGAGATCAGGGAGCTCTTCAGTTGTACCCAGCCTCCCCACACAAATCCACCTAACAAAGTCCTGATAAACAGTATGTTTTCTGAGTCTATCAATATGGGTAAGTTGCATTTATTTATTTATTTATTTAGAGACAGTCTCACTTTTATTGCCCAGCCTGGAGTGCAGTGGCATGATCTCAGCTCACTGCAACCTCTGCCTCCTCGATTGAAACCATCCTCCTGCCTCAGCCTCCTGAGTAGCCGGGGCAACAGGTGTGTGCCACCATGTCTGGCTAATTTTTGTAGTTTTTTGTAGAGGTGGAGTTTCACCATGTTGGCAAGGCTGGTCTTAAACTCCTGACCTGAACTGATGGACCTGTCTGTGCTTCCGAAAGTGGTGGGATTACAGGCATGAGCCACCATGCCCTGCTGTAAGTGGCTTTTAAATGGCAAATCCATTCTAGCATTCCTATCTCCCCAGGCCTATGAATTCCTTCATCCAACATAATACAGGGAAGATGGGGGAGTCACCGACTTGCTCATGGTCATACATCTGTTGAAGTATATTTCAGCCAACCAGTCATAACACTACTAATACCATCCTTAAATACCCAAGCTGCAACATTAAACCGGAATATCTGCTTAATGGCCCCATATCATTAAATTTGGACTGATTCAAGTTTATATTCCTTCTACTGTTATCAACACTTTTTTTTTCTTGTTTTGGTTTCTTACAGATGAGGTCTTGTTCTTTTGGCCAGGCTGGAGTGCAGTGGTACAGTCGTGACTCACTGCAGCTTCAAACACCTGGGTTCCAGCATTCATCCCACTTCAGCCTCCCGTGTAGCCGGGACTACAGGTACAAGCCACCACACCCAGCTATCCACAGCCATAATCTTTATTTCCACATAGGGTCTTCAGATTTCTGTTTGCATTAGTTAGAAAACTCAGGTAGCTTTTTTGACATAGATCACACCTCCTCATGGGAAATACTATCCATCAGCTTTAGGGGCCTGTTGTAACTTTAGTCTCACCGTGAGTCTAGAAGAAACACAGCTGTCAGGGGTGGGTCTTGAAGATAATCAGCAATGTATTGCTTGACAGCTGCTTCAGGGGAAGCCATTACCGTTTCCTTAGGCATTGTAGATGTAAGCTACTCAGACACATATGGAAAGGCCTACATCACTTTGTGTGGGAAGGCCATTGCCAAGGGGGTGGCTGTGAGGAGGCCACTTCTGCTGGCAATAAAAACTCATTAGAATTTAGGAGATCAGTGTCCCCAGCCACATCAGTCTTCCCATCCATCCTCATCCCAAGTTACAGGATGCTATTCTTTCTCAACTTCCACTTCAACAGTAGACACCCTGCCAGGCTGAGGAGTTAAATGTTTCCTGTCATTCAGCCAGAGGCATGATAAGGGCTTGTGTTTGACTTTTAGCAAATACTTCCCTGTGGCTACAAGAGAGTTTTCTGGCTCAGAGCACAGGTAGAAACTCTTAGGCTGTTTATGTGGAGCTGGTTCTGCAAAATTGAATCCCTAAGCTCATTATTGTCTTTCATCAAATTTCCCAGTGAATTAGAAGCAACAAACCCGTCATCATTATGTTCCATGGTTTTACGCAAATGTCTGTATCACATACAGACTAAACAAGTACCTTGCCTCTTATCAGTGTTTAATTAAGAGTATCAAGTGCAGATATTTTGGGGATCTCTAAAAACAGTTCATGTCATTGACTGTCATTGCTCTTTCTACTGTTAGAAGTACAGTTCTTAGAATTTAGGTCCAATCAGATTAGAAAGCCTATTCTATAAACCCCAAATTTGATTAAGGACATTCATCCTTAAAATTCTCTTCCTGTAGAACCGTTCTTACTACCAAAATCTATACTAGTCAGGGTTATCTATAGCAACAGAACCATTAGGATAGATACGTAGCAGCTAGCTAGCGATAGACAGACAGACAGACAGATACATAGATACATAGATAGATAGATAGATAGATAGATAGATAGATAGATAGATAGGGATTTCTAGGGGAAGTGAATCACATGATTATGGAGGCTGAGTGTTTCCACCACATGCCATGTAAAGCTGGAGATCCTAGGATGCTTGTTGGGTACCATAGTCTAAGTCCAAAATGCTCAAACCAGAGAAAACCTTGGTTAAACCCTCAGTATGAGGCTGAATGCCATCAGAAAGTCTTTCAATTGAGTCCCCTGTCATTTTGAAATACCACCATAGTTACGATTTGACATTGTTATGTGGCTGATTCATTGGTTGCATTGTTGTTGAGCATTTTCTCTTGTTTGATCACCACTAGATACTGCAGGCTGATTGTATTTAGTCCCTGTTCAAGTCTGTTATTGACCTTTTTCTCACAGATCCCTACCTTCTTTGTTGGAAAATGAAATTAAAAATGAAGATTTGGGCACTCACTGGTTTTACACATTGTTACTGGGGAATGTGTTGATTGGAGGCCTTGCTAGCTAACAGAGTAAAGAGTAAATATACACATATGTTTACAAATTTCTACAAGTCTCCCTGTATATCCACATTAAATTAAACATGAATTCCTACAACGTCCTCAGTCCCACATGATCTTATTCAGCACCATGTGAATTTGTCTACCCATCTCACTAATCTGTATGTAGCCTACCACTGTAATATTTAACCACCTGAAAATGCACGCATAGTGGTTTCAGAATAAGAAACATACAACCCCATGAGAAACACCCTTACCACCTGTTTATGTATACCAACTGCTTATGTATAAATCCTTTAGCCTTTAGACAGAATCTGCACTTATTATGTCAGTTGCTTAGGTCAGTTTCTTTTTCCCCCTCCTTCAGTGGATTATTTCATAGATTTGTGTGCAGCTAAAGTATTTTCTCTGCATTTCTTCCTGAGCTGTTCCTATCTACTAAATAAGTTTTTTCGTTAATTTACATACTTTTAGTTTCACTCTGTGTTATATAGTTTTGTGGGAGTTGAAAACCTGTATCTTTTATCCACATTACAGTAGCATACATAATAATATACAAAAAGAAATTTTCTATCTTTACAGATTTGTCTTTTCTTTTGGCTCAGACCCTGGTAACCAATAAACTCTTTACTGTCTCTATACTTATGCTTTTTCTAGATTGTCATATATTAAAAAAAAAGTATTTTGCTTTTTCCAAATTGCTTTTTGGACTTAGTAATATGCCTTTTGGATTAGTAAAGGATATCTTACGGTTGGGATTTGGATTTCCCTAATGACAGAGGCATTGAGCATCTTTCCATATGCTTATTAAACATTACTATAGCTTCTTTGGAGATATGGCTGTTCAAATTTCATATTTTTGATTGGAGCATTAGTCTTTGGATTTTTGAGTTGTAAGATGTTGTAATATATTCTGGATTATAATATGATATAATATAATGTAATATAATATACTAGCTAGGGATTTTCAGGGTATTTGACATACCCTAGAATTGGCTATTCTTACTGGCTATTTGACATACAAAGACTTTTCTCCCATTTTTAAATTGTTTTTATTCTTTTATTATGTACTTTCAATTATGATATATTTTATTAGTGATGTTTCAATATATCTATTTTCTCCTTCCTCTTGTGCATTAGTTGTCATATCTTAGAAACCATTGTTTAACCTTTGTTAAACAATTTGTTTTTGTTTTTAGTTTTGGCTATTTAGGTGTACGATTGTATTAGTCTGTTCTCAAACTGCTATAAAGAACTACCTGAGACTGGGTAATTAATAAAGAACAGTGGTATAATATATCCACAGTTCTACAGGCTGTATAAGAGGCATGACTGGGGAGACTTACAATCATGGTGAAAGGCAAAGGGGAAGCAAGCACATCTTACATGGATGGAGAAGGAGGAATAGATAGAAGAGGGATTTCCACACAGTTTTAAACAACCACATTTTGTGATAACTCACTATCACAAGAACAGCAAGGGGGAATCGACCCTCATGAGTCAGTCGCCTCCCACCAGGCCCCTCCTCCAACATTGGAGATTACAGTTTACCATGAGATTGGGAGGTGACACAAATCTAAACCATATCATCCTGCCCCTGGCCCCTCCTAAATATCATGTTTTTCTCATATTGCAAAATACAATCATTCCTTCTCAATAGTCACCCATATCTTAACTCATTACAGCATTAACTCAAAAGTCCACAGTCCAAAGTCTCATCAGAGATAAGGCAAGTCCCTTCTACCCATGAGCCTGTAAAATCAAAAGCAAAGTCATTACTTTCAATATACAATGGGAGTACAGGCATTGGGTAAATACCCTCATTCCAAAAGTTATAAATCAGCTAGAACAGAGAGAGGGGCAACAGGCCCCATGCAAGTTTGAAACCCAGCAGGGCAGTCATTAAATCTTAAAGCTCCAAAATGATCTCCTTTGAGTCTGCATCTCACATCCAGGCCACACTGATGCAAAGGATGGGCTTTCAAGGCCTTGGGCAGCTCTGCCCCTCTGGCTTGGCAGGGCTCAGCTACCACGGCTGCTCTCAAGGGCTGGCATTGAGTGCCTGTGGCTTTTCCAGGCACATAGTGCAAGCTGTTGGTGGATATACCACTCTGGGTTCTGGAGGACAGTGGCCCTCTTCTCACAGTTCCACTAGGCCCGCAGTGGAGACTCTTTGTGGGGGCTCCAACTCTATACTTCTTCTCTGCACTGTCCTAGTACAGGTTTTCCCTAAGGGCTCCATCACTGCAGCAGACTTCTGCCTGGGCATCAAGGCATTTCCATGCATTCTCTGAAATCTAGGCAGAGGCTCCCAAGTCTCAACTCTTTCCCTCTTTGTACCTTCAGGCTTAACACCATGTGGAGAAACGGCCAAGGATTATGGCTTGCACCTCCTGGAGCAGTGGCCTGATATGTGTCTGGGGACCTTTTAGTCATAGCTGGAGCTGGAGGATCTGGGACACAGGGAGCAGTTGCCCAAGGTTGCACAGGGCACCAAAGCCTTCGGCTTGGTCCTTGAAACCATTATTTTCTCCTAGGCTTTTGTGCCTATGATGTGAGGGGCTGTTGGGAAGGTTTCTGAAGTGGCTTTGAGGGATTTTCCTTATTGTCTTGGCTATGAAAATTCGGCTTCTCTTATGCGAACTTCTGCAGCTGGCTTGAGTTCCTCCCCAGAAAATGGATTCTTCTTTTTTTTGTTTTCCTTTTCTTTCTATTTTTTTCTTTTGAGATGGAGTCTCACTCTGTTGCCCAAGCTGGAGTGCAGTGGTGCAATCTGAGTTCACTACAACCTCCACCTCCCAGGTTCAAGTAATTCTTCTGCCTCAGCCTCCTGAGTAGCTGGGACTACTGGCATGTGCCACCATGCGTGGATAATTTTTGTATTTTTAGTAGAGACACGGTTTCACCATATTGGTCAGGCTGGTGTTGAACTCCTGACCTTGTGATCCACCCACCTCAGCTCCCCAAAGTGCTGGGATTACAGGCATGAGCCACAGCACCTGGTCAGGTTTTTCTTTTTTACGAAATGGCTGGACTGCAAATTTTCTAAACTTTTATGCTCTGCCTGTTTTTTAAATATAAGTTTTAGTTTCATAGCATCCCTTTGCTCACACTATGACAATACACTGTTAGAAGCAGCGAGATGACATCTTGAACACTTTGCTGCTTAGCAATTTCTTCCACAACATACCCTAAATCATCAGTCTCAAATTCAAAGTTCCACAGATCCCTAGAGCAGGGGCACAATGCCACCAGTCTCTGTGCTAACATAACGGAAGAGTTGACCCTTACTCTAGTTCCCAATAAGTTCCTCATCTCCATCTGAGACCACCTCAGCCTGGACTTCATGTCACTATCAGCATTGTGGTCACAACAATATAACCAATCTCTGGAAAGTTTGCAACTTCTCCTCATATTCCTCTCTTTTTCTGACCCCTCCAGACTGTTCCAACCTCTGCTCATTACCCGGTTTCAAAGTCACTTCCATGTTTTCAAGTATCTTTATAGCAATGCCCCACTCCCAGTAGCAATTTTCTGTATTAGCCTGTTCTTGCATTGCTATAAAGAACTAACTGAAACTGGGTAATTTATAAAGCAAAGAGGTTTAATTGACTCATAGTTCTGCAGGCTGTAGAGGAAATATGGCTGGGGAGGCCTCAGGAAACTTACAATCATGACAGAAGGAGAAGGGAAAGCAGACACATCTTTTATGGCCTGAGAAGGAAGAAGAGAAAGAAGGGTGAGGTCCTACACACTTTTAAATAACGATATCTCATGAAAATTTTCTTACTGTCATGAGAACAGCAAGGGGAAATCTTCCCCCATTATCCAATCACCTCCCACCAGGCCCCTCCTATAACATTGGGGATTACAATGTGGCATGAAATTTGGGCAGGAACACAAGTCCAAACCATATCAGTGACTAATTTGAACTATTTATGCATATACTGTGAGGGAGGAGTTTAACTTGCCTGTTGATGTCGATGATGTCAACTTGTCCCAGAATCCATTTATTTAAAAAAGTACTTTTCCATATTGAATTTACTTGGACCCCTTGTAAAATTATTTGACCATAAATGTAAAGGTTAACTTTTTGATATTCAATTTTATTCTATTTATCCGTATGTCTACACCACACATCTTAATTAGTATGGCTTTGTCTTTAGTTTTAAAATCAGAAAGTATGAGTCTATTTTACAAATTCTGTTTTTTTTTCAAAATTATTTTATCTCTTCTCTATTGCATTATATATACAGTTTAAAATCTGTTTGACAAGTTAGTGAAAAAACGGTCACCTGGGATTTTCATGGAAATTGCATTAAATATATAGAGCCAGATAAAAAGTATTGTCAACTTAATAATATCAAGCCTTTTAATCAATGATCATTCAATATTGTCTGTTTTTATAGAAGTTTATTAATTACATTTAATATATTTTACAGTTTTCAATATACATGTCGTACGTGTATTTTGTTAAATTTATTCTTATGTATTTTTCCTTTTGGATGCTATTTTAAATAGCATGGGTTTCTGAGTTTTTTCTTTAATTTGTTAATTTCTAGTATATAGAAGTACATATTTCTATATATTGACCTTGTGTACTGGGACTGTATTGAACTTATATTTTAATTTGCATTCTATTTTATTAGAGTCATTTTGATGTTCTATACACAAATCATGTCAATTGCCAACGGAGTTTTACTTTCTTTTATACTAGATATCTTATATTCATTTTTCTAGACTAATTGTCCTTGCTACATCCTCTAGCATAATGTGGGGAAGAATTGTGGCCAGAATGAAATTCCTTGTCTTATTTCTAATCTTGGAGAAAGTATTGAGCCTTTCAGAAAACTTTTATATCATGTGAGGGTTTTTTTTTTTTGGATGCTTTAAAGTGAAGACATTTTCTTTATAGTCCTAATTTGCTGCATATCTTTATCATGAATGTGTTTTTGATTTGTCAAGTGCTTATTAGGTGTCTTTGAGATGATTGTGTAGGTTCTGTGCTTTATTCCATTAATACAGTGCATGAATTGTATATTGAACAAAATTTGCATTCCTGAGGAAATACCCTTAGCCATAGTTTATAATAGTCTTTGCGTGTTGCTGATTTGTTTTGCTATTATTTCCTAAAGGAATTTTGCCTCTTTTTTTTAATTTTTCTAAGTGTTTTTTTTCTTATTTTTATATTATACATTAAGTTTTAGGGTACGTGTGCTCAACGTGCAGGTTAGTTACATATGTATACGTGTGCCATGTTGGTGTGCTGCACCCAGTAACTCGTCATTTACATTAGGTATATCTCCTAATGCTATCCCTCCCCCTCCCCCCACCCCACAACAGCCCCGGTGTGTGATGTTCCCCTTCCTGTGTCCATGTGTTCTCATTGTTCAATTCCCACCTATGAGTGAGAACATGCTGTGTTTGATTTTTTGTCCTTGTGATAGTTTGCTGAGAATGGTGGTTTCCAGCTTCATCCATGTCCCTACAAAGGACATGAACTCATCCTTTTTTATGGCTGCATAGTATTCCATGGTATATATGTGCCACATTTTCTTAATCCAGTCTATCATTGTTGGACATTTGGCTTGGTTCCAAGTCTTTGCTATTTTGAATAGTGCCACAATAAACATACATGTTCATGTGTCTTTATAGCAGCATGATTTATAATCCTTTGGGTATATACCCAGTAATGGGATTGCTGGGCCAAATGGTATTTCTAGTTCTAGATCCCTGAGGAATCACCACACTGACTTCCACAATGGTTGAACTAGTTTACAGTCCCACCAACAGTGTAAAAGTGTTCCTATTTCTCCACATCCTCTCCAGCACCTGTTGTTTCCTGACTTTTTAATGATCGCATTCTAACTGGTGTGAGATAGTATCTCATTGTGGTTTTGATTTGCATTTCTCTGATGGCCAGTGATGGTGAGCATTTTTTCGTGTGTCTTTTGGCTGCATAAATGTCTTCTTTTGACAAATGTCTCTTCATATCCTTAGCCCACTTTTTGATGGGGTTGTTTTTTGCCTCTTTATTCATAAGGCATATTGTTCTTAATTTTACTTTCTTGAAATGTTTTGGTCTAATTGTGGTACAAGGATAAAGTACCTCATAGTGTGCATTGGGAAGTGATCTCTTCACCACTGTCATTGCTGTTGTTTAATGTTTTTAGAGAATTCATAATGAATTTGTATTATTTCTTTAAACGTATGAAATAATTTCCTAGTGAAGTCATCTTAACATGGAATGGGAATTAAATCCTAACAACAATCATGTGAGCCTGGGGAGGATCCTTCCCCACGTGAGCCTTCAGGGGAGACTTCAGCCTTGGCCATCTTCTACATCTAGATTCCTGACCAAGAGAAGCTGTGAGTAATGTGTATGTGCTTTTCAGCCACTCAGCTGTGTGGGAATTTGTTACACAACAATAACTAAGTAATACACCTGGCATTAAATGTAATGTGGTATCCTAGATTAGATACTGGAATAGAAAAGTGATATTATTAGAAACCTGAAGAAAACTATTAAGAAAGTCTGTAGTTCCATTGATAGTTTTATAACACTGTCAATTTCTCAGTTTTCATGAATAGTCTATGGTTATATAATGTGTTAACATTCCTTTAAGCTGAAAGGTATATGAAACTCTCTGCACTATATATACCTCCTTCTGTAAGTCAAATATGATTTCAAAATAATTTTAAAATAATATTTTGGTGCAAAACAAAAGCCAACAAAAAGACATAAGCACATTAACTTGGTTTCAGGAGATGCATTGGGCAAGTAGGGAAAGGTCAGCAGTGCAGCTTTCCTAATCTATCCACCATTCGGAACCCAGGTGCACCTGCTTCAGTTAAACACAGTTAGCTCTGGGGACTCTCATCCATTTTTGTCTTTGAAATCATGCTACTCATTATCCAGGAACATTTTAAGTGTCAGTAACCACTTCTTCAGAGAGAGGCGCCTTTTCCTCATATATCCCAGAATGCCCCATTTTCAGGCATTGTCTGGCAGTTTATTCACATAATTCCACTAAAGCCTTTCGGGAAAAAATGACTGCTAGACATTAGAAGCTGATATTGCAAAATGTCAGTGACAGGGAACACAAATTGTATTTCTACAATCAGGAGAGTGTTTTATTTCCCTTGGTACAGGGATTTGTTCTTCAACTGGTTATCAGATCACTGTGATAATTTCTATTTCTCTCGTCATGAATTATTTGGGACCATATATTCTGTTGCTCTTCACATCTTGGAATTATATTGTCCATTTCCAAGGTCAAAGACCACAGAATAAATGTCATCCTGGCAGCAGGTGAGTAGGGCACACAAACAATGCTTCTAAATATGGTGGTTGATGACAGTGCTTGCTTACTAAGACCTCGATATGAGTCTGTAGACAACTGGTTTTTGGCAGGTGAAGTCATGTGAGTGAGTCAGTATATGCTTTGTATGGCTGGAGAAAGCTGAGTAGATACAAGAAAAAACAGTATGTAACAGATCTCCCCCCACCATGCAGTGATCTAAGAGATGGACCCAGGCTAAATGATGACTCTGCACGTGTTCTGGCTAAACAAAGAATCTCACAGCAGGAAGAACTGTCCAGCTGTCCCCCACATAGGTCCCTGTTGATAGTTCACAGCACTCTGCGGTGTTAGCATCAGGGTTGTGCCAAAGAACCATGCCTACAAAGCCTCCCAAGCCATGAGTCTGCATGCTGCACTCACACAGACATAGACAAAGCCAAGACTATTGCCTTTATGATGGTCTGTAAACATGGGGCATATTCTCTATAGCACATTGATAGCTTATATGAGAAAATGAGATCTTGCAGCCTTGGGACCTAGAGTGGGAGATATGACTGACCTCGACCACATTTTTCACTTCTGATATCAGCATAGAAGTGATTTAGGTGCTGTTATTTGAGCATCTGTACTTAAAGAAACCTTCCAAGTCTTCCAAGTTCCATATACTTTACTCTTTAAGACATGACTCCTCTTTTAAATTTGACATCTTAAAGGAGGTTTATTCCATTTTTTAAATTTTAACTGAAGATACTATAGTACAATACTTAAATGACAGATCTTCTGTTTCTCTTCATTTTAATGCATACTTTTTGATCTATTATGATGCATACTGTGAATATTCTGCCCACCAATAAATGACTCAAAAATGGCCAGAGTGACACATATGAGCCACAGTTAGACCTGGACATGAGTTATGAGGACTACCACATGGTGGTCACAATAATTGAGCTCTGAGTTCTCAAGTTTAAAGGAAAACAGGCACTATACACAAAACTCTACTGCCATATTATCATGGACACAAAGGACAGAGTGCTGAGCACTGAGTGCCCAACAAGTGCTTTAACAGCATGGAAGGCATGATTTCCCACAATATACTAAGCCACTAAATTCACAAAGGCCACCACAATTCTAAAAAAAGATGTCATTGCAAACAAACCCAAGTGTTAGACCACAATATAAGACAAACATCCCAACATGCTGTCTCCACACTCTAGCCTGATTAGGAGTTGTAGTTCAATGGATGAATGGCTCATATATTTAACATCATTACTTCATGTTCATGCAATTCAACCTTCCTGCAGTTTAAAACTATAGGTGAAATTTCAGTCAAAGTCCTAAATTATGAATTGTATGAGTTTCTTCTTCACTTAATATTTTCCCAGGGAAACAGGAAAACTAATTTCAATATCCTAGTGTCCAAAAGTAGAGTTTGCCAGAGTAGCAAGGGGACAGAACAAAGCATTTTATGAGGATCACAATGCATTTGCTTCTACAGTGACTATGTGTTATCACTATTTGTGTAATTAAAAGGGTGAATGAGAATGAAGAAAAACACAGATCAAGAATGTTATAGATTAAAGAATTGAATTTGTAATGGATTAAAGAATTGAATTTGTAATGTAGCTTGCAAGGATCATTGCTAATATTTCTAATTTTAGGACACAAATTTTTTAAATATAGATTTTGCTTAGTCTTTAGAAAGCTAACACTTCAGGAAAAATTTCAAGTGTCTCTCTACAATTTATATCTTCCTCATCAATAGATTTCTTGAACCATAGTTTATAAAACAATTACAGCAATTCACTAATAAGTCTAATATCTCTAATAACTAGGTAGAATGTAAATAGAGTTGATAAATTAATGTGAACATATATACAAGAATGTTAATTACAGACTAAAACATAGCAGACTTGCCACCATGTTTTTTTTTTTTTTTTTTTTTTTGGAGACGGAGACGGAGTTCGCTTTTTCGCCCAGGCTGGAGTGAAGTGGTGCGATCTCGGCTCACTGCAAACTCCACCACCAGGGTTTAAGCGATTCTCCTGCCTCAGCCACCATGATTTAACACTGAGAAGTGGGCAGTCACAGAGAAAAAGTGTGTAAACAATTCTTTGGTACACATTTTAACATCTTTTAAAGAGAGATGCATCTTCTATTTGAAAGGGTTATAACATTATTGCCAGAAAGCAGTCATGATGTGGTTGTCCTCGGGCACACACACACGAACTTGGTCTAAACCTCCCCAAAGACATCGTTGGGTAATTATATCAAGCATCAAAACTTACAGAAGGGTTGTCAGGAGACTGGAAAGGTAAACTTACATAGAGTAGCATAGGAGTCCCATGAGAAATGCAGCACTATCAGTGCTTGTGATTAGCACAGATGATGATATTGTGGGGAAAATCATGGACAAGATGAGTTGAAAGTGATTCAGAGAGTTTGTTCTGAATGAAATAAGTGTTAGCAATACCTTTGTAAATGTATTTTGCATATATGTTCTGTCTCATGTAATGATAGGAATGATATAAGACAAATATAAACGTGTTAGTCAAAAAAAGTTTTTAAAATAATTATAAAACTCTAATTAGAAATATTTGCTCCATTATTTATTAGTGGTTTTATTATTTCATTCTGATATGTAAATCTAAAAGATAAATCTCACAATTTATTATAAAAATTAGTCTTAATGATATGTATAGATGTGATACTATACTACATGCTTTATATATTATTTTATACAAACCCACCTGACATCTCAAGAAGTGAGCACTGTTACCACTGCCACGGGCCAGTTCTGAATCTGAGACTAAGCACTACATGAAAGGATTAAAAGTGCTTTGAGTTTGATTCAGTCTGTCTCCAAAGTCATTGCTGAAGTCAACTATGTAGAATATGTAGAATAGTTTATTTATATAATTAGTGCTTTTTAGGTCCAGTTTCAGGTATCTTACCCTACCACATAGTCCTGAAGATATTTTCTTATGTGTTCTACCTAGTGTACTAAATATATATATATGTCTGTGATCCACCTGATTTTGTGTGTAAAATGAAGTTAAAGGTCAGATTTTAATTCCCTTGTGAATATTCAGTTTTTTGAATAGTTTTAGAAAAATTAATCTGTCCCCATTTATTGACTTACAAATGATTTGTTCATATATACACGTCTGTATTTATGCTGTTTTCTTTTTTCATTGGTTTATTCCTCTGTCTCTGTGCAAATGCAACACTTTCTTAGTTGCTAACAGACTTCATTTAATACCATATTTTGTGACCATTCTCCTAATGACTGTGCTTTTCCATAATGAAGTGAAAAAAGATTAAAAATCTCCATGCCTTTCACGTACACCGATACTCTCAGCTGGTCTTTGAATCAATCAGTGGCTTTAGAGTTTCAGAATATCATTGTTGTCTCTTATGTCTGTAATGTCTTTGTTAATCTTATAAGATCCATGAACACCACTCTTCAGTTTGTGTATTTCATACCTTCAACAACAGCAAGTGGTGGGAAAACCTGGAGATGCAGCCCCGGGTGCCTCCTGCCTTGCTGTAGAAGATGCTGTGGACATGGGTCTCCTCCTCCAGACAATGCACATCAAAGGCAGGACCAGCAGGGAGCCCTGAGATCAGAACCTCTCTGTGGGGTCTGCATGCACAAGGGGAGGAGCTCCCTGTTGGGTGGGGTGGGGAATTCAGTTATTTTATATAAGCATGAATTTGTTAAATAATCATTCTTCTTTCTGACCAATGGCACATTTCCCCTTCAGTCCTGGCACTGTAATGTTACATCTTGGTTTTTGGTTTTGTGTACAAATGTGTTTAACACTGTGTATTAAACACAAGGAAACACTCTTTTGTTGGTCACATAGCCATCATGTACAACCAAATTTATACTTTTGTATTTTTCCAAAACAAACATCCCTGGGTGTTTCGTGCACACACACAGACAACTCACTAGACAAGGTTTACCTCCTCCAGACCACGCCTATCCAAGACAGTGCCTAAGTAGAGGCAGGAGAGTTGAGCCTGTCTCTGTGGTATCTTCATGGGAAACACCAACATTTTCTTGCTCTACTTCTGGTGTTGGTTGGGGAATTCGGTTATTTCTTGGAAAGACTGAGTGTGTCAAAGAATCATTCTGTTTGCTGTCTGAAAACAAATGACACAGTATTTGTTTTGAACAAATGAAACAGTGTTTGTTTTGGTGTGCAAAGGCCTTTGACCCTTTCTGTGTCAATGTACTTTTTTATCATCACATAAACATCATGTATAACCAAATTTAAATTTTTGTAGTGTGTATTAATGCCTTTTATTTTGTTTAGTTATTCATAATCATTTTTCAAAATATCTTTATTCTTATATTTTATCACTTTTTATTAAATTAATGGAAATGTCACCCATTCTCTATAATTGTTTTCCACAAATTTCCTCTGAAATACTTCTAGTTGAAAAGGTGCAGAAAGTTTGCTAGGAACCACAAGACAAAATTTGCTAGAGACTCATACTTAAAACGGGTTTTGTATATGGCTTAGTTTGTTCTAATTTGCAAGGTTCAAAAGCATTGATTTGAATACATGGAATACCAAGACTCCCTTCCAGCACACAAAGACCAGTTATTTTGTTAATATGCACGAATAAACTTCAGCATATTGTTTTTCTTTTACCTGAAATTTATAGATACTGGCTTGAATCTCTGATTCCTTCTACATAGTATTTGTAAACGTCTGCAAGACATTTCCTTATACTTATGGCTCATAATATAGGTGTGTATTCTTCTCTTTCTCTTTGATGAGTAAATACCAAAATTGCTTCTTCAGTTAAAAAAAAAAAAAAGCCACTCCGAAAATCTGTGCATACAACTGCACACAGCAAATGTTTTCCGATTATCGTCTGTAGAAAAGAAATGGGAACTTCAATTTATTTTCTTGTATCAGATAATAATCTTTTAAAAGTGATTTATACTTTTATAGATTACCAGAGAATTTTCAGAGTTGCTTTCTGTCCAGGACATGTGTGGGGCTCAGAGACACCATAGACAAAGTTGCCATGTTCTGTGATGCTTCTGTCCAACAGGGTTTCAGAAAACTTGACAAAAATTAAACTGTAAGGTGGAAGAGCTGCCCTTGGGAACTGAGAGGACAGGTTTCAGGCCTGGGATGGGATGGACAGGGGAAGCCTCCAGGAGGAGGAACATTGGAGGAGATGCTGGAGAGTGAGGCGCAGTGGGTCCAGGAGACAGGGGAGGGAAAGCGAGGAGGAAAACCTGTGTGCCTGGCACAGGCCAGGCCATGAGAAGAGGGCGGTGGATTGGAAGGAGCGCTGGGATGAGTAATTGGTGAGGACGCAGGAGCAGGAAGGGCAGACCACGGAGGGACTGGGCAGGGGAGGCAGGGAGGGCCGCTCCCTGAGGACTGCGCTCTGTGGGGAGGGATTCGAATGTCTGGGTTTGGTTCCCTGAGATGTTACCCCAGCCCATGAGCTCAGCCTATGGGAAGGACGTTGAGGAGTGAGTGGGCCCTGTCCCCTGGGGAGGCTCCTGGGCTGGGCCAGGGGGGCGTGGGTCTGGGAGAAAGGAGGGTGGAGAAGAGCAAAGAGGACCCCCGGCTGCCTGACTGCAGGGCTCATGGGGCTGCCCTTGTTCCTGGCCTTTTCTCTATCGCTCAGACCCTCGCTTCCCCGCCAGGGCAGGTTTCTGCCACCTCAGTGCTTTTGCAGGTGGTGGGATCCATGGAGGAGAAAACTCAGATCTGCGGACTCCTCTCCACCTGGCGCCCACACAGGTGAGGCTGGGAGCAGCCTGAAGGGAAGTGCGGGTGCGGGGGTCGCAGCTGCGCAGTGAGGGGAACCGGAGGCTGCCACGCAGGCTGGGCTTGGGGGCGGGAGCCAGGCCCAGGTGGGGCGTGAGGGCCGCGGGTGCAGGGCAAGGCTGACAGGGAGTGAGGGAGGAAGGTGGAGGGCGGTGATCAGAGGGCGCGGCTGACAGGGGGAGAGGGCGGTGAGATCTACAGGAGAACTCAGGGCGGATGTCTGAGGGGTCTGCGCTGGGCTTTCCGGTGGCTTCGCCCGGAACGCGCGCTTGTTCCTGAGGCGGTGCCTGCCTGTGTCGTCGTCCCTGTTTGTTCTTCAAACGTCAGGATTTCTCCGTGTTTCCCAGACCGTAACGTACATTTAAAAAGCTTGCTTTCTGTCACATATGCCCTTTTATATTATGGACATAACAATTGTTACTTACCTACGTTTCCTATTTGTGAATTATTCATAGATAAAGAATTTACCAAAACTTTTATTTTTAGTTGACACATTGCGTATATTTATGGATAACAGTGTGATATTTTGATTCTTGTATTCATTGGGGAAGATTCAATCAAGCTAATTAACATGGGCATCAACTCACCAGCTAATACTTTATGGTGAGAACACTAAAAATCTTTTATTTAGCTATTCTAAAATGTACAGCGTGACTTCGGAGGAAATGATACTGCCCGGCCTCAGTAGCCCGAGACTGATCATTTCTAAATCTTGAGGTTCCCATTTCTGAGGGGGTCATGGCTGCATGCCCGTAAGCAAGGGGGGTGTTGGGGTGCTTTGTTTGCCCTGTTAATTTTGGGTGCCTCTGTGTTCTGAGAACTATTAAGATAATAGGTGTTTGAGAAATCCAGTTGCTTTAACTTTTCCTTTGTTTTAGTCTGTTAACAACGTTATCGCTTTTCTTTTACTGACTTTAGATTTAATATATTCTTCCTTTTCTAGGTTCCAAAGGTGGAAACACAGATGACAGATTTTTGGTCTTTTCGTCATTTCCTATGTATGTGTTTAATGGTATTTATTTGCCTATATGTTCTGCTTTCCTTTCATCCTACAAATTTTGATAAATTGTGTTTTTATTTTCATTTAGTTAATTTAAAAAATTTCTCTGGTGATATCTTCTTTGACCCATATATTATATGGAAGTGTGTTGTTTAATCTCAATGCATTTTGGGATATTACAGTTATCATTCCATTCATCCTTTGATTTCTATTTTAATTCCACTGTGGTCTTAGAGCTGACATTGTATGATTTACTTTTTAAAAATTGTTGGGGTATTTTTTGTCTCAGAATGTGGCACATTTTGCTGAATATTCCATGTGAGCTTAAGAAGAATGTGTCCTCTGGAGTAGTTGAGGGAAGGAGACTGTAGGTGTCAGTTATGCCCAGTTGCTTGTTGGTGCTGTTGAGTTCAGCTTTTCCCTCCTGAATTACTGCCTGCTAGATCTGTCCGTATCTGATATAGGGTGTTAACGTTTCCAACTATAATACTGAATTCATCTTTTTCCTTGTGGTTCTGTTGATTTCTGCCTCATAGTTTACGCTCTGTTATCAGGCTCATAGGCTTTAAGAATTAGGACATCTTCTTGGAAGAATGGCTCTTCATCTCTATGTAATGCCCTTCTTTATTCCTGATGACTTTTCTTGCTTTGAAGTCTGCTCTGCCTGTAATTCATATAGCTCTTCTTGTTTACTTTGATTAGAGTTAGCATCGTACATTTTGTTCCATTCATTTACGTTTATTTGTCTTTATATTTGGGTTGGGCTTATAAATAACAGTTGTGTCTTGTTTTTTGATTCATTTTGTAAATCTGTGTCTTTTACTTGGTGCAGTTAGACCATTGACATTCAAAGTGGTAAGTGATACAGTTGGATTAATATTTATCATATTTGTCAATGCTTTTGATTTGTTGTCCTTGTTCCTTCTTCCTATTTTCATCTTCCATTCATTTTCTGCCTTTTGTGATTCTCATTGAGCATTTTATATTTTTCCATCTCTCACATTCCTTAAAATATGAGTTATATATAATTTTATCTTTCTGTTGGTTTAACATTTTTATATCCTTAGTTTATTATAAGAAAAAACAATTTCTTGAAAATAGAAAAATTATTAAATAATATATGCCTATGCATATATCTTATGTATAAGTATATATGTGTACAGATATATGCACATGTGCATGTGTGTTTGTGTGTGTGTATATGTATATATATATACACATATATATATGAAGTGGATATCAGCAATAATGCAAAGGACAGGAGAAAGGAATTAGGATTATTTGTTATTATAAGATACAGTAACTGTGAACAATATAACTTTATTTGAAAGTAGCTTAGTTTAGTATTTTTTATAGTTTTTATATGATTTTGATTTTTTAACTTTATATCTTTAAATTTAGGTTTGTGGATACAGGTATGGTTTTGTTATATAGGTAACCTTGTGTAATGGAGGTTTATTGTACAGATCATTTTTTCACCCAGGTACTAAGCCTACTACCCAATATTTACTTTTTCTGCTCCTCTCCCTCCTTCTACCCTTCACTTACAAGTAGGCCCCAGTGACCTTTGTTCCGTTCTTTGTGTTCATGAGTTCTCATCATTTAGCTCCCACTTAAAAGTGAGAATATGTGATAATTTGGTATTCTGCTCCTGTGTTAGTTTGCTAAGGATAATAGCTTCTAGCTCCATTCATGTTCCTGTAAAAGACATGACTCTGTTTTTTTTCAGCTACATAGTATTCCATGATATATATGTACCACATTTTCTTTATCCATCCTGTCATTGATAAGCATTTAAGTTGATTCCATGTCTTTTTTCTTGTAAGTAGTGCTCCAGTGAACATTCATGTGAATGTGTCTTTTTGGAAGAATGATTTCTATTCCTCTGGGTGTATACCCTGTAATGGGATTGCTGAGTTGAATGGTAGTTCTGATTTTAGCTCTTTGAGGAAATGACATATTGCTTTCCACAATGGTTGAATGAACTTACACTCCTACCAACAGTGTGTAAGTGATCCTTTTTATCTGCAACCTCACCAGCATCTGTTATTTTGACTTTTTAGTAATAGCCATTCTGACTGGTATGAGATGGTATCTCATTGTGGTTTTGATTTGCGTTTCTGTAATGATCAATGATATTGAGCTTTTATTCATATGCTTGTTGGCCGCATGTATCTCCTGTTTGGAAATTGTCTGTTCTTATCCTTTGCTACTTTTCTTTTCTTTTCTTTTTTTTTTTTTTTGAGACCGGGTCTTGTTCTGTTGCCCAAGCTGGAGTGCAGTGGCGCGATCTCGGCTCACTGCAACCTCCGCCTCCCGGGTTCAAGCGATTCTCCTGTCCCCTCCCAAGTAGCTGGGACTACAGGCACCTGCCACCACACCTGGCTGATTTTTTGTATTTTTAGTAGAGACGAGGTTTCACCATGTTAGCCAGGATGGTCTCGATCTCCTGACCTTGTGATCCGCCCGCCTTGGCCTCCCAAAGTGCTGGGATTACAGGCGTGAGCCACCGCGCCCGGTGCTTTGCCTACTTTTTAATGCGGTTGTTTGTTTTTCTCTCGTAAATTTGTTTAAGTTTTTTATAGATGCTGGATATTATACTTCCATCAGATGCATAGTTTGCAAATATTTTCTCCCAGTCTATACTTTGTCTGTTCACTCTGATAGTTTCTTTTGCTGCGCAAAGCTGTTAAGTTTAATTGGATCACATTTGCCAATTTTTGCTTTTGTTGCAATTGCTTTCAGAGTTTTTGTTATGAAATCTTTGCCTATTCCTATATCCAGGATGGTATTGCCTAGGTTGTCTTCCAGGGTTTTTATAATTTAGGGTTTTACATTTAAGCCTTTAATCCATCTTGAGTTAATTTTTTATATGGTGTAAGGAAGGGGTCCAGTTTCAGTCTTCTACATATGGCTAGCCAGTTCTCCCAGCACTGTTTATGGAATAGAGAGTCTTTTCCCCATTGCTTGTTTTTGTCAGCTTTGTCAAAGGTCAGATGGTCATAGGCTCTCTATTCTGTTCAGCTGGTCTATGTGCCTGCTGTTGTACCAGCACCATGCTTTTTGGTTACTTTATCCTTGTAGTATAGTTTGAAGTCAGGTAACATGATGCCTCCAGCTTTGTTCTTTTTGTTTATGATTACCTTGGCTATTGCGGCTGTTTTTTGGTTCCATATGAATTTTAACACAGTTTTCTTCTAGTTCTGCGAAGAATGTCATTAGTAGTTTGGTAGGAATGGCATTTAGTCTGTAAACTTCTTTGGGCAGTGTGGTTAGTTTTAAATATAATATTTCCAACTGTAGAACAGTCTATTGCACAAAAAGCCTCTTACCTTCCTGGCTGTTGGCCATTGGCTAAATAAAGTGCCTTGCCAAGGGGGCTTCTGTCACATGGCTTCATAAAATCCATCGAGAGAGACATTTCTAGCAAGACCAAAATCATAATCATATATAAGAATCCAAGTGACACTTCTATACCTTTGCACTATTCTATTGTTTCAAAGCAAGTCACAATTCCTGCTTAGACTCACTTGGATGGGTTTACAGTCGAAGGTCGTGTATATGAGAAGGTGGGGATAAATGGGCACCAACTTAGAGTCTACCTGACACATCAGGTATTCTCCTATATGAAACAGTTTCCTGGCCTTCACTTCTTTTTCATGACCTTGACCCTTTTGAAAGGTACCAGTCAGGTATTTAATAGGATGTCACACGATATGGTGTTAGCTGATATTTTCTCATGATTAAACTAGGAATATTAATGAATGAAATAACTTCACTTAAATCTGAAGACAAAAAAGCCCTAAAGAATATAGTATTCAGAAATACTCAAAGAGGAAAAACTATTTTTAAAGTATGGAATGACAATTCACAATATAGTTAAGTTCAGTGCTTAAGGAAAACTGAGAAATTAAGGAGATGCACAAAGGAGGTATCAACAATATTGCTAATCATTGGTTTTTTTTAAGCTTGGGAGTGACATTAACAACAACAACAACAACAAAAAAAAAAAAACAAGTTTTAAAGAATGGTTTTCCAAAGCCGGGCACAGTGGCTCACACCTATAATCCCAGCACTTTAGGAGACTGAGGCGGGCAGATCACCTTAGGTCAGGAGTTCAAGACCAACATGGCAAAACCCTGTCTCTAATAAAAATACAAAAAATTAGCCTGGCACGGTGGTGGACGATTGTAATCCCAGCTACTTGGGAGGCTGAGACAGCAGAATCGCTTGACCCCAGGAGGCGGAGGTTCCAGTAAGCCGAGATCATGCCACTGCACTCCAGCCTGGGCAACAGAGGGAGACTCTGTCTCAGAAAAAAAACAAAAAAGAAAAAACAAAAACCAACAAAAAAATGTTCTATGGTTTTAAGAATAGTTGCAAATCTAGTATAGAGTTTCCATTTACTCCATGCACAGTGTCCTTTATTATTAGTCTCATAGTGTGAAACATTTGTCAAAATTAAGCAACCAATATCATGTATTGTCACTGAGTACTATACATACTTTATTCGGATTTTTTAGTTTTTGCTTAATCTTAAGTTTATGTTTTAGGATCTCTTCTAGGATATGTCATCACATTTAGATATTATTGCTTCATAGGCTCCATTGAATGTGATAGTTTCTAAGAGTTTCCTTGTTTTTGATGCCGTTGATGTTTCTAATTTGGGATTTCTCTGATGTTTCTCTCATGATGAGACTGGACTTCTGGGCTTAAGGGAGGAAGAATACAGATGAAAAGTACTATTCCTATCACATAATATCCAGGGCACAAGCTGTCAACAGGCTCTATCACTGTTGATGTTAATTTGATCACCTGGATAAAAATCTTTTAGTTCTAAAAATCTCTTCTGTAAAATTATTCTTTTTCTCCCTTTTTATGTTGTGTGTATTAAAAAAGTCACTATATACAATGCACACTCAATACTGGGAGAATCATACACCACTGCTTTTTCTTTGAAATAAATTTGTTAAAATTTCAATGGCTTTGGGATTACATGTAGTTTTTGGTTACATGCATGAATTGTATGGTGGTGAAGTCTGGGGCTTTTAGTGTACCTGTCACATCAAAAGTGTACATTTTACCTCATAGGTAATTTTTTATCCCTCACTCACCTCCAACCCTCCTCCTTTCAGAATCTTTAATGTCCATGATCCCCCTCTGCATGCTCCTGCATATCCATTGCTTACCCCAAACTTGTAAGTGAGAACATGTGGTATTTGGTTTTCTGCTCCTGAGTTACTTCAATTATGATAATGGCCAAATTGCTTTGAAAAACACTATTTTGTTCTTTTCTATGGCTGAGTAGTATTCTGTAATACACACACACACACACACACACACACACATTTTCTTTATCCACTAATTGGTTGATGGGCACTTAGATTGATTTCATATTTTTGCAGTTGTGAATTGTGCTGTGATAAACCTAGAAGTGTAAGTGTCTTTTTGATAGAATGACTGTGTGTGTGTGTGTGTGTGTGTGTGTGTGTGTGTGTGTGTGAGAGAGAGAGAGAGAGAGAGAGAGAGAGAGAGAGAGAGAGAGAGAGAGAGACAGGGTCTCACTTTGTCCTACAGGCTGGAATGCAGTGGACCAATCTCATCTCACTGCAACCTCTGCCTCCTGGATTCAAGGAATTCTTGTGCCTCAGCCGCTGGAGGAGCTGGGACTGCAGGCATGACACACCTGGTTAATTTTTGTATTTTTAGTAGAGATGGGATTTTGCCTTGTTGGCCAGGCTGGTCTGGAACTCCTGCCCTCAAGTGATCCATCTGCCTCTGCCTCCCAAAGTACTGGAATTACAGCTGTGAGCCTCTGCACCTGGCTGAAACTGCCTTTGCAAAATTATGACTGAGACAGTGAAAGAGATCTAACCTAACCGACTCCATCTTGCTTCTAACCTTTTAAGCAGTCCTTGTTCCTTCCTGGGCAAAGTTAAACTAACTTTGGGAGGAACTTACTTTACAGCTTATAGTTTAAAACAAAGACAGTAACAGTACTTTCTCAAAACAAACCTCTTTCTTACCTGGAGACTAGACTGCGTTTGTAGGACTAAGAAATTAGCCACATGATTAGAAATTATGGCTTAGGAGTCATGCAGCTGGAGGCTACAAGATTCTGACCCTCCCTAAACTGCTCCAAAGATCAGTGCTTGAGGTATTTTGCAGCCCCTGCACTTGATGGATCAGCTGGCACAACCCTGGTGGATAAACTGCCTGATCTGATCTTGTGGCCTCCACCTAGGAACTGAGTCAGCATACGAGGACAGCTTGGACTCCCTGTGATTCCATCTCTGATCTGACCAATCAGAACTCCCAACTCACTGGCCTTCCCCCACCCACCAAATTATCCTTTAAAACACTGATACCTGAATGTCCTGGGAGACTGATTTGAGTAATAATAAAACTCCTCCAGTCTCCTACACAGTTGGCTTTCTGTGAATTACTCTTTCTCTATTGCAATTCTCCTGTCTTGATAAATCCACTCTTTTAGGCAGCAGGCAAGGTGAATCCATTGGGTGGTTATACTGTATGTCATTTTCAGCATAGACTGTCTTCTTGAACATACATTTATTTTGTCCCATCCCAACCCCCAAAGGATGTGGCTAGGAAAAGAAGAAAAAAAAAAAGGTCCCAACATCTTTTCTTTTTCCTTCTGGATCTCCTTTCCGGAAGCAGGGCGTCAGTGACAGGAACATTTTGACCCCAGCTCTTAGTCCCTCTTAGGTCTGTGGAAGCCTCAGAAGGCGTGGCCAGGCCAGGGCATCCTGGCTGAGCACAGGGTTTGGCACCTCCTCCCTCCCTGGCACTATGCAGACAACTCTGAGTACTGAAAGATGAAACTAACACACCTCAAGGAAGGATACGTACCTCGATGCATGCCACAGAGACACACTTCCAGGATCTTTTTAAGACCTTACCCATGTTTTGCAAGGAAAAGCAACACAGAACTGAAGTGCCTTCAGTTATTTCAGGTGGGGCTGTCTTGTACAGGGCAGTCAGGGAGAGAGACTGGAAGGTAAGGGGAGGGGACAGCCAGTCCTTCCAGTTAGCAAAGTTCAGGCTCACTGACTGCTTCTAAGTCACTGCTCACTCACTGCTTCTTAGATTAGAATACCCTGGGAATCAGCTACAATAACCTCAGACAAGGAACCATAAAAACCTGAAATGCACATTGGGTGCCAGCCAACAATGAAGCTTGGCTGCCAAGACAAAAGTTGCTCTTTCTCTTCCTGCTACCTTGGATGTTCCAGGTTGTAATTTGCAAATGTATTGCCTGGCCCTTAAGGGTTGGCAGCTAACGATTGGTTGCAGAAGGAGCCTGGCCTAGGAGTGAGAGAGATGCCAGCACAAGAGAAACCCACTGACTATGAGCCAGGAAGTGGGCTGTCACCAGACACCAAACCTGCTGGCGCCTTGATCTGGGACCTCCCAGTCTCCAGACTCCTCAGGGCCACTGTCATCTTGTGAAGCAATCACCACATGTTCCCATCACAGCTGATGGTGGCAATTAACCCATGCAGAGTACTGAAATGAGCCAGGCTCTGTCTGCCCTCTCATGTGTAGTCACCCAGTTAATCCTGGCAGCAGTCCTGGGTTCTCTGCATTTCCAGAGTGCAAGTCCTCCAGTAACCACTGAAATGCTTTCTCAGGAGTTGTTGTCAACTCCTTAAAAACATTTCTCCTTACTTGGCACAGAGCACAGTGACACCAGAAACAGGCTTCCCTGGACCCCAACCCTGGCAGTGGCCATGTCACTCAGGCCCAGGAAGAAGGCAGGCTCTGGTCTCCCGCTGGGCAGCAACACCTAACTTAACCCAGATTTCTCACTTGGGTGAACTCTTGGATCACCATGCCCAGTCTGACGGAGTCTGCAGCAGATGCAATAAGGGCTTTGGGGCCTGGAAGTGGAGCTCATCCAGGTGCCAAGCCCGAGATTGGGCACCCCTCCTTCACACCATCTGTGGGGACTTCCTCCCTTCCCCGGGGGAACGCCACTGAGAACCGACCTGACGGTGCCAAGAGGGCGAATTTCCCCCAAGTCCTCTGAAATATGTTGTCATGATTTGTAACAGGAAGCAGAGTGAGGAGCACAAAGTGCTTCCAGAGACTAGGTGATGGGCCACATCCCTGGCCGATGTGTTGAGCCCCTGAACCAAAGTCTCTGCGACCACCACCTTTGCCTGTCTGCCCCAGGTTTCTAAGCATGTGCTCCGCAGACTCTTGTGCCCCAGGCCACCAGCCACTCTTGCCTGTACTCCCCCAGCCCCAGCGGAGCTGCCACAGGCGCCTTCTGCTCACCAGGTGGAATTTACCTTTTATCCTGTGCAGCAGGCTGCAGAACGCGCCCCTCCGCTCCCTCCATGTGGGACTGCAAGGGGTCGGGTCCACCACCGAGGCTGCCTTTATGGAGAACCCTGCACTTGTCCCGAGCCTGAAACCCCCGAATTGCAGGGTCCAGGAAGACTGGAGGTGGCGCCTGATAGAATGACTTCCTTTCATTTGGGTCCATGCCCAGTGGTGGGATTGCTAGATTGAATGGTAGCTCTGCTTTTAAAAGTTCATTGAGAAATCTCCATACTGTTTACCATATAGGTTGTACTTATTTACATTCCCACCAAGGGTGTCTAAGCATTCTCTTTTCACTTCATCCACACCAATATCTATCATTTATTGACTTTTTCATAACGGTCCTTCTGACTAGGGTAAGATTGGTATCGCATTGTGGTGTTAATTTGCATTTCCTGATGATTAGTGATGTTGAGCATTTTTTTTTCATATGTTTGCTGGCCATCTGTGTATCTTCTTTTGCCTGTTCATGTCATCTCCCCACTTTTTAATGGGGTTATTTATTTTTTTCTTGCTGATTTGTTTGTGTTTCTTGTAGATTCTGAATTAGTCCTTTGTTGGATGGACAGTTTCCAAATATTTTCTCCCATTCTGTAGGTTGTTTCTTTACTCTGTCGATTATTTCTTTTGCTGTGCAGAAGCTTTTCAGTTTCGCTAAGTCCCATTTATTTGTTTTTGTTTATGTTGTAGTTGCTTTCAGGGTCTTAGTCAAACATTCTTTGCCTAGGCCAATGTCCAGAAGATTTTTTCCTAGTTTTTCTTCTAGAATCTTTATAGTTTCGTGATTTACATTTAAGTCTTTAATCCATCTTGAGTTAATTTTTATATATGGTGACAGATAAGGATCCAGTTTCATTCTTCTGCATGTGGCTATCTTATTTCCCAGCACGTTTTATTGAATGGGGTGTTCATTCCTCAGTGTATGTTTTTGTCTGTTCTGTTGAAAATCAGTTAATCGTAAGTATTTGGCTTCATTTCTGGGGTCTCTGTTCTGTTCCTCTGGTCTGTATGTCTACATTTATACCAGTATCATGTTAGTGTGCCAGCAGATGTTGTAATGGACTGTGTTGGTTGACCGTGGGCCAGAAGGTGGCACTTGCAGGAGAGAGCCAGCTGCAGTCACGGTAGTGGGATTTATGCTTAACCTTTGTTACCCAGGGGAAGTAGTCAGCTGATGGGAAGTGACATGGAACTCTGAAAAGTCCCTGTTCTGCTACTAGGACAGGTAGAGGGGCAAAGCCGAGTGTGGGCTGGGTCAGGAAAGTCCATACTCTGCCTCTCCAAGTGTGGGTGTAAGCAGCAGCCACAATGGGGATCAGTGGACAGTTCCCTGACCACTGGGATAGTGTTCCAGGGAGGAGAACACCCTCTGCCACATGAGAGTCTGTACATGGAGAGAGGGGTAGCAAGAGGCAGGTCAATTCCCACAACCTTGACACAGAAGGTCTTACACATGCAGACTTCTGCTGGCAAACACCCACAATAGCCAGCTAAGTCTCAGGCAGTCTAGGCTGAGAACACAAACCTGCCCCAGGCTGCAAGACTTCCCACTGGAGACTGAAACTGAAACGGTAGCTCTGAGGCCACACCCCTTGATTTGACATGTGAAGCAGCACTACCCAACTCCCATGACCCTGGCACAAGAAAGCTTCCTGCATGCCCCTTGGTTCAGGCCTTAAGGGGTTCATCCTCTGCTCAATATTAGATCAAATACAAATCTTAGTTGGTCAGCTTCTCCCTCAGTTGGGAGCTTCTTCCAGTGCATGACTGCTGCCTGGGTTACTTCGCTGATTTCTGCAAGATCTTCTGTGAGTTAGGGTCAGGAATAGCTTCCTTCTGTCCCTGCTGGGATCTGGGAGTGCACACGCAGCACACCCAGGTGCCACTCCTTCTTTCATGGTCCCCTCCTCTCTAAGTCAGCTCCAGTGCTGGGCAGGGTTAAGGTGCTTCCCTGTGACCTCGATTGCCTGGTACCCCAGTGGGAATGTATCACAGAGTCTCCCCCTTTTGCACTCTGAAGGCTCAGTTGTCCATCTGACACATGGTGCAAGTTGCTGCCTGCTGCTCCTTTCAAAGTATCCAAAGGTTCTTTCACTTCTTCTGCTGAGTTCCTGTGATTGTTGGATACAAATTCACAGTGTGAATCTCTAGACACTATTTTGCTCTTTCTAAGCAGGTGAGGCACACTAACAAAGTCTCCAATCTGCCATCTTGAAAAAAAAAAAACAAACAAAACAAAAAATGCTCCACTTTATGAGCAGAATGTTTACCAAAAGTTATTTGGACCTTTCATCCTGAAAGTGTCTATTCTCCTCCAATAATCGTTATATTTATGCAGTCATTTTTGTCAGTATGCAAACATGGATATTTGTTTTACTCTTTCCTTCTACTACTTCATTTATTTGTTTAAATTGTTGCAGTGTTGGCTATTGGAAGGTCTTTCAGTTGGATCGTTTGTCATTTTGAAACACTACCATAATGAAGCTTCGCTGTTGTTATGTGGTTGGTTAGTTGTTTGCACTGTTGTTTGGCATTTTATTTTTTCTGGCACTACTAGGTACTTAAGCTAATTGTGTGGATTTCCTAACAAGCCTGGTATTAACCACTTTTTTTTTCACAGAGACCTAGTTCTTTATATTGGAAAATTGAATTAGAAATGGAGATCTGGGCCCTTGACATATTCATTGCTCCTGGGGCATCTGTTGATTTGTGATTTTGTGTGGTGACAGAGCAAATACATCTGTGTATGCTGATTCACACACACACACACAGAGACACACGCACACATAAATATTTTATCATGTATCTGTATCTTTAAGTTAAATATGAATTCCTAATAATCCTCCAGCACCCCATGATCTAATCCAGTACCATGTGAATCAGTGCACCTATTCCCGCTTACTTGTATATAGCCTACCACACTAACAGTGATAAAGATGCTTCTGTTATTTAATCACATAATCCGGAAGACTTGTGTAAGTGGTTTCAGAATTAGAAATGTATATGGCCATGAGAAAGAACTTTACCAACTAAAGTTTTTAGGGATAAATCTTTACCCTTTAGACTCAGAATATCCACTTACTTGCTATGTTCCTTGGGTCAGCTGCTTTCCCCCCTCCATTCAGTGAGGTTATTTCACTGATGTGTTATTTAATTCTATTATGTGTATAGCCCCATGCTATCTGCTACCTACTGTAGAAGGTTTTCAATTTGTATATTTTAAGTTCATTTTTTGTATTATAAAGTTATTTAGGATTTGGAAAATATAATCATGTATTTATCATTACAGTATGATGCCAGAATAATTTCACTGCCTAGAGCAAATCTGCTGTACCTCACCAGTTTGACCTGCCTCTTTTCCAAGCTCCCAGTAAATACCAAACATTTTATTATCTCTCTACTTTTTCACATTGCAGAGTGTCACATGACCAAAATCACACAAAGTATTTTGCCTTTTTAAATTTACTTTTTTTTGCAATATACCCTTTAGATTTGTGAAGTGTGTCTCATGGTTGTTTAGAGTTGCATTTTCCTAATGACAAAAGGCTTAGGCCTCATATCATGTGCTTACTAGACATGACTATAGTATCTTTGGATACATGTCTATTCAGATAGTTCACCAATTTGATTGTGATATTTGCCTTTTTATTTTGAGTTGTAAAATATTTTATATATTGTGGCTAATAGATTCTTTTCTGCTATGTGATTGTGAAGATTTTCTTCTATTCTTTGCATTATCTTTTTAATTTTAATTATGTACTTTGAGTCTCAGAAGATTTTAATTCTCACAAAGTTAAATATATTCATTTTTTTATTTCCTTTTCTTCGGCTTTAAGTATCATAACTTAGAAATTATAGGAGTTATTGTTTAAGCTAAGACCCAAATTATGTATTTCTGTATTATCTTCTAAGGGTTTGGTCTATTTAGCTCTTACATTTGGATATATGATTAATTTGAGCCAATTATGTATAAGATGTGAGTGAGAAGTTCAACTTGCTTGTGGATATTCAATTGTCCTAGCAACATTTGTTACAAATATATTTTTCCGTATTGAATTGGCTTGGCAACCTTATAAAATCATTTGACTATAAAGGTAAAGATTAATTTTTGGACATTCAGTTCTACTATATTCCTTTGATCTGTATGTCCAAGTTTATGCTATTATTGAGCCTTTAAATTAAATTATGATGATACTGAGTTTTTCATGGATGCCCTTTGAAATAAAGAAACTTTTCTTATAGGCTTAATTTGTTGTATACTGTTATCAGAAATGGATTTTGGATTTGTCAGGTGCCTTTCCTGCATCTTTTGAGATGATCATATGGCTTTTGTTTTTTATTTTATTCTTATAGGTCATGACACTAATTATTTTATATGTTGAACCAAATTTGCATTTCTGCGACAAATACCCTTTTTGATGGTGTATAATTCTTTTTACATTTGCTGATTTGTATTGCTAGCATTTTATTGAAGACATTTACCCTTTATTTATAAAACATATTGGCCTTAATTTTTCTTTCGTGAAATGTCTTGCTTTAGTTGTAATGTCAGTGTAAACTAACTAATAGTATACATCAGGAAGTGATATCTTCTCCACTTTTACTGTTAAGTTTTTATGAAGAGTTTGTGATAGATATTTATTAATTATTTTCAGGTTTGGAATAGTTCACCAGTGAAGTCATCTCAACCAGCACAGGGCCTTGACTCCTAACAACAATCACACGAACTTGGAAGAGGAGCCTTCCCCACCTGAACCTTCACTTGAGACCTCGTCCTTGGCCATCCTCTACATCTGGATTCATGATACAGAGAAACTGTGAGTAAGAGCCACTTAGTGTGTGACAGTTTATTATTCAGCAATAAATAATACACCTGACAGTCAATGCAATGTGGTATCCTGGACAGAAAAATGACATTTTTTACTTAAAAGCCTAGTAAAATATGGAAAAAGCCTATACTTCAATAAATAGTTTTGTGCCACCTATTTTTTAGGGCTCATGGTTACATAATCTATTACATTGCATGTAATTCAAAGATATATAAAGCTTTCTGTAGTATCTTTGCATATTTCTGTGTATTTAAAATTATTTCAAAGAAAAAATGTGTTTGAAAAAAGTATAAAATGTGATATGAAAATAATTCCAAAGCACAAACAGAATACCTTCAGCTCAGGAGATGAAAGGGCACATAGAGAGAGAATAGCAAAGCATACTTCCATATCAATTTACCAACTCCAACACAGGTACACTTGCTTCAGGCAGATCCCCCTCAAGTTCCAGAGACTAATCCTCTTTCATCTTCTTCATCATATTCTGCATTTTTCAGTCACCAGTTTTAGCATCTGGTGCTAATTATGTAACCACTTTTTGAAAGACAGATGCCTGTTACTTGCATGTCTCAAAACGGCCCATTTTCAGATATTATTTAGCAGGACTCCAACAAACAGACCAGAATTTATTCAGAGCTTGCAGTGAGGAGTGTCTTAATGCCAACACGACTATGTTGACAACACATCCTCTTGTGAGTGAAGCATTCATACAGAATCAGTCGCTGAAACTCAATAACATATGCCTACTGTACAAGAAGGGTACTAATCAATATAATGCTCTAAAATTATTCTGGGGACATAGGGGACATGTGTCCAAGATTTATGAGATGTGAGCAACCAAGAGAGCGTGAACACTGATATTTTACAAGTGCTCCAAATCAGTAGATGGGCATTTGATTTTCCAGTTAGGGCTGCAGTCAGGGTCTCTTGGCTTCAATACTGTACACGGAGAATTTCATTGACAGATCTTGGTTAAAATAACAAAAATAATAACAACCCCTCATCTATGATATTGCAGCCTGGCACCATTTAACTTAATTTTACTGCATATAAATAGCAACCCTATACTCCATGCAAACTAGAATGGCAGTGGAATTGATGTAGTGAAGAAAGTGACAAATTATTTTCCAAATATAAAGCAAACTTAAGGTTTTATAGGGAAACAAATGGAGGTAAGAATATTTTTATCCTTATTTTTCTGATAATTCTGTTCTGCTCTTATAAATAGAAAGCTCCACTTTCATTATTTCATAATGTAGTGAGTTTATCAGCCACATGTATGAAAATTGCATAGTAAAAGTAGGTTTGTGTCCACTTGGTTGGTTCATTCGACTTATATACATCATTTACTTTATCTCAAATGGTTATTATAAGATAAAATGGTTATTTTGAGATAAAACCAAAGCCTTGGTTTTTGTACAACATGTAAAGGCGTCAGTCTTTGTGCAATATTAAATCTTCATTCAAGTAACTTTTCTTTGTGTCTTTGCCTTTGTTTCTGCGTTGCTCCTGTACTTCTGTGAACCATATTTCAGTGAGTAATGATGACAATAGCAGTCCAGTGTGCATGGATGCTGACGTGGATGCTGTCTCCCATTCTTACCACTGGATGGGAAGAAATGATAGATGCAATCCAGCCATTGTGTTCTCGACTCTCAGTTCCATCTTCTCAACTGACATTGTCTTCCAAAGTCCGTGCCACACCACAGCCTGGAACATCTCCCAAAGTGGTATCTTGATGCAATGGTAGAGCTCATGTCACAGTATTGTATGTCTCAGGTATCGCTGTCCTTCACTGTTTGATATAATCTCTCTTACAAACCATTGTTCCATACACTTTGCCCCTTTTGTGTTTGTTTATACATGTGGTATGGCATGTCTAAACCTCACAGTGAGGATATTAGAATAGGGTTCTGCATATTTAGAGGTGTGGATCATTGGGAAACATCTTAGAACCTACCTGCCCCATCAGGTCCTGTCTAATCTGTATCAGTTTCTGGGTCTTCACTTATTTTTTTGCCCTTGATCTTAGTGAAAAGAACTTGTCAGGTGTTCCATAGGATGTATCACAATATGGATTTGTTATTTTTTTATAATTTGAGTAAGATTAAACATTAATTTATACACGTATTTATCTAATGTTGAAGACAAAAAATACCTGAACAATATATTATTTAGAAATACAAATTTAGAAAATAATAATGAAGAACGAGGCTTGGCACAGTGGCTCATGCCTGTAATCCCAGCAATTTGGGAAGCTCAGGTGGGTGGATCACTTGAGGCCAGGAGTTTGAGCCCAGCCTAAGTAACATGGCGAAACCCCATCTCTACTAAAAATACAGAAATTAGCTGGGTGTGGTGGTGCATGCCTGAATGTTTCATATATTCTGGATAATAGTCTCCTAACAGTTATATGACTTGAGAATATCTTCTTCCATTATTTCAGTTGTCTTGATGGTGTACTTTGCATCTTAAGAGGTATTGATCCACATGAAGTTCAATGTATCTATTTTTTTTTCTGTCACTTGTACTTTTGTGTCACATGTTAGAATCCATTGTTTCATGTAAGGCCATGAAAATCTATTTTTATGTTCTCTTCTGTGGGATTTTTAGTTTTAGCTCTTATATTTAGCCACATATTCTATTTTGAGTCAAATACATATATGGTGCAGGAAACAGTTTAACTTGCATGTGGATATCCCTTTCTCCCAGCAACATTTGCTGAAAAACTACTTTCTCATCTTGAATTAATTTTTCAACCTTGAAAATAAGTTTGCCCTATATATAAAGATTGATTTTGGGGTGCTCAACTCTATTCGGTTGGCTTATATGTCTTTCCTCATGTTATGTGAGTTTTCCATGGATGCTCTTTGTAGGTTTAGAAAGTTTTCTTCTATGCCTAACTTTCCCAGAGCTCTTATCATGAATGGGTTTGGAATTTGTCAAATGCCTATTCTGTGTCTTTAGAGGTGACCATGAGTCTTTTTAAAAAATTCTATTAGTATATTTTATAACACCAGTTGTTTTTGTATGTTTAACCAGACTTACATTGCAGGGATAAATAGTTTTGCTCCTAATGTATACTCCTTTTTATATATTACTAGTTAATTTTGATAGTATTTCCTTGATACTTTTTACCTGTTTCACACTGGTCTGTAATTTTCTTTTCTTGAAATGTCTTTGTCTAGCTGTGGTGTCAGGGAACACTGGATTCATACATTGCATTAGGAAAAGTTCTCTACTTGTTTGTTTTTATTGATTGTTATTAATTCCCAAAAAGGTTTGAATAACTCACCAGTGAAGTCATCTTGACCTGGACAGAAATTGAATCCTCCCGAGAATCCCAGGAGCTGGGTAGGTGATCCTTCCCCAGATGAGCCTTCCCTTGAAATCTCTGCCAGGCATCTGACCCAGAGAAACTGTAAGTACTATGTAGGGCTGGGTTGGAAAGTCTAAACTATGTAGTAATATGTTATACAACAATCGGTCAGTTATATGCCTGACAGTAAATGTAATGTGGTATCTTGGATTAGATCCTAGAACAGAAAAATGACACTAGTGGAAAAGCTGGTAAAATATGAAGAAAATCTTTTCCAGTTAATAGTTTTGTACCACTGTCAATTTCTGAGTTTTCATAAATATGCTATGGTGATATAAGGTGTTAACATTTCAGAAAGCTGTAGGATATATGAAACTCTATTATCTTTACTACTTTCTGTAAAACTAAAACTATGATAAAATAAAAATATTTCTTAAAATGTAATATTCAGGTACCAGAAAATAAAACAACAATAACAAAGACAGATTTAAACCACAATAAAACCACAGATCAGAGGACAAATGGAGATATAGGGAGACTATGGCAAAGTAGCTTGCCTTATTATCCCCCATTCCTACACAGGGCACCTGCTTCAGAAAGACACCATCAAGCTCCAGGGACACTCATCCACTTTCCTCTTTCCCATCACACTTCCCATTACCCAGTTATCAATTCCTGTGTTCATAACCACTTTTTCAAGGAAAGACGCCTTTCTCACATATGTTAGAAGGCCCTGTTTTCAGGCACTTTCTGTCAGTGTCTTTGTAGGATCTCACTATAAAGACATTTTAGAAGACATGACTTCCAGATATTAGAAGAAAAGATTGAGAAACACCAGTGATGGTGAACATAAATAGTTCTGAATTAAGAGTGTTTTCTTAGTACAGGGATTCCTTTTATTCCCCAAGTTTTAAAGGAAGAGGATGCCTTAAGCCTTTGAGAAAATACTGTAATAATTCAGTTTTCTTCATCATGCAGACTCCATTATGGATTTATGGGACCACACATTCTCTTGACACTCACATCATGGATCTATATTGTCCTGTGGTATATTAATCTGTTCTCATGTTGCTGATAAAGACTTACCTAAGACTGGGTAATTTATAAAGGAAAGAGGTTTAACTGGCTCACAGTTGCACATGGCTGGGGAGGCCTCACAATCATGGCAGAAGGGAAATGAGGAGCAAAGTCACATCCTACATAGTGGCAGACAAGAAAACTTGTGCAGGGGAACTCCCATTTATAAAACCATCAAATCTTGTGAGACTTATTTACTACCATGAGAATAGTATGAGGGAAACTGCCCCCATGATTCAGTTTTGTCCACCTGGCCCTGCCCTTGACACATGGGGATTGTTACAATTCAAGGTGAGATTTGGGTGGAGACACAGCCAAACCATTTCAAGTGATAAACCCAAAAGCCACAGAATAGACATTATCATGGAGGAAAGTTAACTAGATATGAAAAAAGTTTATAATCATGGAGTTGTAGGTTCATTCCTGCTCAAAAAGACGTGGAAATGAACCTTTAGACAGACATCAGATATATGAAGGTGAGGCATGTTAGTAATACAGATTGTGTTGTGCAGAGGTGGAAATAGCCTAATAGAAAAAAGGAAAGAAAGTATAACGTACCCCAGCCCACCATGTAGTGATCTAAGAGATGGACAGAGGCCGAGTGCTGACTGTGCATATGTGCGGGCTAAACAAAGATCCCCACGGCAGGGAGGACTGTTCCCCTTCCCCAACACAGCTCCTTGTTCACAGGCCACACCACTTTACAGAGGAACACCAGGGATGTTCCAGGAACCATGCCCACAAAGCTTACTAAGCCATGGGACTGCATACTACACTCCCAAGGACATCCACAAAGTCAAGACTCTTGCTTTTTCAGACCATGATCATGGACTGCATTCTCCATACCATGTTCATATCTTCAGTGGGAAAACAAACTCCTGAGTCCTGGAGACCTAGAATGAGAGACACAGCTGACCTTGACCGTATTTCTCACTTCTGAGAAGATTGTAGCAGTAATTCAGGTGCTATTATTTGGGGCATTTATAATTCAGTAAACCTTCTTACCCCTCTAATCTTACAATTCACCCCATAGGAAAGGATAGTTTCATTTAAATTGGCAATCTTAAGTCATGGAGGTTTGCTCTTTTTATTTCATTATAACAGGAGTTTCTGTAAGGTAAGTGACTTGTACAATCCCGTTTTCCTCTTTATTTCAATGCATACATATGGTCTATTATGATGTGTACTGTTAAGATCATCCATGACCAAATTCTTCAGGAAAAAAAAATCACCAAGTGGCAGGCCATGAAGGAGACAGAAGTAGATTTGTAGAAGGACAGACTCATCTCTAGGTGGCAAGAGGGTTGAGGAGCTCTGAGTGCTCAGGTTTAAGACTGGAAAAGTGATTAGACATGAAACTCTGCTACCATAATGTCCCAGGCACAGAGGACACAGTGCTGAGCACTAAGCTCCTAAACATTACCATGAGTCTGGATTGGCTGAATCTGGATTGGCCACCAGAATTCTCAGAAAGATGCCATTGAAAACACCCCATCATCTGACCACATCCTTAGGCAAGAACCCAGTGCTGTCTCTGCCCTCTAGTCTGAATACTGAATCAAGTTTAAAGGGTGCATGACTCCTACACTTGAGATTAGGGCTTCTTGTTCACTGAATTGAGCCCTAGTAGAAGCTGAAACTCTCGGTACAAATATGCTCAACATTCTAAATTATAAATTATAAGAGTTTCCTCTTCATTCAGTACACTATTTGGGGAACATCAAAGCCTGTTTCATTTTCTAAGTATCGACAAGCGGGGCTGACAAGAGTAACAAGTGGTCAGAGCAAGGCATTTCGTGAAAACAGCAATGCACAGGTGTCTGCAGTCCCTGCTTACAGTGAGATTCACATGACCATCGTTCATGGGATACGAAGGATAAAAGGGGAGGGAGAAAAAAATATGTAGTTGATCTGGATGAAGAATCGGATTTGAAAGCAACTTAGAATAATCTCTGCTTATATTTCTAAGATTAAGGCAAAAAGTCTCAAGATACAGGATTTTCTGTCTTCAGAGAGCTACACTCCGCTGCAAACTTTCAAGTAACACTTCACCATTTCTATCTTCCTTCTCCATGGGATCTTTGAGCCATAATTTATAAAATCACCTCTACATCTCTTGTATTTTTGTTATGTTTAATAACCACTTGAGGTCTCTCTAGGGACAGTGACTATAAATTATCACCCTGCCCAACAGGACTTCAGGAAACTGTGTCCTGGATGTTTACAGTGTGCCTTTCATGGGATACTTATTTATCCTGGTGGATACCCCAAAGCATAAGTGTACAATCTTTGACCCAGCATCCTTCTCACAGGATATTTGTTTATACCGTCAGACACCCTTGTTGCACTTGTCGGACCTGTGTCCACTCCATTCCCACCAAGGTAGCCACTATCTAGGAGAGCTCTGAGTTCGAAAACAGTTGAGTTCACATGTGTTGCTCGTGTGAGACACAGAGGAGGCAACTCAACAAAGCACAGGTATTTCTTGCAGTTGGGGATCGTTGGGTACCATTGCAGGGTCTAACTGACACATTAGGTCTTCTCCAATCTGCAAGTTCATAGTCTTCACTTCTTTTTCTTGACCTTGACCCTGTTGAAGTGTACAGGTCAGATATTTTGTAAGATGTCCCACAATATGGATTTGTCTCATGATTTCTCATGATTAAACTAGGGACATGTATACATTAAACACATGTCATCTAAGTTTGAAGACAAGAAAAACTAAACATTATGGATATTAGAAATATAAACATAGAGATAAATATAACAAACACAAATTAGAGGATAAATAAATTCACAGTAATAGCGACCTTCAGTGATTAAGGAAGGTGATGAAGCTAAGGAGATCCATGAATGGCCATCAACATATTGCTCATGTTCTATTTTATAAGATCAGCAGTGACTTTAAATAAAAAGAAACTTTATACATTTAAGAATCATTTAGGTTTTACAGAATTGTTTTAAATACAGTACATAGACTTTCCATATTTCCCACTACAGATGCTCTTTTTATTAACTTCTTAATTTAGGACATTTGTCACAATTAACCAATTTTAAACAGTATCATTATCCACTCTTCATAGTTTATTCACATTTTCTTAGTTTTCACTTAATGTCTAATTTCTATTCCAGGATCCCATCCAGGATACCTCAGCACAGTTAGGTATCATGTCTTCTTAGACTTCTCTGACTGTTGCAGTTTCTTAGAGTTTCCTAGTTTTTGATGACATTGACATTCCTAATGTGGGATTTCTCTGAGGTTTTTTTCATGTTAAGACTAGATGTGTGGGTTTAGGAGAGGAAGATGACAGAGGAAAGGTGCCATTCTCCTCACATCATACCAAGGGCACAGGCTCTCAACAGGCTTTATCATTGTTAATGTTAATTTGATCACCTAGATGAGGTTGTTTTTATCAAATTATCAAACACTGTGAAATTATTATTATTTTTCCCTTTCCCCATAGAATGTTTCCAAACAAAGTCACTAAAACAACACGCATTCAAGAAGTGGGGGTCATGGGCCAAGCACGATGGCTCACGCCTGTACTCCCAGCACTGTTGGAGGCTGAGGCAGGCAGATCACCTGAGTTCAGGAGTTTGAGACCAGCCTGGCCAACATGGCGAAACCTTGTCTCTACTAAAAATACAAAGATTAGCTAGGCACAGTGCTCGTGCCTGTACTCCCAGCTACTCGGGAGGCTGAGGCAGGAGAATCACTTGGACCTGGGAGGCAGAGGTTGCAGTGAGCTGAGATCACACCACTGCCCTGCAGCCTGGGCAACAGAGCGAGACTCCAGATTCCATCTCAAAAAAAAAAAAGTGGGTATTCATGATCTACCTTCTTATTGGCAGAATGTCTACAAATATATTTGAACCCTCAACCATAAACATGTGTCTATTCCATTACATATTTATTCATTTATACATAAATTATTTATATCATCATCTCAACATGGATGTTTATTTTACACTTTACATATGCTAATTTATTTGATTGCTCAAATTGTTCCATGGTTGGCTATTGGAAGGTTTTTTAGTTGTCTCTGGTATAATTTTGAAATACCCACATAATTAAGGTTCAATGTTGTATGGTTGGTTGGTTTTGTTGTTGTTTAGCATTTTCTTTTCTTTAACCACTACTAGGTGCTCCAGGCTAACTGTGCATTTAATTGTACTGCAGGCTAATTGTATGATTGTATAATTTCTACTAATGTTTCCAATACCATATGATCTAATCCAGCACCATGTGAATGATGTATGTAGTCTCTTACTCTCCCTGTGAAGAAGTTGATGCTGTTCACTTAATCGTACTACCTGAACATCCATGCAGAGTGGTTTCAGAACTGGTAACTTATACCCCAATGGGAGACAATTTTACCAAGTAAAGTACAGTACTTAGGTATAAATACTTTGGCTTTTAGCCTCAGAATGTCCACTTATTTCCCAAATTACTTAGGTCCATTGCTTTCCTCTACTTTCTTTAGTGAGGCTATTCCATACATTCATTACATAGTTATATTATTTTTTTGGGCATTCCTCCTTGGAAACCCTCTACCTACTAAATAAGGTTTTAAATTTGCATAATTTAAATGCACTGTTTGTGTTATAAAGTTCTTCAGGATTCAGAAAACATTATTATTTATCCACCATTACAATATCAGAGAGAGTAATTTCACTGCCCCAAAGAAACCTCCTGTATTTCACGCATCCCACCTTCTCTTTCCCAAGCTCCTCGTTACCACTGAACTCTTTGCTATCACTATACTTTTTTTTCTTTTCTAGAGAGTCATGTAGGTGGAATTACACAGTATTTTGCCTTTTCCAACTTATATTTTGTCACATAGCAAGATACCTTTTAGATTTTTGAAGTATGTATCATGTTTTTTTAGACTTCCCTTCCCCTATTGTTGCAGGACAGGTGATCCCCAAATTTGGGGCTTCAGTGAAGGGTTCTTGGCTTTGCCTGGGAAAGTATTTAAGGGCAAGCCAGTGGTGATGGACAGAAATGGTTTATTGAACAGGACTGCTTCTTAAAGAGCAGGGCTAATTCATAGACATTGCATCGGTTGGTAACCTATGGGCCCTTGTCAACTATCTTTACACTAAGGTACACCCACTTTCAATTACATGTAAATTGAGGGGTGGATCAATGAAACTTGATGGGCAGGTTATTCAGAACTTTCCAGGACAGGAGTGGTAATTTCTGGGTTGTTGCCATGGAAAGAGGTGGTAAATTCTGGGTTGCTGGCATGGAATTTGTAAACAATCATGGCGCTGGAGGGAATGTCTCATGCCAGTGAGCAATGAGGACAACCAGGAATCCCTGTGTCTCTTTTTGCCAGTTTCTTCACTGTATGCTGTCTGGACCAGATCTTGTTTTGATCAGCAGGGTTGTGACTAGGAAACAACTTGCCGGTGTCCTACCTCATAATGGCAAAAGACATTGAGTGTCTTTTCATGTGATTTGGATATGACCATAGCTTTTCTGGAGAATTGGGTATTTGAATAATTTCCATTTTTGATTGAGACATTTGCCTTTTTATTTTTGAGCTCTAGGATGTTGTCATATATTATTAACAGTAGACCATTATCACCTATAAAATTTGCAAATATTTCGTTTTTAATTTAACTTTTATTTTAATTTTCAGGGTACATGTGCACGTTTGTTACATAGGTAAACTTGTGTTATGGTGGTTTGATGTAGATTATTTTCATCACCAATGTACTAAGCCTAGTGCCCATTAGTTATTTTTTCTGATGCTTTCTCGCCGCCCACTCTCCACCATCTGATAGGCCTCAGCTTGTGTTGTTCCCTGCTGTATGTTTATGTGTTCTCGTCATTTACCTCCCACTTACAAGGGAAAAAATACGGTATTTGGTTTTCTGTTTCTGCATTAGTTTGCTAAGGATAATAGCCTCCAGCTCCATCCATTTTCCTGTAAAGGACATGATATTCTTGTTTATGTCTACGTAATGTTCCATGGTGTATATGTACCACATTTTCTTTATGCAGTCCACCATTGATGGGCATTTAGGCTGATTCCATATTCTTGCTATTGTGAATAGTGCTGCAATGAACATATGCATGCATGTGTCTTCTTCGTAGAACACTTTTTATTTCTTAGGGTATATGCTCAGTAATGGGATTGCTGGGTTAAATGATATTTCTGTTTTTAGGTCTTTGTGGAATCTCCACACTGCCTTCCACAATGGTTGAACTAATTTGGACGTCCACCAACGGTGTGTAAGTAATTTCTTTGTTCCGCAACCTTGCCAGCATCTGTTAATTCTTGACTTTTTAATAATAGCCATTCTGACTGGTGTTAGATGGTATCACATTGTGGTTTTGATTTGCATTTCTTTAAGGATCAGTGAGGTTGAGCTTTTCTTCATATGATTGTTAGCCGCATATATATCGTCTGTTGAAAGTGTCTGTTGATGTCCTTTGCCCTGTTTTTTATGGGGTTGGTTTTTTTTCTTGAACATTTGTTTAAGTTTCTTATAGATGCTGGATATTAGACCTTGGTCAGATGCATAGTTTGCAAAACTTTTCTCCCATTCTGTAGGTTGTCTGTTCATTCTGTTGATAGTTTTCTTTTACTGTGCAGAAGCTGTTAAGTTTAATTAGATTTCATTTGCCAATTTTTGCTTTTGTTTGCAAATATTTACTCTCATTCTTTGGGTGTCTTTATTTTTGATGGTGTAGCATGAATCACAAAAGTTTCAAATTCTAATGAGGTTTAATATACCTGTTTTTTCTTCTTCCCTTTTGCTTTCAGCATCATATCTTAGAAAAGAGTGTTTAACCTAAGACCACGAAGATGCATTCCTGTGATATTTTCTATATTTTGGGCCTGTTTAGCTATTATATATAGATATATGATGATTTTGAGTCAATTTCAGTGTGAGGCAGGAGTTCGACTTCCATGGAATATGCACTTGTTTCAGAAATATTTTATTAAAAATATTTATCCATATATAATTTATTTGGTGACATTATAAAATTATTTCGCTATAAATGTGAGTATTCATTTTTGAACATTATATTCTATTACATTGATCAACATCTATATTCTTATACTAGTACCATAAATCTTGATTACTATTACTTTGCAGTGAGTTTTGAAGTCAGGAAGTATGTATCTCCCATGCCAACCTTTTTTCTTCTTTCTCAAAATTATTTAGGCTGCTCTGTGTCTATTGCATTATATATGAATTTTAGATAAACTTTGTGAATTTAGAAAAAGGAAATGTCACCTGGGATTTTGATAGAGGTTGCATTAAATCTATAGATCCATTTGGAAAATATTGCCAGGCTAACAACATTAACCTTTATAAGCAATGAATAGTCAAAGGTTTTTTTCCATTTTTTTCAAAATGTTTTCTATAGTTTTTGTGTATATATCATATACTTAACTTGATAAACTCATTTTTGATGCCGTCTCAAATGGAACATTCTGAATTTGTTTTAGAATGGAACATTGAACATTGTTTTAGAATGGAACATTCTGAATTTAATTGCTAGCATATAGAAATTCAGAGGATTTTATATGTATTGACCTTATATACTGTAAGTTTGTTGAACTCATTTCTAAATTCTAACCATATTTGATTAAAGCCCTTTGGAAATTTTATACATAAGATCAGGTCATATGCCAGCAGACATAGTTTGACTTCCTTTCCATACTGGAAGCCTTACATTTATTTTTCTAGACTAATTGCCATGTCTATATCCTCCAGTAGAATGTTGAAAACAAGTGTCAAGAGTGGAAATCCTTGTCTTGTTTCTAATCTTGGAGAAATTAGTGAACCTTTCAGATAACTTATGATGGTATGTTGGTTTTTCATGGATCCTCTTTAAAAGGAAGACAGTTCCCTTATCTGCCTCATTTGCTGCATGTCTTTCTCAGGGATTTTGAGAATTCTGAAGTGCCTATGCGTCTTCTGAGATGATTATGTGGTTTTTGTTCTTTATTATATGAATATAGTGCATAACGCTAGTTGTATGTTGAACCAAATTTTGCTTTCCTGAGGTAAATACCCTTGACATACTGTATAATACTTTTTACATGTTTCTGGTTTGTTTTACTAATATTTCCTTGATGATTTTTGCCCCTGTATTCATAAGGTATAGTGTTCTTCATTTTCCATATTTGAAATGTCTTTGTCTAGTTGTGGTATCAGAGTAAACTAACTCTGTATATAATGGGAAATCATGCCTTCTCCACTTTTTTGAAATAATTTGTAATAAATTAGTATTAATTTTTTAAGTCATTCTAATAATTCACTAATGAATTCTTCTTGATGAGGTCAGAGAGGTTAATCCTAAGAACAGTTACATGAGCTTGGAAGGAGACCCTTCCCCAGCTGAGCCTTAGCCTGGACCATCACCTACATCTGGACTGAAGACCTAGAGAAACAGTGAGTAATATGTGTGTGGTTTTGAACCACTAAGATGTGTAGGAATTTGTTATGCACCAAGTCATAAGTAATATACTTGAAAGTAATTGCAATGTGGTATTCTGGGTTAGGTCTTTGAACAGATAAATATATCATTATTAGAAATTCTGAGGCTGGGTGTGGTGGCTCATGCCTGTAATCCCAGCACTTTGGGAGGCAGAGGCGGGTGGATAATCAGTTCAGGAGATTGAGACCATCCTGGCTAACATGGTGAAACCCCCTCTCTAATAAAAATACAAAAATTTAGCCAAGTGTGGTGGCGGGTGCCTGTAGTCCCAGCTACTCAGGAGGCTGAGGCAGGAGAATGGCCAGAACCCGGGAGGTGGAGGTTGCAGTGTGCGAAGATCGCGCCACTGCACTCCAGCCTGGGTGACAGAGCATGACTCTGTCTCAAAAACAAAACAAAATATAACAAAAAGAAATTCTGGTAAAATATGAAGGAAGTCTGTAGATCAGTTAATAGTTTTGAAACAGTGAAATTCTTAGTTTTCATGAATATACTATGGTTAGAATAGTACATTCTAGTTAGCTGAAGGGTATATGGAACTGTCTGTTCTACCTGTGTATCTTTTTGTAAATCTGCAATTATTTCAAAATAAATTTGTTTTCTAAAATTATTATATTTTTTAAAAGAAAACAAAGACACAAGCAAAAAACTTTGGCTTCCAGAGACAAATGGGCACATACAGAGAGAAAAGCAATCTAGCCTTTTTTATCTAGTTGCCTTTCCAAACCCAGGTGAACCTGCTTCAAGAAGGCACCATCAAGCTCCAGGGACTGTCATCCTTTTTCTCCTTCTCCGTTACGCACTTAGCAGTTAGAGTGTCAGAAACCACTTATTCAGATAAAGTTGCCTTTCCTTCACATATCCCGGAAATCCCCATGTGTAGACATCACTTCGCAGTGTATATTCAGGATCCCACTGAAGCATTTTTGGGAGATATGACTCTCAGATATTAGAAGGCAAGAATAAGAAATTTCAGTGACAGGGAACATAAATCATATTTCTGCATTCAGGATAATGTTTTCTTGGTACAGGGATTTCTTCTTCAAGTAATCAAAAGACAACTGTACCTTCAAACATTTCAGAAAAATATGTTCTAATTTAGCTATTTTGATTCTACAGACTCTATCAGGAATCACTTGGGACTGTGCATTCTGTTGACACTCACTTTGTGGAATTAAGTTGCCCACTGCCAACCCTAAAGCCACCAAGGTAGCAGGTAAGCAGAATACAACAAATGTTTCTAATAAATTGGTTTGGGCCAGTCCCTACTTGCAGAGACCTGTATATGAATCTTTTACACAACAGATTTTTTGCAGTTGGATGCTAGTAAGTGGAGAAAGCAGCTGACAAAGTGCTGAGCAATGAGTCTCCAGACAAACTCTAGCTGCATGGAAGATGTGATTTCCCACAATATCTTAAACCAACAGTTCCTTAGAGGCTGGCCTGGACACCACAATTCTAAAAGAGATACCATTTAAGAGAAACCAAATTCTAGACCAGATCATGAGGCAAACACCCAACACTTTGTTTCCACGCTCTAACCTGATTAGAAGTTGGAGTTCAATGGAAGAATGTCTTGGATATTTGAGAGCATGACTTTATCTTTATTTAATTTAGCCTTGCTGGAATTTAAAACTGTAGGGCAAAATTCAGTCAACCTCCTAAATTATGTGAGTTTTTGTTTTTGTATGTGAGTTTCTGCATACACATAAAGAAACTCCCATAGTTTAGGAGGTTGACTGCATTTTGGGTATATAGAAATTCATACTTTATGTGTTTCTTCTTCAATCAGTATATTCCTGAGGGAAAACCAAAAGCAATCCTCAAATCCAAGTACCCAAATTAGGGTTGAGCAAAGTAGCAAGGGGGCAGATTAAAACATTTTATAAAGACCATTATGCATCTACTTCTGCAGTGACTAATTACCAAGTGATTTCTATGATCACCGACCATATGGTTAAAACAGCAAATGGGAATGAAGAAAAAAGAGTTACATAAATGTTATAGCTGAAAGCATGGAATTTATAATGAAGCTTACAAGGGTCATTGGTCAAATTCCTAAGATTGCAGTGGGAAGTTTCAAGATACAGCTTTTTCTAGGTCTTTAGAAAGCTATCACTCGAGTGAATTTTTCAAGTAACTCTTTATAATTTCTATCTTCTTCCTCAATGGATTTCTTAAACCATAATTCATAAAACTACATTTCCATGCATAACCGAAGAATTATAGAATTCCACTAATAACTGTAATGTCTCTAATAGCTATGTAGAATGTAAATACACTTGGTAAACTTATGTGATAAGATTTAAGCATGTTTCTTCAATAACAGATAAGAATACAGTTGATGAGCCACCATAATCTAACACTGAGAAATGGGCAGTCACAGAGGACAGTGTATTCCATTCATCGTAGAGGGCACATTTTCACTTTTATGAAGCACAGATGCACCTTAAATTTATTAGTGTTAAAACATTATTGACGAGAAGGTGACCATAACGTGATTGTCCTCATTTACATATACATGAGCTTGGTCTATAAACCTTCCATTGACATCTTCAGGTCATATCATCAACATCATGTCTTGCATAGGGGGTTTCAGACGGTTGGAAAGATAAACTCACAGGAGCAACATAGGAATCTCGCAAGAAGTGCAGCATCACCAAAGCGTCAGATTAGCACAGGTGATAATAATATGGGGAAAATCATGAGCAGATGAGTTGAAGAGTGATTCAGGAGAGTTACATCTCAATGAGAGAAAATTTAGGAAAACCTTTGTCAATGTATTTTTCTTGTATGTTCCATCCCATGTAGGAATGACACAAGACAAATATCCACATGTATGCACATTGAAAATATTTTTTCCAGTAATTGTAATGTATTTATGTTATTACTATGTGATTTATTTATAAGTGATAAAAGTACTAGTTTCTTCATTTGTTAGTGGTTTTGTTCTTCCATTCTGGTGTATGAAATAATGACATGTTACAATACACAAATGATATATCTCACAATTTATTAGAAAATTAATTTTTAGGGGTTAGTATAGGGTTGATAATACACTACAAGCTTTATATGTTATCATTTCATACAATCCACACTGACATCTCAAGAAGTAAGCATGATTTTCACATCTGTGGTCCATTTTGGAGTCTGAGCTGACTTTCTGCAGGAAAGGTATAAAGGAACCTTGAGTTTGATACTGTCTGCCCCAGAGTCTTTGCTCACTTTGACTATGTAGAATGTGTCTTGTATTACATGGTAAATAATTTTCAGGTCTCGTTAGACAGCTCAGCCTACCCTCTGTCATGAAGATATTTTCCTAAATTGTTTTCTGAATATTATTTTTATATTTCAGCCTATGAACCAACTAGAATTGATTTTGTGTGTATGTGAGGTCAAAGTTCAGATCTTGGTTATTCCCTGTGGATATTCAATTTCCTGGAACACTTTAATAAAAATTGGTCTTTCCCCCATGCATCAATGTATAAATTAATTTTTGTATATGTATATGTGTGCATTCTAGCTCTGTTTTTATTTTTTAAGTTACTGGTTGTTTCTTCTATCTTTGTGCAAATTCCACACTGTCTTATTATTATCATTATTATTATATATATATTTTTTGATACAGAGTCACTCTGTTGCCCAGGTTGGAGTGCTATGGTGCAATCCTGGCTCACTGCAACCTCCTCCTCCAGGGTTCAACGATTCTTGTGCCTCAGCCTCCCGAGTAATGGATTATAAGTGTGCACCACCACACCCGGCTAATTGTTTTTTATTTTTATTAGAGATGGAGCTTCACCATGTTGGGTAGGCTGGTCTCGAACTCCTGATCTCAGGTGATCTGCCCGCCTCGGCCTCCCAACATGCTGGGATTACAAGTGTGAGTCACTGCACCTAGCCCACACTGTCTTATTATTAAGAGAGTCTATTTAGAACAATAATTTTTTCTCCAGAGGTTGCTTTATATATTTTCTTTTCTAAGAGAGAGAGAAGATTTCATCCTGTTGTCCAGTGAGGGTATAGTGGCTCAATCGTAGAGCAGATTCTGTGTTCGAACTACTGGGATCAAATGATACTCCCCTCTCAGCCTCCTGAATAGCTAGGACTACAGGCACAAGCCACCATGCCTGGTTAATTAATTTTTTTTTTTTGGTAGACACCAGGTCTTCCTGTGTTTCCCATGCTAGTGTAGAACTCTTAGCCACAAGCAATCCTCCCTGCTTTGTCTCCCAGGGTGCTAAGATTACAGGTGTAAGCCACTGTGCCTGTCCCAGAGCCTCTTCTTTTAGCCACGGTACTTCTCTATAATGAAGTAAAAAATGTAACAACCTGCATGTCTTGCACCTACACCAATACTTTCAGCTGTACCTTGAGTAAAGCTGTAGGTTTAGAACTTTTTTTAAAAAAAGAATAAATTTTAATTTTTTTTTTGAGACAGGATCTGGCTCTTACACCTGGGCTGGAGTACAGTGGCAAGATCTTGGCTCACTGGAGCCTCGACTTCTGGACTCAAGCAATCCTCCCACCTCACTTTCCCAAGTAGCTAGGACCACAGGTGCACAACTCCATGTCCAGTTAAATTTTTTTTTTTTGTATTTTTTGTAGAGATGGGGTTTCACCTTGTTGCCCAGGCTGATCTCGAATTCCCGAGTTCAAGCAATCCACCCACCTCAGCCTCCTGAAGTGCTGGGATTACAGGTGTGAGCCACCACACCCGGCTGGTTTAGAACTTAGAACATTGCTGTAGACTCTTAAATCCCTTAATATCCTTGTGAATCTTAGACAATCCCCCAACACCACTCCCCACTTTATGTATACTTTCAGCAACAGCCAGTAGTACTGAAAACCTTGAGATGCACCCATAGTAACCTCCTGCACTGGTGTAGATGCCCCTGTGACAGATTGTTTCTCCTCCGGACCATGTCCACCAAAATCAAAGCCACATGGGAGCCTCTGAGCTCAGAGACACTGTCTGGGGTCTCCATGCACAAGGGCAGCAGCTCCCTGTCCTTTCTGTTGGTGAGGTGGGGAATTCAGTTCTTTTGAATAAGGCTGAGTTTATTCAGTACTGATTCTGCTGGCTGACCAGTGATACCTTAAGACTTTATTTCTTGCATTGTAGTGTTTATCCTGGTTTTGATATGATTTGTTGTGCAAATGTGTTTAACACTTGGATGTAATTTTTTCTTTTTTTGTTCTCATAAACATCATCTAAAAATTTTTATTTTTGTGTTGTGTATTTAAGGTCTTTATTCCTCTTTTAAAAATGCATTCACAATTATTTTTCAATGAACACTTTTAATTATTTTAATCTTTTCTCATATTTCTCCTAAACTGAATGTGAATATCACTTTTATTAGAAAAGACAGATGTTACACATTCTCTGTTTTATGTTTTTGTACAAATTTTCTCTGAAATGTCTCTGGTTGAAAAGGAGAAGGACAGAAACTGTTCTGGAAGCCACAAGGCAAAATTGGCTCAGATCCTCATGCTTAAAAAGATGTGTGAAACTTTCCATTATATGGCTTAGTTTGCTGTACGTGTGGAAGGTTAACAAAGTATTGATTTGTGTAGCGGTACAGTAACACTTCACGTCTGAATAGAAGGAACAACCACTTCCTAACTGTGCAGGTGTGAACTTCATGATGTTGCTTTATCTTCTCCTTATACAAATATTTAGACAATGCCTGGACTCCATAATTCCTTCCACCTCACTTCCATAAATGTGTACATGACATTTCTTTGTACAGATCACCTATTCTATTAGAAATTATTTTTTCTTAGTTTTGATGAGTGATTATTAAATTTGGTTTTAGTTCTCAGAGATATAAAAAATACAGCTTAGAAAATGTGTACATTGAGTGCTGTAATCAGAAAATACTTTTGTGCCATTGACTTGTAAAAAGGGAATTTCAATTTTTTTGTTTATTGTCATTTTCACCTACCTTAATATTCTCAAAAGGCTTTCATGATTATGCTCCTTTTAGATTTTAATTTTTGTTGTCTTAGTCAAAAAACATGCGAGGGTTGGAAACACTTGTTCAAGATGTGTGAGACATGAGCAATCAACAGAGCAAAAACACTGGTATTTTATGGGAATATGTAATAATAGATGGGCACTTGCCCTGCTAGGTATGGCAGCAGTCAGGGTCTGTGGGCTTCAGTGCTGTATACAGAATTGACAGATCCTGCTTTAAGGAAAAAAGTGCCCCTCATCTGTCGTACGACAGCCTGGCACCATTTTGTTACCAAACCCAGGTTTGGCCATGGCCACTTCCAAAATCAAGTAACAGAAGGGTAGTAAAAAGAAAGTCACTGGACGGGCGCGGTGGCTCACATCTGTAATCCCAGCACTTTGGGAGGCCGAGGCGGGATGATCACCTGAGGTCAGGAGTTCAAGACCAGGCTGGCCAATATGGTAAAACCCTGTCTCTACTAAAAATATAAAAATTAGCCGGGCACAGTACTGTGCGCCTGTAATCCCAGCTACTGGGGCACAGAGCGAGACTCCGTCTCCAAAAAAAAAAGAGAAAGTCACTTTATTTCCAGAGCTTAGCAATGTGGAAGGGCTGGATTCGTATCTAAAGGAACCATATAAGTTTCTGGGGAGAAAACAGGGTTTTAAGAAGAAATATTGGCAATCAGGGCATGCAGAAGGGGTGTGGAGGTGTAGGATCTACATGACTTGCTGGATGACTTATCTCTAGTCTTGGGTCATTCCTTAGCCTGCCCAGCATCACTGGGGACAGAGTCAGGTTGAGGATTAACTGATGTATTGAGACAATCTCTCTATGGAGGAGAATTCTGGGGGATGCTTATTTTCGTTCAAGATTTGGTAATTTCTAAACAAACATATACTTAGCTAAGCTGACAGTGCTTGCTGGTGGTTTGGCTGGTGGAAAGGAAGGAGGGAAAAGTTTGAATTTGCATTTCTAAGGAGCTAGGTAAGACATGAACACACAGGAAAAAGAAAAACTAAATATTTTTTAAGGAAAATGAAGTACTTGGTTACAACACCCCACTGTCAAATTCTACTTATTTTTATTCAATTGGAGCATCATCTTCATTTGGTCTGCTTCCTACTGAAAGGGGGCATAGTTATAGAGCATCAGAATGGAATCTGTTTACCTAGAGTTGGAAATATTCTTGAGTTTTCAGCAGGAACTTACTGTGCATATATGGTGTGAGGATCCAAGAATTTATTAGAATGATTTCCTGCATCTCCATGCAGAGTGTACAACAGCAATAAAATTCATAGCAGCTGAAGAGGGCACTTAACAGTATTAATAATATATATAAAAGTATTTTATGCACCAGGAAGCCAACTAAATCATGGTGCCATAGAGTCCTGGGAGAGGGCATCTATAACAGAAATATGGGTATCTACATGTATAGCTTGGGTTATATTGTGAGAATAATCTGGTGTGTGTGTGTGTGTGTGTGTGTGTGTGTGTGTGTGTATAAAATGGTCAGCCTTAATGAATGCACAAGTGCCACCCTTGGCTGCGGTGAAGATATCTAAAGCCATATGGTTTAAAGACATCATGAGATTAGACATAGCATTAGTTTGCTTGTGCATGTCTTTTAGGGCTGAGGATATGTTTCTGGAGTTACCCAGGAAGTACACACAGCATTTAGTCTTAATTATAGTGCAAAGCCCCAAATGTCAGTTGTACCCAGAGCTCCTGTGGAGATACGAAGACAAGTTGGTTAACTATACATACTTAACAGGCTACAGGAGGAGTTGTAAATGTTCGTGAAGGTGGTCCTGACCCATGTGTATTAACAAATATCCATGGAACATATGACTTATTTATTTTGGAGCAGAGACTTAACTTTTAAATGTATTATAATTATACCCTATATTTCAAAAGTTCTTCTGAGGACAAAGGCACAAAAGTGTGCATTTACTGTAAACCGGCCAAAACTAGTTTATGGTGAGTGATCGTTTATCAGGAGATACTTACTGAAATTAGTCTCTAGTCTACTTCAATCTGTAGTTATGGCTGGTTGAACAGTGGCTGGGATCAGTCAGCTTATCTTGAGGCTAGTGCTTGCTTGGCTGCTAGAGAAACACAGAAACCTTGTGGCGGTTGTAAACATAGTCTGCTTTTTTAAAGTGTAGGAATGTGAGACTTAACCCTTGCCTGGCATGTTTTTAAGTCCTGTTCATAATTTGGTATTTTATTGTTATAAAGAGTCTGTTTTACAGTTTTTATTGTAATGTTAATGCTGATCAGTTGTGCCTAAATTCCCATAATGGGAGGAAGGTGTAGTGAAGCTTGTTCAACACCCCTCTTGTTGTCATGGCCTGAATTAGTTTTTCAGGTTGCTTTGGCTAACATGGGTGTAGGGAGTGTCCATTAAGTTGGTGGGGGCTTAGGACTTTATTTTATAGTTTATATTCTCCTTTTTTGTCAAGATATGCCAGAGGCAGTATGGGTAGCCACACTTTTATTTTCTCTCATGTCAATGGCAGAGCGGCGTGCTACCTGACCTGTGTCCATCATGTTCCTTGGGGCGACCACTATGGCCAAGGGACTTAGAACCAGAAGTCTTATATCCAATTATATCCAATTCCAGTCTGTAGGCCAGACTGGAATGAATGCGGCAGGCTGTCATTAATCCTTAAAATCCCATTTCAGCAATGTAAGAGCCAAAACTAAAAGTCAAAAGGTAAGGTTATATAACTGAATTTTCTCTGAATTTTATGCATTGAGCTGTTGTAATCTTGGCTTATAGGAACCATAGCTATAGAAAACATAATATTTTATTTAGCTGTTTAGGCATCTGTATGCCCATCCTTTATTTGGGGGGTGTGAATTAATTTTATTCCACAAGAACTGGCCCTTACAATCTCATGCATTCATACCTTCCATGATAGTCCCTGGGTCTGGAGAAATTGAAGAGTTTTAAATCCTGGATATATTAATAAAACAAAATATTCACCATTAATAACGTTTTAAGCAAAAATGCCGTAAGCCCTGTCTTGTTCCAAGAGAAACAGGACTGAGGCGGGTGGATCACGAGGTCAGGAAATCGAGACCATCCTGGCCAACATGGTAAAACCCCGTCTCTACTAAAATACAAAAAAAATGGCTGGGCATGGTGGTGTGTGCCTGTAGTCCCAGCTACTCAGGAGGCTGAGGCAGGGGAATTGCTTGAACCCGGGAGGCAGAGATTGCAGTGAGCCAAGATCACGCCACTGCACTCCAGCCTGGGCAACAGAGCAAGACTCCGTCTCAAAAAAAAAGAATGAGTGACGGGAAAGGAAGCCTATAGGTAGATAAACATTTAAATTATTTAGTATTAAGGTACAGAATAAATTATATTTCATATATTTCTATTTCAGATAGAAGGAAAATTATTAAAGTATAATACATGCCTGTCCCTGTGTTGCATGAAAGCAGTGTACTTTGATTATTGCCTTTGCTTGAGTCTAAAGATGAGGCTTTGGTTAAGTCGAGTTTGATGTTAGATGCTGGCAGGAGTCTGTGTCTTCTTGAGAGGACCTACATGTATCCAGGAGTCAATTCCTTGTACCTTAACACCACAAAGATTACTTAATAGCACCTAATAAGAACTTTTTCAGAGTGTTGGAGTTGGTGATAAACTTCACAGTGATTAATGTTTTTTAGCTTTGATAAGCCCCAGCAAGAAGTCAGAGACTTAATTTAGGATTCAATTTTGGAGATGTCTGTGAAAGATGTGAGAAAGCTTAAAATATTTCATCAAAACTAAACCACAGGTCCTTGTAAAACAATAGTTATTCATTTAACAAAGTGATCACTGAAAGACTTTAAAGGCAATAGAAAAAGTTACACGGGTATAAAATCCTTACTCCTTTCAAATTTCGGGGGTTTTTTAAAAACAATTAGACGCTTAATAAAGGCAGCATAGGAACTATCTTGATAAAACGTAAAATCTTGTTTCTTAAGCCAGTTACCAGAAAGTCAAAGGAAAACCTTTTTCAGTGTGACTGCCTCTCCTTAGAGGAAAGCCTGTGTAGATAATCTGGAAGTACAACTTAAGATAAAAAGTGCTTGAATTTAATCAAACATGGGAAGAGTGTGTACAAGGTTTTGAATAGAACTGGGGAATACATGACTCTTAGTAGCTGCATGATAAGTTTCCTGATTACAGTGAAAATTTAGACACACCAAAAACAACAACAACAAAAACCCAAGAATATAGAATCAGGTTATCCTGCAGGAAAATATTTCTTTTATAGACCTCTAAGATAAAATATTTCAGCATCAGCCACAACAACATTTAGAACTAAGGAGAAAAGTTACAGGAGCTGACAAGAAGCTGAAGGATAGAGTTATCATCCGAGGCCACATCAAAGGGAGAAAAAGCTGATAGCAGCAAGACAACAATTGAACATTTGAGATATGAATCTCAGAAGTTTTCAAAAGAGGTATATTATAGAATATAAAATCAAAATTTATTGTAATTTTATTAAGAGTACATTGATACCTTAAAAAAATCTTGATTTAACATAGGGGACCATTCTTTAGAAAGAGTATTATTAACAATTCCTTTTAAATTATGGCTAACTTAATTGCATACAAAATTTCTTCTATACTGGCTCAATTGTGAGAATTGAGTGAGGTTCTATGAGTCTCTGGTTTTTAGGATTTGAGGCAGAATCTTGTTCATTTGATCTAAAGATTTTCTGCTTCTTCAAATCAAGTAAGCACTTAGTAGGCTACCTGTGTACTTCAATTCCAAGAACACTATTATAAACTAGCCAGCAACATAAATCTATAGGAATCGATGAACCTGATTGTTGCTTTGCCTTTGTCGTCCATTGACATAACTATGCCAACCTGGTCTTTGAAGACTGAGTGTTGCTACTTGCTCCCAAGATTCCCTGAAACCGGGTTATTCCCATTGCATTTTGATTTTCCAGTTGGTATACTGTGGTTTCTGTATTAAGGTCTGGTCTACAGAGAAGAGAGATCAGGGAGCTCTTCAGTTGTGCCCAGCCTCCCCTCACAAATCCACCTAACAAAGTCCTGATAAAGTGTATGTTTTCTGGAGTCTATCGATATGGATAAGTTGCATTTATTTATTTATTTATTTATTTAGAGACAGTCTCACTTTTATTGCCCAGGCTGGAGTGCAATGGCATGATCTCAGCTCACTGCAACCTCTGCCTCCTGGATTCAAACCATCCTCCTGCCTCAGCCTCCTGAGTAGCCGGGGCAACAGGTGTGTGCCACCATGTCTGGCTAATTTTTGTAGTTTTTTGTAGAGATGGGGTTTCACCATGTTGGCAAGGCTGGTCTTAAACTCCTGACCTGAACTGATGGACCTGTCTCGGCTTCCGAAAGTGCTGGGATTACAGGCATGAGCCACTATGCCCTGCTGTAAGTGGCTTTTAAATGGCAAATCCATTCTAGCATTCCTATCTCCCCAGGCCTATGAATTCCTTCATCCAACATAATACAGGGAAGATGGGGGAGTCACCGACTTGCTCATGGTCATACATCTGTTGAACTATATTTCAGCCAACCAGTCATAACACCACTAATACCATCCTTAAATACCGAAGCTGCAACATTAAACCAGAATATCTGCTTAATGGCCCCATATCATTAAATTTGGACTGATTCAAGTTTATATTCCTTCTACTGTTATCAACGCTTTTTTTTTTTCTTGTTTTGGTTTCTTACAGATGAGGTCTTGTTCTTTTGGCCAGGCTGGAGTGCAGTGGTACAGTCGTGACTCACTGCAGCTTCAAACACCTGGGTTCCAGCATTCATCCCACTTCAGCCTCCCGTGTAGCCGGGACTACAGGTACAAGCCACCACACCCAGCTATCCACAGCCATAATCTTTATTTCCACATAGGGTCTTCAGATTTCTGTTTGCATTAGTTAGAAAACTCAGGTTGCTTTTTTGACATAGATCACATCTCCTCATGGGAAATACTATCCATCAGCTTTAGGGGCCTGTTGTAACTTTAGTCTCACCATGAGTCTAGAAGAAACACAGCTGTCAGGGGTGGGTCTTGAAGATAATCAGCAGTGTATTGTTTGACAGCTGCTTCAGGGGAAGCCATTACCGTTTCCTTAGGCATTGTAGATGTAAGCTACTCAGACACATATGGAAAGGCCTACATCACCTTGTGTGGGAAGGCCATTGCCAAGGGGGTGGCTGTAAGGAGGCCACTTCTGCTGGCAATAAAAACTCATTAGAATTTAGGAGATCAGTGTCCCCAGCCACATCAGTCTTCCCATCCATCCTCATCCCAAGTTACAGGATGCTATTCTTTCTCAATTTCCACTTCAACAGTAGACACCCTGCCAGACTGAGGAGTTCAACGTTTCTTGTAATTCAGCCAGTGGCATGATAAGGGCTTGTGTTTGACTTTTAGCAAATACTTCCCTGTGGCTACAAGAGAGTTTTCTGGCTCAGAGCACAGGTAGAAACTCTTAGGCTGTTTATGTGGAGCTGGTTCTGCAAAATTGAATCCCTAAGCTCATTATTGTCTTTCATCAAATTTCCCAGTGAATTAGAAGCAACAAACCCATCATCATTGTGTTCCATGGTTTTACGCAAATGTCTGTATCACATACAGAGTAAACAAGTACCTTGCCTCTTATCAGTGTTTCAAGAGTATCAAGTGCAGATATTTTGGGGATCTCTAAAAACAGTTCATGTCATTGACTGTCATTGCTCTTTCTACTGTTAGAAGTACAGTTCTTAGAATTTAGGTGCAATCAGATTAGAAAGCCAATTCTAGAAACCCCAAATTTGATTAAGGACACTCATCCTTAAAATTCTCTTCCTATAGAACCGTTCTTACTACCAAAATCTACACTAGTCAGGGTTTTCTAGAGCAACAGAACGAATAGGATAGATACATAGGAACTAGCTAGTTAGCGATAGATAGATAGATAGATAGATAGATAGATAGATAGATAGACAGATAGATAGATAGAGATTTTTAGGGGAACTGAATCACATGATTATGGAGGCTGACCATTTCTACCACATGCCATGTAAAGTTGGAGATCCTGGGATGCATGTTGGGTACCATGGTCTAAGTCCAAAATGCTCAAACCAGAGAAAACCTTGGTTAAACCCTCAGTATGAGGCCACCATGCTGGGCTAATTTTTTGTATTTTTTAGTAGAGACAGAGTTTCACCTTGTTAGCCAGGATGGTCTCGATCTCCTGACCTCATGATCCACCCGTCTCAGCCTCCCAAAGTGCTGGTATTACAGGCTTGAGCCACCGCGCCCGGCTAATTTGGCTCCTCTTATGCGAATTTCTGCAGCTGGCTTGAATTCCTCCCCAGAAAATGGATTCTTCTTTTTTTGTTTTTCTTTTCTTTTTTTTTTTTTTCTTTGAGATGGAGTCTCACTCTGTTGCCCAGGCTGGATTGCAGTGGTGCGGTCTCAGCTCACTGCAACCTTGCAACCTCCACCTCCCAGGTTCAAGTAATTCTTCTGCCTCAGCCTCCTGAGTAGCTGGGACTACAGGCATGTGCCACCATGCCCAGCTAATTTTTGTATTTTTAGTAGAGGCGAGGTTTCACCATATTGGCTGGGCTGCTCTGGAACTCCTGACCTTGTGATCTGTCCGCCGCAGCTTCCCAAAGTGCTGGGATTACAGGCATGAGCCACAGCACCTGGACAGGTTTTTCTTTTTTACAAAATGGCTGGACTGCAAATTTTCTAAACTTTTATGCTCTGCCTGTTTTTTAAATATAAGTTTTAGTTTCATAGCATCACTTTGCTCGCACTATGACAATACACTCTTAGAAGCAGCCAGGCCACATCTTGAATGCTTTGGCGCTTAGCAGTTTCTTCCACAAGATGCCCTAAATCATCAGTCTCAAATTCAAAGTTCCACAAATCCCTAGAGCAGGGGCACAATGCCACCAGTCTCTGTGCTAACATAGCAAGAGTGACCCTTACTCTAGTTCCCAATAAGTTCCTCATCTCCATCTGAGACCACCTCAGCCTGGACTTCATAGCCCATGTCACTATCAGCATTGTGGTCACAACAATTTAACCAGTCTCTGGAGAGTTCCAAAGTTCTCCTCATATTCCTATCTTCTTCTGACCCCTCTAGACTGTTCCAACCTCTGCTCATTACCCGGTTTCAAAGTCACTTCCACATTTTCAAGTATCTTTATAGCAATGCCCCACTCCCAGTAGCAATTTTCTGTATTAGCCTGTTCTTGCACGGCTATAAAGAACTACCTGAAACTGGGTAATTTATAAAGCAAAGAGGTTTAATTGACTCATAGTTCTGCAGGCTGTAGAGGAAACATGCCTGGGGAGGCCTCAGGAAACTTACAATCATGACAGAAGGAGAAGGGAAAGCAGGCACATCTTTTATGGCCTGAGAAGGAAGAAGAGAAAGAAGGGTGAGGTCCTACATACTTTTAAATAACGGTATCTCATGAAAATTCACTTACTGTCATGAGAACAGCAAGGGGAAGTCTTCTCCCGTTATCCAATCACCTCCCACCAGGCCCCTCCTGTAACATTGGGGATTATAATGTGGCATGAGATTTGGGCAGGGACACAAGTCCAAACCATATCAGTGACTAATTTGAACTATTTATGCATATGCTGTGAGGGAGGAATTTAACTTGCCTGTTGATGTTGATGATGTTGACTTGTCCCAGAATCCGTTAATGAAAAAAATACTTTTCCATATTGAATTTATTTGGAGCCCTTGTAAAATTATTTGACCGTAAATGTAAAGGTTAACTTTTTGATATTCAATCTGTATGTCTACACCACACATATTAATTAGTATGGCTTTGTCTTTAGTTTTAAAATCAGAAAGTATGAGTCTATTTTACAAATTCTGTTTTTTTTTCAAAATTATTTTATCTCTTCTCTATTGCATTATATATACAGTTTAAAATCTGTTTGACAAGTTAGTGAAAAAACGGTCACCTGGGATTTTCATGGAAATTGCATTAAATCTATAGAGCCATATAAAAAGTATTGTCAACTTAATAATATCAAGCCTTTTAATCAATGATCATTCAATATTTATCCATTTTTATAGAATTTTATTAATTACATTCAATGTATTTTACAGTTTTCAATATACATATGGTACGTGTATTTTGTTAAATTTATTCTTATGTTTTTTTCCTTTTTGATGCTATTTAAAATAGCATGGGTTTCTGAGTTTTTTGTTTAGTTTGTTAATTTCTAGTATATAGAAGTACATGTTTCTATATACTGACTGTGTACTGGAACTGTATTGAACTTATATTTTAATTTGCATTCTATTTTATTAGAGTCATTTTGATGTTCTATACAAAAATCATGTCAATTGCCAACAGAGTTTTACTTTCTTTTATACTAGATGTCTTATATTCATTTTTCTAGACTAATTGTCCTTGCTACATCCTCTAGCATAATGTGGGGGAAAAATGTGGCCAGAATGAAATTCCTTGTCTTATTTCTAATCTTGGAGAAAGTATTGAGCCTTTCAGAAAACTTTTATATCATGTGAGGGTTTTTATTTTTTTGGATGCTTTAAAGTGAAGACAGCTTCTTTACAGTTCTTATTTGCTGCGTATCTTTATCGGAATGCATTTTTGATTTGTCTAGTGCTTATTCTGTGTCTTTGAGATGATCGTGCAGGTTCTGTGCTTTATTCCATTAATACAGTGCATGAATTGTATGCTGAACAAAATTTGCATTCCTGAGGAAATACCCTTAGCCATAGTGTATAATACTTTTTGCATGTTGCTGACTTGTTTTGCTATTATTTCCTTAAGGATTTTTGCCTCTTTATTCATAAGGCATATTGGTCTTAATTTTCCTTTCTTGAAATGTTTTGGTCTAATTGTGGTATGAGGATGAAATACCTCATAGTGTGCATTGGGAAGTGATCTCTTCACCACTGTCATTGCTGTTATTTAATGTTTTTAGAGAATTCATAATGAATTTGTATTAATTCTTTAAAGGTATGAAATAATTTCCTATTGAAGTCATCTTAACATGGAACCAGAATTAAATCCTAACAACAATCATGTGAGCCTGGGGAGGATCCTTCCCCACGTGAGCCTTCAGGGGAGACTTCAGCCTTGGCCATCTTCTACATCTAGATTCCTGACCAAGAGAAGCTGTGAGTAATGTGTATGTGCTTTTCAGCCACTCAGCTGTGTGGGAATTTGTTATACAACAATAGCTAAGTAACACACCTGGCATTGAATGTAATGTGGTATCCTAGATTAGATACTGGAATAGAAAAGTGACATTATTGGAAACCTGAGGAGAACTATGAAGAAAGTCTGTAGTTCCATTGATGGTTTTATAACACTGTCAATTTCTCAGTTTTCATGAATAGTCTATGGTTATATAATGTGTTAACATTCCTTTAAGCTGAAAGGTATATGAAACTCTCTGCACTATATATACCTCCTTCTGTAAGTCAAATATGATTTCAAAATAATTTTAAAATAATATTTTGGTGCAAAACAAAAACCAACAAAAAGACACAAGAACATTAGCTTGGTTTCAGGAGATGGGGTGGGCAAGTAGGGAAAGAACAGCAGTGCAGCTTTCCTAATCTATCCACCATTCGGAACCCAGGTGCACCTGCTTCAGTTAAACACAGTTAGCTCTGGGGACTCTCATCCATTTTTGTCTTTGAAATCATGCTACTCATTATCCACGAACATTTCAAGTGTCAGTAACCACTTCTTCAGAGAGAGGTGCCTGTTCCTCATATATCCCAGGATGCCCCATTTTCAGGCATTGTCTGGCAGTTTATTCACATAATTCCAGTAAAGCCTTTCTGGAAAAAATGACTGCTGGACCTTAGAAGCCGATATTGCAAAATGTCAGTGACAGGGAACACAAATTGTATTTCTACAATCAGGAGAGTGTTTTAATTCCCTTGGTACAGAGATTTGTTCTTCAACTGATTATCAGATCACTGTGATAATTTCTATTTCTCTTGTCATGAATTATTTGGGACCATATATTCTGTTGCTCTTCACATCTTGGAATTATATTGTCCATTTCCAAGGTCAAAGACCACAGAATAAATGTCATCCTGGCAGCAGGTGAGTAGGGCACACAAACAATGCTTCTAAATATGGTGGTTGATGACAATGCTTGCTTACTAAGACCTCGATATGAATCTGTGGACAACTGGTTTTTGGCAGGTGAAGTCATGTGAGTGATTCAGTATATGCTGTGTATGGCTGGAGAAAGCTGAGTAGATACAAGAAAAAGCAGTGTGTAACAGATCTCCCCCCACCATGCAGTGATCTAAGAGATGGACCCAGGCTAAATGGTGACTCTGCACGTGTTCTGGCTAAACAAAGAATCTCACAGCAGGAAGAACTGTCCAGCTGTCCCCCACATAGGTCCCTGCTCATAGTTCACGGCACTCTGCGGTGTTAGCATCAGGGTTGTGCCAAAGAACCATGCCTACAAAGCCTCCCAAGCCATGAGTCTGCATGCTGCACTCACACAGACATAGACAAAGCCAAGACTATTGCCTTTATGATGGTCTGTAAACATGGGGCATATTCTCTATAGCACATTGATAGCTTATATGAGAAAATGAGATCTTGCAGCCTGGAGACCTAGAGTGGGAGATATGACTGACCTCGACCACATTTTTCACTTCTGATATCAGCATAGAAGTGATTTAGGTGCTGTTATTTGAGCATCTGTACTTTAAGAAACCTTCCACGTCTTCCAAGTTCCATATACTTTACTCTTTAAGACATGACTCCTCTTTTAAATTTGACATCTTAAAGGAGGTTTATTCCATTTTTTAAATTTTAACTGAAGATACTATAGTACAGTACTTAAATGACAGATCTTCTGTTCCTCTTCATTTTAATGCATACTTTTTGATCTATTATGATGCATACTGTGAATATTCTGCCCACCAATAAATGGACCAAAAAATGGCCAGAGTGACACATATGAGCCACAGTTAGACCTGGACATGAGTTATGAGGACTACCACATGGTGGTCACAATAATTGAGATCTGAGTTCTCAAATTTAAAGGAAAACAGGCACTATACACAAAACTCTACTGACATATTATCATGGACACAAAGGACAGAGTGCTGAGCACTGAGTGCCCAAACAAGTGCTTTAACAGCATGGAAGGCATGATTTCCCACAATATACTAAGCCACTAAATTCACAAAGGCCACCACAATTCTAAAAAAAGATGTCACTGCAAACAAACCCAAGTCTTAGACCACAATATAAGACAAACATCCCAACATGCTGTCTCCACACTCTAGCCTGATTAGGAGTTGTAGTTCAGTGGATGAATGGCCCATATATTTAACATCATTACTTCATGTTCATGCAATTCAACCTTCCTGCAGTCTAAAACTATAGGTGAAATTTCAGTCAAAGTCCTAAATTATGAATTGTATGAGTTTCTTCTTCACTTAATATTTTCCCAGGGAAACAGGAAAACTAATTTCAATATCCAAGTGTCCAAAAGTAGAGTTTGCCAGAGTAGCAAGGGGGCAGAACAAAGCATTTTATGAAGATCACAATGCATCTGCTTCTACAGTGCCTATGTATTATCACCATTTGTGTGATTAAAAGGGTGAATGAGAATGAAGAAAAACAGAGATCAAGAATGTTATAGATTAAAGAATTGAATTTGTAATGTAGCTTGCAGGGATCATTGCTTATATTACTAACTTTAGGACACAATTTTTTTAATATAGATTTTCCTTAGTCTTTAGAAAACTAGCACTTCAGGAAAAATTTCAAGTGTCTCTCTACAATTTATATCTTCCTCATCAACAGATTTCTTGAACCATAGTTTATAAAACAATTACAGCACTTTACTAATAAGTCTAATATTTCTAATAACTAAGTAGAATGTAAATAGAATTGTTAAATTAATGTGAAAATATATACAACAATGTTTACTTAATAACAGACTAAAATATAGCAGATTAGCCACCATGATTTTTTCTTTTTCTTTTTGAGTTGGAGTTTGCTGTTTCGCCCAGGCTGGAGTGAAGTGGCGAGATCTCCCCTCACTGCAACCTCCGCCCCCGGGGTTCAAGTGATTCTCCTGCCTCAGCCACCACCATTTAACACTGAGAAGTGGGCAGTCACAGAGAAAAAGTGTGTAAACAATTCTTTGGTACACAATTTAACATCTTTTTTTTTCTTTTTTTAATTTTATTATTATTGTACTTTAATTTTTAGGGTACATGTGCACAATGTGCAGATTTATTACACATGTATACATGTGCCATGTTGGTGTACTGCACCCATTAACTGGTTGGACACAGGAAGGGGAACATCTTTTAAGGAGAGATGCATCTTCTATTTGAAAGGGTTATAACATTATTGCCAGAAAGCAGTCATGATGTGGTTGTCCGTTGGCACACACACAAGAACTTGGTCTAAACCTCCCCAAAGACATCTTTGGGTAATTATATCAAGCATCAAAACTTACAGAAGGGTGTCAGGAGACTGGAAAGATAAACTTACATAGAGTAGCATAGGAGTCCCATGAGAAATGCAGCACTATCAGTGCTTGTGATTAGCACAGATGATATTGTGGGGAAAATCATGGACAAGATGAGTTGAAAGTGATTCAGAGAGTTTGTTCTGAATGAAGTAAGTGTTAGCAATACCTTTGTAAATGTATTTTGCATATATGTTCTGTCTCATGTAATCACAGGAATGATATAAAACAAATATAAACATGTTAGTTGAGAAAAGTTTTTAAAATAATTATACATAATATAAATTTAAAATAATATAAATTTAAAATAATTATAAAACTTGAATTAGAAATATTTGCTCCATTATTTATTAGTGGTTTTATTATTTCATTCTGATATATAAATCTAAAAGATAAATCTCACAACTTATTATAAAAATTAGTCTTAATGATATGTATAGACGTGATATTATACTACATGCTTTATATATTATTTTATACAAACCCACCTGACATTTCCAGAGGTGAGCACTGTTACCACTGCCACGGGCCAGTTCTGAATCTGACACTAAGCACTACATGAAAGGATTAAAAGTGCTTTGAGTTTGATTCATTCTGTCTCCAAAGTCGTTGCTCAAGTCAACTATGTAGAATATGTAGAATATTTTCTTGTAGAATTAGTGCTTTCTAGGTCTAGTTTCAGGTACCCTACCCTACCACATAGTCCCAAAGATATTTTCTTATGTGTTCTACATATTGTACTAAATATATATATATATACTGTACTAAATATATATATATATGTCTGTGATCCACCTGATTTTGTGTGTAAAATGAAGTTAAAGGTCAGATTTTAATTCCCTTATAAATATTCAGTTTTTTGAATAGTTTTAGAAAAATTAATCTGTCCCCATTAATTGACTTACAAATGATTTGTTCACATATACACGTCTCTATTTATGATGTTTTATTTTTTCATTGGTTTATTCCTCTGTCTCTGTGCAAATGCAACAGTTTCTTAGTTGCTAACAGACTTCATTTAATACAATAATTTAGTGACCATTCTCTTAATGACTGTGCCTTTCCATAATGAAGTGAAAGAAGATTAAAAATCTACATGCCTTTCACCTACACCAATACTTTCAGCTGGACTTTGAATCAATCAGTGGCTTTAGAGTTTTAGAATATCATTGTTGTCTCTTATGTCTGTAATGTCTTTGTTAATCTTTTTTTTGTTTTCTTTTTTATTATTTATTTATTTATTTTTTAATTTTATTATTATTGTACATTAAGTTTTAGGGTACATGTGCACAACATGCAGGTTTGTTACATATGTATACATGTGCCATGTTGGTGTGCTGTACCCATTAACTCGTCATTTAGCATTAGGTATATCTCCTAATGCTATCCCTCCCCCCTCCTCCCACCCCATAGCAGTCCCCGGTGTGTGATGTTCCCCTTCCTGTGTCCATGTGTTCTCATTGTTCAATTCCCACCTATGAGTGAGAACATGTGGTGTTTGGTTTTTGTCCTTGCGATAGTTTGCTAAGAATGATGGTTTCCAGTTTCATCCATGTCCCTACAAAGGACATGAACTCATCATTTTTTATGGCTGCATAGTATTCCTTGGTGTATATGTGCCACATTTTCTTAATCCAGTCTATCGTTGTTAATCTTATAAGATCTGTGAACACCACTCCTCAGTTTATGTATTTCATACCTTCAACAACAGCAGGTGGTGGGAAAACCTGGAGATGCAGCCCCGGGTGCCTCCTGCCTTGCTGTAGATGATGCTGTGGACATGGGGCTCCTCCTCCAGACGATGCACATCAAAGGCAGGACCAGCAGGGAGCCCTGAGATCAGAACCTCTCTGTGGGGTCTGCATGCACAAGGGGAGGAGCCCCTGTTGGGTGGGGTGGCGAATTCAGTTATTTTGTATGAGCATGAATTTGTTAAATAATCATTCTTCTTTCTGACCCATGGCACATTTCCCCTTCAGTCCTGGCACTGTAATGTTACATCTTGGTTTTTGGTTTTGTGTACAAATGTGTTTAAAACTTGTGTGTTAAACACAAGGAAACACTCTTTTCTTGGTCACATAGCCATCATGTACAACCAAATTTATACTTTTGTATTTTTCCAAAACAAACATCCTTGGGTGCTTCCTGCACAGACACAGACAACTCACTAGGCAAGATTTACCTCCTCCAGACCACGTCTATCCAAGACAGTGCCTAGGTAGATGCAGGAGAGTTGAGTCTGTCTCTGTGGTGTCTTCATGGGAAACACCAACATTTTCTTGCTCTACTCTGGTGTTGGTTGGGGAATTCGGTTATTTCTGGGAAAGATTGAGTGTGTCAAAGAATCATTCTGTTTGCTGTCTGAAAACAAATGACACAGTATTTGTTTTGAACAAATGAAACAGTGTTTGTTTTGGTGTGCAAAGGCCTTTGACCCTTTCTGTGTCAACGTACTTTTTAATCATCACATAAACATCATGTATGACCAAATTTAAATTTTTGTAGTGTGTATTAATGCCTTTTATTTTGTTTAATTATTCATAATCATTTTTCAAAATATCTTTATTTTTATATTTTATCACTCTTCATTAAATTAATGGAAATATCACCCATTGTCTATAATTGTTTTCCACAAATTTCATCTGAAATACTCCTAGTTGAAGAGGTGCAGAAAGTTTGCTAGGAACCACAAGACAAAATTTGCTAGAGACTCATACTTAAAAAGGGTTTCGTATATGGCTTAGTTTGTTCTAATTTGCAAGGTTCAAAAGCATTAATTTGAATAGATGGAATATCAAGACTCCCTTCCAGCACACAAAGACCAGTTATTTTGTTAATAAGCACAAATAAACTTCAGCATATTGTTTTTCTTTTACCTGAAATTTATAGATACTGGCTTGAATCTCTGATTCCTTCTACATAGTATTTGTAAACGTCTGCAAGACATTTCCTTATACTTATGGCTCATAATATAGGTGTGTATTCTTCTCTTACTCTTTGATGAGTAAATACCAAAACTGCTTCTTCAGTTAAAAAAAAAAAAAAAGCCACTCCGAAAATCTGTGCATACAACTGCACACAGCAAATGTTTTCCGATTATCGTCTGTAGAAAAGAAATGGGAACTTCAGTTTATTTTCTTCTATCAGATAATAATCTTTTAAAACTGATTTATACTTTTATAGATTACCAGAGAATTTTCAGAGTTGCTTTCTGTCCAGGACATGTGTGGGGCTCAGAGACACCATAGACAAAGTTGCCATGTTCTGTGATGCTTCTGTCCAATAGGGTTTCAGAAAACTTGACAAAAATTAAACTATAAGGTGGAAGAGCTACCCTTGGGAACTGAGAGGACAGGTTTCAGGCCTGGGGTGGGATGGACAGGGGAAGCCTCCAGGAGGAGGAACATTGGAGGAGATGCTGGAGAGTGAGGCGCAGTGGGTCCAGGAGACAGGGGAGGGAAAGCGAGGAGGAAAACGTGTGTGCCTGGCACAGGCCAGGCCATGAGAAGAGGTCAGTGGATTGGAAGGAGCGCTGGGATGAGTAATTGGTGAGGAAGCAGGAGCAGGAAGGGCAGACCACGGAGGGACTGGGCAGGGGAGGCAGGGAGGGCCGCTCCCTGAGGACTGCGCTCTGTGGGGAGGGATTCGAATGTCTGGGTTTGTTTCCCTGAGATGTTACCCCAGCCCATGAGCTCAGCCTATGGGAAGGACGTTGAGGAGTGAGTGGGCCCTGTCCCCCGGGGAGGCTCCTGGGCGGGGCCAGGGGGGCGTGTGTCTGGGAGAAAGGAGGGTGGAGAAGAGCAAAGAGGACCCCCGGCTGCCTGACTGCAGGGCTCATGGGGCTGCTCTTGTTCGCCGCCTTTTCTCCATCGCTCAGACCCTCACTTCCCCGCCAGGGCAGGTTTCTGCCCCCTCAGTCCTTTTGCAGGTGTAGGGTGGGATCCATGGAGGAGAAAACTCGGATCTGCAGGCTCCTCTCCACCTGGCGCCCACACAGGTGATGGTGGGAGCAGCCTGAAGGGAAGTGCCGGTGCGGGGGTCGCAGCTGCGCAGTGAGGGGAACCGGAGGCTGCCGCGCAGGCTGGGCTTGGGGGCGGGAGCCAGGCCCACGTGGGGCGTGAGGGCCGCGGGTGGAGGGCGAGGCTGACAGGGAGTGAGGGAGGAAGGTGGAGGGCGGTGATCAGAGGGCGCGGCTGACAGGGGGAGAGGGCGGTGAGATCTACAGGAGAACTCAGGGCGGATGTCTGCCGGGTGCGCGTTGGGCTTTCTGGTCGCTTCTCTGCGAACGCGCGCTTGTTCCTGCGGCGGTGCCTGCCTGTGTCGTCGTCCCTGTTTGTTCTTCTTCAAACCTCAGGATTTCTCCGTGTTTCCCAGACCGTAACGTACATTTAAAAACCTTGCTTTCTGTCACATATGCCCTTTTATATTATGGACATAACAATTGTTACTTACCTACGTTTCCTATTTGTGAATTATTCATAGATACAGATTTTACCAAAACTTAGTTGACACATTGCGTATATTTATGGATAACAGTGTGATATTTTGATTCTTGTATTCATTGGGGAAGATTCAATCAAGCTAATTAACATGGGCATCAACTCACCAGCTAATACTTTATGGTGAGAACACTAAAAATCTATTATTTAGCTATTCTAAAATGTACAGCGTGACTTCGGAGGAAATGATACTGCCCGGCCTCAGTAGCCCGAGACTGATCATTTCTAAATCCTGAGGTTCCCATTTCTGAGGGGGTCATGGCTGCATACCCGTAAGCAAGGGGGGTGTTGGGGTGCTTTGTTTGCCCTGTTAATTTTGGGTGCCTCTGTGTTCTGAGAACTATTAAGATAATATGTGTTTGAAAAATCCAGTTGCTTTAACTTTTCCTTTGTTTTAGTCTGTTAACAACGTTATCGCTTTTCTTTTACTGACTTTAGATTTAATATATTCTTCCTTTTCTAGGTTCCAAAGGTGGAAACACAGATGACAGATTTTTGGTCTTTTCGTCATTTCCTATATATGTGTTCAATGGTATTTATTTGCCTATATGTTCTGCTTTCCTTTCATCCTACAAATTTTGATAAATTGTGCTTTTATTTTCATTTAGTTAATTTAAAAAAATTTCGCTGGAGATATCTTCTTTGACCAATATGTTATATGGAAGTGTGTTGTTTAATCTCAATGCATTTTGGGATATTACAGTTATCATTCCAGTCATCCTTTGATTTCTATTTTAATTCCACTGTGGTCTGACAGGTGACATTGTATGATTTACTTTTTAAAAATTGTTGGGGTATTTTTTGTCCCAGAATGTGGCACATTTTGCTGAATATTCCATGTGAGCTTAAGAAGAATGTGTCCTCTGGAGTAGTTGAGGGAAGGAGACTGTAGGTGTCAGTTATGCCCAGTTGCTTGTTGGTGCTGTTGAGTTCAGCTTTTCCCTCCTGAATTACTGCCTGCTAGATCTGTCCGTATCTGATATAGGGTGTTAACGTTTCCAACTATAATACTGAATTCATCTTTTTCCTTGTGGTTCTGTTGATTTCTGCCTCATAGTTTATGCTCTGTTATCAGGCTCATAGGCTTTAAGAATTATGACATCTTCTTGGAAGAATGGCTCTTCATCTCTATGTAATGCCCTTCTTTATTCCTGATAACTTTTCTTGCTTTGAAGTCTGCTCTGCCTGTAATTCATATAGCTCCTCTTGTTTACTTTGATTAGAGTTAGCATCGTACATTTTGTTCCATTCATTTACTTTTATTTGTCTTTATATTTGGGTTGGGCTTATAAATAACAGTTGTGTCTTGTTTTTTGATTCATTTTGTAAATCTGTGTCTTTTACTTGGTGCAGTTAGACCACTGACATTCAAAGTGGTAAGCGATATAGTTGGATTAATATTTATCATATTTGTCAATATTTTCGATTTGTTGTCCTTGTTCCTTCTTCCTATTTTCATCTTCCATTCATTTTATGCCTTTCGTGGTTCTCATTGAGCATTTTATATTTTTCCGTCTCTCGCATTTCTAAAAATATGAGTTATATATAATTTTAACTTTTTCTTGGTTTAACATTTTTATAATCTTAGCTAATTATAAGAGAAAACAATTTCTTGAAAATAATAGAAAAATTATTAAATAATATAAGCCTATGGATATAGCTTATGTATAAGTATATATGTGTACGGATATATGCACATGTGCATGTGTGTTTGTATGTGTGCGTGTATATGTATATATATACACACATATATATATGAAGTGGATATCAGCAATAATGCAAAGGACAGGAGAAAGGAATTAGGATTATTTGTTATAAGATACAGTAACTGTTAAGCAATATAACTTTACTTGAAAAGTAGGTCAGTTTAGTTTTTTTTATTTTTTATAGTTTTTATATGATTTTGATTTTTTTAACTGTATATATTTAAATTTAGGTTTGTGGATACATGTATAGTTTTGTTATATAGGTAATCTTGTGTAATGGAGGTTTATTGTACAGATCATTTTATTACCCAGGTACTAAGCCTACTACCCAATATTTACTTTTTCTGCTCCTCTCCCTCCTTCTACCCTTCACTTACAAGTTGGCCCCAGTGACCTTTGTTCTGTTCTTTGTGTTCATGAGTTCTCATCATTTAGCTCCCACTTAAAAGTGAGAATATGTGATAATTTGGTATTCTGCTCCTGTGTTAGTTTGCTAAGGATAATACCTTCTAGCTCCATTCATGTTCCTGTAAAAGACATGATCTCATTTTTTTTTCAGCTACATAGTATTCCATGATATATATGTATCACATTTTCTTTATCCATCCTGTCATTGATGGGCATTTAAGTTGATTCCATGTCTTTTTTCTTGTAAGTAGTGCTCCAGTGAACATTCATGTGGATGTGTCTTTTTGGAAGAATGATTTCTATTCCTCTGGGTGTATACCCTGTAATGGGATTGCAGAGTTGAATGGTAGTTCTGATTTTAGCTCTTTGAGGAATTGACATATTGCTTTCCACAATGGTTGAATGAACTTACACTCCTACCAACAGTGTGTAAGTGATCCTTTTTATCTGCAACCTCACCAGCATCTGTTATTTTGACTTTTTAATAATAGCCATTCTGACTGGTGTGAGATGGTATCTCATTGTGGTTTTGATTTGCATTTCTCTAATGATCAATGATATTGAGCTTTTATTCATATGCTTGTTGGCCGCATGTGTGTCCTGTTTTGAAAATTGTCTGTTCTTATTCTTTGCCACTATTTTTTTTCTTTTCTGGGACCGGGTCTCACTCTGTTGCCCAAGCTGGAGTGCAGTGGTGCAATCTCGGCTCACTGCAACCTCCGCCTCCCGGGTTCAAGCGATTCTCCTGTCTCCCCCTCCCAAGTGGCTGGGACTACAGGTACATGCCATCACACCTGGCTGATTTTTTATATTTTTAGTAAAGACGAGGTTTCACCATGTTAGCCAGGATGGTCTCGATCTACTGACCTCATGATCCGCCCAACCTGGCCTCCCAAAGTGCTGGGATTACATGCGTGAGCCAATGCGCCCGGTGCTTTGCCTACTTTTTAATGCGGTTGTTTGTTTTTCTCTCGTAAATTTGTTTAAGTTTTTTATAGATGCTGGATATTATACTTTCATCAGATGCATAGTCTGCAAATATTTTCTCCCATTCTGTAGTTTGTCTGTTCACTCTGATGATAATTTCTTTTGCTGTGCAAAGCTCTTCAGTTTAATTGGATCACATTTGCCAATATTTGCTTTTGTTGTGATTGCTTTCAGAGTTTTTATTATGAAATCTTTGCCTATTCCTATATCCAGGATGGTATTGCCTAGGTTGTCTTCCAGGGTTTTTATAATTTAGGGTTTTACATTTAAGTCTTTAATCCATCTTGAGTTAATTTTTGTATATGGTGTAAGGAAGGGGTCCAGTTTCAGTCTTCTGCATATGGCTAGCTAGTTCTCCCAGTACCGTTCATTGATTAGAGAGTCTTTTCCCCATTGCTTGTTTTTGTTAGCTTTGTCAAAGGTCAGATGGTCATAAGTGTGCGGCCTTATTTCTAGGCTCTCTATTCTGTTCAGGTGGTCTATGTGCCTGCTGTTATAGCAGCACCATGCTGTTTGGTTACTTTATCCCTGTAGTATAGTTTGAAGTTAGATAACATGATGCCTCCACCTTTGTTCTTTTTGTTTATGATTGCCTTGGCTATTGGGGCTCTCTTTTGGTTCCATATGAGTTTTAACACAGTTTTTTTCTAGTTCTGTGAAGAATGTCCTTAGTAGTTTGGTAGGAACGGCATTTAATCTGTAAACTTCTTTGGGCAGTATGGTTAGTTTTAAATATAATGTTTCCAACTGTAGAACAGTGCATTGCACAAAAAGCCTCTTACCTTCCTGGCTGTTGGCCATTGGCTAAATAAAGTGCCTTGCCAAGGGGGCTTCTCTCACATGGCTTCATAAAATCCATCAAGAGAGACATCTCTAGCAAGACCAAAATCATAATCATATATAAGAATCCCAGTGACACTTCTATACCTTTGCACTATTCTATTGTTTCGAAGCAAGTCTCAATTCCTGCTTAGAGTCACTTGGATGGGATTACAGTAGAAGGTTGTGTATATGAGAAGGTGGGGATAAATGGGCACCAACTTAGAGTCTACCTGACACATCAGGTATTCTCCTATATGAAACAGTTTCCTGGCCTTCACTTCTTTTTCATGACCTTGACCCTTTTGAAAAGTACCAGTCAGGTATTTAATAGGATGTCCCACGATATGGTTTCAGCTGATGTTTTCTCATGATTAAACTAGGAATATTAATGAATGAAATAACTTCACTTAAATCTGAAGACAAAAAAGCCCTAAAGAATATAGTATTCAGAAATACTCAAAGAGGAAAAACTATTTTTAAAGTATGGAATGACAATTCACAATATAGTTAAGTTCAGTGCTTAAGGAAAACTGAGAAATTAAGGAGATGCACAAAGGAGGTATCAACAATATTGCTAATCATTGGTTTTTTTAAGCTTGGGAGTGACATTAACAACAACAAAAATAACAAGTTTTAAACAATGGTTTTCCAAGGCCAGGCACAGTGGCTCACGCCTGTAATCCCAGCACTTTAGGAGACTGAGGCGGGCAGATTACCTGAGGTCAGGAGTTCGAGACCAACATGGCAAAACCCTGTCTCTAGTAAAAATACAAAAAATTAGCCTGGCATGGTGGTGGACGATTGTAATCCCAGCTACTCAGGAGTCTGAGACAGGAGAATCACTTGACCCCAGGAGGCGGGGATTGTAGTAAGCTGAGATCATGCCACTGCACTCCAGCCTGGCAACAGAGGGAGACTCTGTCTCAAAAAAAAAACAAAAAACAAAAACAACAACAAAAAACGGTTCTATGGTTTTACATTTACAGAATAGTTGCAAATCTAGTAGAGAGTTTCCATATACTCCATGCACAGTGTCCTTTATTATTAATCTCATAGCGTGAAACATTTGTCAGAATTAACCAACCAATCTCATGTATTGTCATTGAGTACTATACATACTTTATTCTCATTTTTTAGTTTTTGCTTAATGTTAAGATTATGTTTTAGGATCTCTTCTAGGATAAGTCGTCACATTTAGATATTATGGCTTCATAGGCTCCATTGAATGTGATAGTTTCTCAGCGTTTCCTTGTTTTTCATGCCATTGACGTTTCTAATTTGGGATTTCTCTGCTGTTTCTCTCATGATGAGACTGGACTTCTGGGCTTAAGGGAGGAAGAATATAGATGAAAAGTACCATTCCTATCACATAATATCCAGGGCACAAGCTGTCAACAGGCTTTATCACTGTTGATGTTAATTTGATCACCTGGATAAAAATCTTTTCATTCTAAAAATCTCTTCCGTAAAATTATTCTTTTTCTCCCTTTTCATGTTGTGTGCATAAAGAAAAGTCACTATATACAACAAACACTCAGTACTTGGAGAATCATACACCACTGCTTTTTCTTTGAAATAAATTTATTAAAATTTCAATAGCTTTGGGATTACATGTAGTTTTTGGTTAAATGCATGAATTGTACAGTGGTGAAGTCTGGGGCTTTTAGCATACCTGTCACCCGAATAGTGTACATTTTACCTCATAGGTAATTTTTTATCCCTCACTCACCTCCAACCCTCCTCCTTTCAGAATCTTTAATGTCCATGATCCCCCTCTGCATGCTCCTGCATATCCATTGCTTACCCCAAACTTGTAAGTGAGAACCTGCGGTATTTGGTTTTCTGCTCCTGAGTTATTTCAATTGTGATAATGGCAAAATTGCTTTGAAAAAACATTATTTTGTTCTTTTATATGGCTGAGTAGTATTCTGTAATATACATACATACATACACACACACACACACACACACACACACACACACACATTTTCTTTATCCACTAATTGGTTGATGGGCACTTAGATTGATTTCGTATTTTTGCAATTGTGAATTGTGCTGTGATAAACCTAGAAGTGTAAGTGTCTTTTTGATAGAATGACTGTGTGTGTGTGTGTGTGTGTGTGTGTGTGTGTGTGAGAGAGAGAGAGAGAGAGAGAGAGAGAGAGACAGGGTCTCACTTTGTCCTACAGGCTGGAGAGCAGTGGCCCAATCTCATCTCACTGCAACCACTGCCTCCTGGGTTCAAGGAATTCTTGTGCCTCAGCCGCTGAGGAGCTGGGACTGCAGGTGTGACACACCTGGCTAATTTTTGTATTTTTAGTAAAAATGGGGTTTTGCCTTGTTGGCCAGGCTGGTCTGGAACTCCTGGGCTCAAGTGATCCACCTGCACTGAGACAGTGAAAGAGATCTAACCTAACCGACTCCGTCTTGCTTCTAACCTTTTAAGCAGCCCTTGTTCCTTCCTGGGCAAAGTTAAACTAACTTTGGGAGGAACTTACTTTACAGCTTATAGTTTAAAACAAAGACAATAACAGTCCTTTCTCAAACCTCTTTCTTACCTAGGGCCTATACTGCCTTTGTATGACTAACAAATTAGCCACATGATTAGAAATTATGGCTTAGGAGTCATGCAGCTGGAGGCTACAAGATTCTGACCCTCCCTAAACTGCTCCAAAGATCAGTGCTTGAGGTATTTTGCAGCCCCTGCACTTGATGGATCAGCTGGCACAACCCTGGTGGATAAACTGCCTGATCTGATCTTGTGGCCTCCACCTAGGAACTGAGTCAGCATACGAGGACAGCTTGGACTCCCTGTGATTCCATCTATGATGTGACCAATCAGAACTCCAAACTCACTGGCCTTCCCCCACCCACCAAATTATCCTTTAAAACACTGATACCTGAATGTCCTGGGAGACTGATTTGAGTAATAATAAAACTCCTCCAGTCTCCTACACAGTTGGCTTTCTGTGAATTACTCTTTGTCTATTGCAATTTTCCTGTCTTGATAAATCAACTCTTTTAGGCAGCAGGCAAGGTGAATCCATTGGGTGGTTACACTGTGTGTCATTTTCAGCATAGACTGTCTTCTTGAACATAGGTTTATTTTGTCCCACCCCAACCCCCAAAAGATGTGGCTAGGAAAAGAAAAAAAAAAGGTCCCAACATCTTTTCTTTTTCCTTCTGGATCTCTTTTCTGGAAGCAGGGCGTCAGTGACAGGAACATTTTGACCCCAGCTCTTAGTCCCTCTTAGGTCTGTGGAAGCCTCAGAAGGCGTGGCCAGGCCAGGGCATCCTGGCTGAGCACAGGGTTTGGCACCTCCTCCCTCCCTGGCAATATGCAGACAACTCTGAGTACTGAAAGATGAAACTAACACACCTCAAGGAAGGATACGTACCTCGATGCATGCCACAGAGACACACTTCCAGGATCTTTTTAAGATCTTACCCATGTTTTGCAAGGAAAAGCAACACAGAACTGAAGTGCCTTCAGTTATTTCAGGTGGGGCTGTCTTGTACAGGGCAGTCAGGGAGAGAGACTGGAAGGTAAGGGGAGGGGACAGCCAGTCCTTCCAGTTAGCAAAGTTCAGGCTCACTGACTGCTTCCAACTCACTGCTCACTCACTGCTTCTTAGATTAGGATACCCTGGGAATCAGCTACAATAACCTCAGACAAGGAACCGTAAAAACCTGAAATGCACATTGGGTGCCAGCCAACAACGAAGCTTGGCTTCCAAGACAAAAAGTTGCTCTTTCTCCTCCTGCTACCTTGGATGTGCCAGGTTGTAATTTGTAAATGTATTGTCTGGCCCTTAGGGGTTGGCAGCTAACGATTGGTTGCAGAAGGAGCCTGGCCTAGGAGTGAGAGAGATGCCAGCACAAGAGAAGCCCACTGACTGTAAGCCAGGAAGTGGGCTGTCTCCAGACACCAAACCTGCTGGCGCCTTGATCTGGGACCTCCCAGTCTCCAGACTCCTCAGGGCCACTGTCATCTTGTGAAGCAATCACCACATGTTCCCATCACAGCTGATGGTGGCAACTAACCCATGCAGAGTACTGAAATGAGCCAGGCTCTGTCTGCCGTCTCGTGTGTAATCACCTAGTTATTCCTGGCAGCAGTCCTGGGTTCTCTGCATTTCCAGAGTGCAAGTCCTCCAGTAACCACTGAAATGCTTTCTCAGGAGTTGTTGTCAACTCCTTAAAAACATTTCTCCCTACTTGGCACAGAGCACAGTGACACCAGAAACAGCCTTCTCTGGACCCCAGCCCTGGCAATGGCCATGTCACTTCCCTCAGGCCCAGGAAGAAGGCAGGCTCTGGTCTCCCGCTGGGCAGCAACACCTACCTTAACCCGGATTTCTCACTTGGGTGAACTCTTGGATCACCGTGCCCAGTCTGACGGAGTCTGCAGCAGATGCAATAAGGGCTTTGGGGCCGGGAAGTGGAGCTCACCCATGTGCCAAGCCTGAGGTCGGGCACCCCTCCTTCACACCATCTGTGGGGACTTCCTCCCTTCCCCAGCGGAACGCCACAGAGAACCGACCTGATGGTGCCAAGAGGGCGAATTTCCCCCAGGTCCTCTGAAATATATTGTCACGATTTGTAACAGGAAGCCGAGTGAGGAGCATAAAGTGCTTCCAGAGACTAGGTGATGGGCCACATCCCTGGCCGGCGTGTTGAGCCCCTGAACCAAAGTCTCTGCGACCACCACCTTTGCCTGTCTGCCCCAGTTTTCTGAGCATGTGCTCTGCATACACTTGTGTGCCAGGCCGCCAGCCACTCTCGCCTGTACTCCCCCAGCCCCAGCGGAGCTGCCACAGGCGCCTTCTGCTCACCAGGTGGAATTTACCTTTTATCCTGTGCAGCAGGCTGCAGAACGCGCCCCTCCGCTCCCTCTCTGTGGGGCTGCAAGGGGTCGGGTCCACCACCGAGGCTGCCTTTATGGAGAACCCTGCACTTGTCCCGAGCCTGAAACCCCCGAATTGCAGGGTCCAGGAAGACTGGAGGTGGGGACTGATAGAATGACTTCTTTTCATTTGGGTCCATGCCCAGTGGTGGGATTGCTAGATTGAATGGTAGCTCTGCTTTTAAAAGTTCATTGAGAAATCTCCATACTGTTTACCATACAGGTTGTACTAATTTACATTCCCACCAAGGGTGTCTAAGCATTCCCTTTTCACCTCATCCACACCAATGTCTATCATTTATTGACTTTTTCATAATGGTCCTTCTGACTAGGGTAAGATTGGTATCGCATTATGGTGTTAATTTGCATTCCCTGATGATCAGTGATGTTGAGCATTTTTTTTTCATATGTTTGCTGGCCATTTGTGTATCTTCTTTTGCCTGTTCATGTCATCTCCCCACTTTTTAATGGGGTTATTTATTTTTTTCTTGCTGATTTGTTTGTGTTTCTTGTAGATTCTGGGTTAGTCCTTTGTTGGATGGACAGTTTCCAAATATTTTCTCCCATTCTGTAGGTTGTTTCTTTATTCCGTCGATTATTTCTTTTGCTGTGCAGAAGCTTTTCAGTTTCGCTAAGTCCCATTTATTTGTTTTTGTTTATGTTGTAGTTGCTTTCGGGGTCTTAGGTTTGTCTAGGCCAATGTCTTTACGGTTTCATGTCTTACATTTAAGTCTTTAATCCATCTTGAGTTAATTTTTATATATGGTGACAGATATGGATCCAGTTTCATTCTTCCGCATGTGGCTATCTTATTTTCCCAGCACCTTTTGTTGAATGGGGTGTTCATTCATCAGTTATGTTTTTGTCTGTTCTGTTGAAAATCAGTTAATCGTAAGTATTTGGCTTCATTTCTGGGGTCTCTGTTCTGTTCCTCTGGTCTGTATGTCTACATTTATACCAGTATCATGTTAATATGCCGGCAGATGTTGTAATGGACTGTGTTGATTGACCTTGGACCAGAAGGTGGCAATTGCAGGAGAGAGCCAGATGCAGTCATGGTGGTGGGATTTATGCTTAACCTTTGTTACCCAGGGGAAGTAGTCAGCTGATGGGAAGTGACACGGAATTCTAAGAAGTCCCTGTTCCTATTCTGCTACTAGGACAGGTAGAGGGGCAAAGCCGAGTGTGGGCTGGGTCAGGACAGTCCATACTCTGCCTCTCCAAGTGTGAGTGTAAGCAGAAGCCACAATGGGGGTCAGTGGACAGTTCCCTGACCACTGGGATAGTGTTCCAGGGAGGAGAACACCCTCTGCCACATGAGAGTCTGTACGGAGAGAGGGGTAGCAAGTGGCAGGTCAATTCCCATGACCTTGACACAGAAGGTCTTACACATGCAGACCTCTGCTGGCAAACACCCACAATAGCCAGCTAAGTCCCAGGCAGTCTAGGCTGAGAACACAAACCTGCCCCAGGCTGCAAGACTTCCCACTGGAGACTGAAACTGAAACGGTAGCTCTGAGGCCACACCCCTTGATTTGACATGTGAAGCAGCAGTACCCAGCTCCCATGACCCTGGCACAAGAAAGCTTCCTGCATGCCCCTTGGTTCGGGCCTTAAGGGGTTCATCCGCTGCTCAATATTAGATCAAATACAAATCTTAGTTGGTCAGCTTCTCCCTCAGTTGGGAGCTTCTTTCAGTGCGTGACTGCTGCCTGGGTTACTTCGCTGATTTCTGCAAGATCTTCTATGAATCAGGGTCAGGAATATCTTCCTTCTGTGCCTGCTGGGATCTGGGAGTGCACACGCAGCACACCCAGGTGCCACTCCTTCTTTCATGGTCCCCTCCTCTGTAAGTCAGCTCCAGTGCTGGGCAGGGTTAAGGCACTTCCCTGTGACCTGGACTGCCTGGTTCCCCAGTGGGAATGTATCACAGAGAGAGTCTCCCCCTTTCGCACTCTGAAGCCTCAATTTCCCATCTGACACATGGTGCAAGTTGCTGCCTGCTGCTCCTTTCAAAGTATCCAAAGGTTCTTTCACTTCTTCTGTTGAGTTCCTGTGATTGTTGGATACAAATTCACAGTGTGAATCTCTAGACACTATTTTGCTCTTTCTAAGCAGGTGAGGC